>NC_000017.11:13521414-13824444 GCF_000001405.40 Homo sapiens
CCAGGCAGGTCAGAAAGAAGTTGAGTGCTGTTGAGTTTCAATGCCCCACTAAGCTCACATAGCAACTACTGGCACTCAAAGCTCATTAGTTCTAACCCAACACAGCTAATCTCCCCGAGTGATGAATCCGCTTTCATGGACACTTAGAGAGGCATTCGTTAACGTTTAACCTCAACGTGCCCTGCATGGCCTTCAAGGTCTCACAAGTTGATATAAACTTGAAGAAAGAGTACATCAAGCACTATAATAGGAAAGATGGGCCTACTTTGTGGGGTCTTCATATAGACAAAAATTGCTCTAATTATTCCTCTTAGAAGAACTTTATCATATTGTTACAGGCAATGTTCCTCTCTTCTTGGTAACCCTAGGATTGAGGGAAGTGTGTTTACATCTGTGGATACAACTCTTTAGATAGGAGTTTCTCAACCCCAACACGACTGACGTTCCAGGATGGATAATTCTTTGTTTGGGGGCTGTTCTATGCATTGTAAAATTTAGGCAGCATCTCTGGACTGAATAGATAGATGCCAGTAGCAACCTCCCTTCCCTCCACTCCCCCTCTAGGGTGTGATAACAACTGCTAGTGTCTCCAGACGTGGCCAAATGTCTCCTGGGGGCAAAACTGTCCTCTGATGAAAACCACTGCTTTAGAAAATTGCCACCAACATTTAATTTAAAAAGTGGAATACAGCAAAATAGGATCAGATAAAAAATATCAGACAGCATAGCATAAGAGAAGTAATTGTTTCGTGAACATGTATTTCATATTCATCTGTTTGTATGTATGTATATGCAGATAAATAACATGGATTATGGTAAAAAAAAAAAAGTTAACAATACCGAGAGAGTATCTTGACCCTCAGAAAGCCTATTATTTATCTGTGCTATTACTAAGAGATGGGTTATAGTCTCCCACTTAGAAATCTCTATTTCTCTTCAATATTGTATTGTATGCTTTTGTTTGGTTGTTTTAATTTAATATGGTTTTCTTTCAACAACTAATGGGCACTTTGTTTTCTACCTTATTAACACAAGTTTAGTGATTTCTGTCTACCTTAGATAATATAAAAGTATCAAAACAAAATATCATGGGTCATTCAGGAGATTAGGGAGTCTATATGCTGAAGGAAATAGCAAAATATGTGCAAAGCTGCCCAATCTTGCCATCTCTGGGCTTATTATATATTTCAGGAGACAATTATTAAGCAATGTGTATTTAAATCTCACTTTACAGACAGATGACACAGGTCAGATGGTTAATATCAAGTCAAATTAGACAAGAAAATGGCATTTGCTGTCAGTTGGGGGCATATGCATGAACACATAAAAACTGAAACAATAAAAAAATGGCAAAATAATATTTAATGATACCAAAGCTGTTTCAAGTCAAGTCAAGCTTCATAATCACACACACACACACACCACACACACACAGAGAGACACACACACACACACACACACACACACAAAGCAAGTACAAAAGATAACCTTTTCAGTTTTGGCCATAAGTTTGTGGTAACCATAGAACACAGAAGTGGAGCTTTATCCAGAGTGGTAAAGCTAAAACAGACAGCTAGGGTGAGTGAGAAATGCCGAATACTTAGAAAAAAAATAGAAAAGGGTCAAGATGGAAACCAAAGGCAGAAGTGAGAAGTTATACAAGCTAGGAAGTTCACAGAAGACAGAGGATGAACTAGGTCTCAAGAGTCCAGCATCTGAGACTCTAGGATCAAGCTAAAGACAAAGTGAAGCTTTCTCTATTTTTTTCTTAAATATTTCCTTTCTAGAAAAGAAAAAAACAACCCAATCTGCATTTGAAGAACTGGCCATATAGTTGTGTGGAAAGTGGGTGAAATAACAAGGAAACGACAAAGAATATGGCCAGTCTAGTTAATTTCTTGAGCAGGAAACTGGATCAGTTAACGGAAACAAATAACGTAGTAATGGGTAAGACAAAGCCTGGATATTTGAGAGCCCACATTTGGGGGAAAATTACGAAGACAGAGGGCAGTGTCATATGGAAGAGGAAACGAAAAGGATGCAGGAAATCATTTTTAAATGTACCTGTGATCTATGGTGTTGAATATCAAATGTTGCAAAGATGTTGAGAAATGGCAGATCTGATAATGGTGGATTGCTATTGCCCCTGGAAAGAACTTTCCATAGAATTTGTGCCCTCCACACTAAGAGAGGTTTTCTGGGTGCTACAGAAAATAGATAAGAGTTAGTTTTACACGGAAAAATCTCCAATAGTTTTCTCTCGGTAAGTTTTTGCCTGTTTTCAATTGGTTGTTTTTGCCTGCTTTGTTTCCCACAGAGAGTTTTAGCAACTTGTGTCTTTTGATAGAGAATTTATTTCAGATATATCTAAAATTCATTATTGTAGAGTTATGTAATGTATGTTTTATAATTTCTTTGTTATTTTTGGCCGTATCTAGTCTCATTGTTTTATTACTTTTTGTTCTTTTTCAAGTTTGGGGGCATGAATGCTTATTTACCCATTTTCATTCTTCCTACCTTAATATTAAAATACATAAAAATGTGAATTCATTCTATTTACATCACTGACTGTACAAACATGATAGGTATATAGTGTTATCATTTGGCTCTTACATACATGGTCTTTAGCTGCATGTTTGATTTCCTCTTTACAGGTTTTAAAAAATAGTTTTTAACCTTATATTGATTTTATTAATTTTATTTTTCCTTTGTTATTACTTGTCACTCACAGAGTATGAGTTTGTGGCCAAGTATATACACATTTTACAAATACATCACAGACTTTTGAAACGACTATTTTCTGTGTGGATAAGTAGCCTTCTGATAGCTATTTATCACATCAAAATTAAGCCTATATATTTGAGACAGGGTCTCACTCTGTCACCCAGGCCAGAGTGCAGTGACATGATCTCGGCTCACTGCAGCCTCAAGCTCCAGGGCTCAAGCGATCCTCCTGAGTCAGCCTCCTGAGTAGCTGAGACTACAGGCACACACTACCACACCCGGCTAATTTTTGTTTTTTTTGTAGATATGGGGTATCACCACGTTGCCCAGGGGGAGGACTCTGGTGAGCTGCCTGCCTCAGCCTCCCAAAGTGTTGGGATTACAGGTGTGCGCCATTGAGCCCGGCTTAAGCATATTTTTGATATTTCTATATTTATTCTTGTTTTTCCAATTGCTCTGGCAAAAGTTCAAATGAATGTATTAGAATATTCCACCAGTACTGTGGTATTTTTAAAAAATTTCTACGTGTTCTATGGATTGTATCAATATCAATTTCCTGGCTTTAATATGGTACAATAGTTATAGAAGGTGATAACATTGGGAGAGGCTGGGTGAAGGGTACATAGGAACTTTCTGCAAAATTTATTCACATTCCTACAAATCTATAATTGTTTCCAAATAAAAGTAAAAGTAAATTTTAAAAGTCACTGCTTGCATTTCTAACAGCTTTCATGTCATATATTTTGATGTTAGTGGTTATGCCATCTACTACATAAAGGTTCATAAATATTAAGCTATAAATTATACCCTTGATTATTAAAAATAGATATTTTTGTTTTATTTAACATGTTTTACCTTGAATTTTACTTTGCCTGATGCTAATTTTGTTACCCCAGCTTGCTTTCTTTTATTTTCTTTCTTTTCTGTCTTGGAGTATGTATGTATGAGTGTGTCTGCATACTCGCAAGTCTGGTAAGTCAGCTTTGACCATCCTACATTTTTAAACTTATTTCATATTGTTTTAGTATGTCTGTTACAAATAAGAAATAATGATCACAGATTCTTATTCCTCCTATTATGATGTAATTTTAGTTCATTCATTTTTATTGTGATGTCTTAACTTTCTTTATACCTTAACCATATCAGGTAATTTGGACAGTTAAAAATTATTGTCCTAATTTTTTTTTCCTTAAAACTGTAATATTAGGCTAATGCTTTCTGAAATGTAATATTTCAAGGAAGACATCTAATGCCAGCATTATTTTTTTTTTCCTCTGAGGCAACCTGTTTTTGTCATCTAGATAATTGCAGGGTTTTTGTGTGCTGATGTTGTTGTTTTCCCTTGATTAAACTTTTCTCCTTGGAATCAGGATACATTTAGGCCACTTTCATTACTTTTGCATGATACTCAGTTAACCTTTTCAAATTACAGACTGAAATCTGGAGAAAACAAATTAGAGATTTTCTCCTGTTTTCTCCCATTTCATACTGAAACTCTATATCATAGAGGGTCAGGAAGGCAGGACATTCATTCTGATCCCTCCAATTGACTCTGTTCTTCTAAACGACTGAGTTTTATGTTTGATCATGTTCCTTCCTGCTGACCTTACAGGGCACCAGAGGTGAATCTATATTTGTCCATATTTGGGACTGAAACAGCTTCTGTTTTTCTGAGTGCCTGTTGAAATCTGTTCAGGGCCAGAGGAAGGGAGAAGAGAAATGTTACCCTTTTTTTTTTCTGTGATTTACTTTATCAAATTAAAAGTCAAATAAATATCCCAAGAGGAGGAGGCAGGGAGACAGCACAGGAACTGGTATGCCAAGGCTGAGACCTGAGGCTGGCTGCACTAAGCCCCCAGCTGTACTTGACATGATATCCTAGGAGACTGGGATATCAGTCCTCCAGGCACCAACCTTGCCATCTGCAGGCCTGAATCCTGCTTGTTCAGTCCTGGCCCTTGGCGTCTCCACAGGGCAGTCTTAGAATCTGCCCTGTGTCACTGCCCTGCAGTGCGCCCTCCCTGGGGCCCAGTATCTGAGCTCTGGGGTTTGCAGATGGTCCCTTCTGCTTCCTTCTGAGAACAAGCTTTCCTTCAGAGGCTCCTGTCCCAACTTCCCAGTTGCTGTCGCCTCAATCCAGACTTCCCTGCATTGTATCTTAGAGAATTTATGAGCTCTTTAGTAGGTAGACGGTGATTGTTCTTTTTCCGTTACTGACAGTGCTTTTTCCTTCTTGCTACTATTTCTTTGGCCATGTCACTGGGAATTGGGGGGAAGGAAACACTTAAAGCAAAAATTTTTATTGCCATATTGAACTTGGATACAACTTTAATTTTTATATATATATATATATATATATATATATATATATATATATTATTGGGTTGGTCTGTGATTAATTTTCATTTCCTCAAGGTTAAAAAATATATATTCTCCTCACCTGAGGATACTAGGCAGATCAGAGTAAAGTTAAAGCCACTCACAGTGGTCATTTTCTTTTTATTTTATTTTATTTTTTATTTTTTTAAGACAGAGTTTCGCTCTTGTTGCCCAGGCTGGAGTGCAATGGCATGATCTCGGCTTACAGCAACCTCCGCCTCCCAGGTTCAAGCGATTCTCCTGCCTCAGCCTCCCGAGTAGCTGGGATTACAGGCATGTGCCACCACGCCCAGCTAATATTTTTTTTTGTATTTTTAGTAGAGACGAGTTTCTCCATGTTGGTCAGCCTGGTCTCGAACTCCCGACCTCAGGTGATCTACCCGCCTTGGCCTCTCAAAGTGCTGGGATTATAGGCGTGAGCCACCGCACCCGGCCCACAGTGGTGGTTTTCTATGGGGGCTGCCACATACTTTGCTGCTGGCTGGGCACTATTCTGGGAACTGAGAATCCCATTTCCAGAGACTTCCTGCACAATGGATTGTTCCAGCCCCAAACAACCTACCTGCTTTGCCTTCCTCAAGCCCCAAGAGCTGAGGCTGCTATACGTGGGAAACAGCAGGTCCCAGGACTGAACCCAGACAGCCTGGGTCTGCACTTACCTTCCACCCCTCTTTCATTCCTTTAAACTGATTTTTTTTCTCTCTTGCCTGCACTAAAGACACTGAACTATGTTCCTATCTGCTATATCCACAAAATGATCCTTTAGAAAAAGGAGAGGGAGGGCATGGAGCATTAAAAAGAAAAAGAGATAGAATACCCAAGGGACACAGAGTTGATTCTGTCCAATTATACTTTTAAAATTCCCCTAATTGCTCTGTTTAATTATTGATGTGGAAAGTGTTTCCTTTTGGGGAGGGAGTTAAGTAATCAAGAGCCCTCAGGACCAAGAAGACAGACATCACCTGCTCTGGGTTTGGTAATTAAGGCATTATCCATCACCCCAGGAGCGGAGTGGACCCTGGTGGGAGAGTGAAGCCCCCCTGCTCCCCACAGCACAAAGATTGCTCACCACAAAGTGCCAAGAGCCCAGGTCTTTGGAAATGCGTCTAAGATAACCCCACAGCCCAGCAGCTTCTAGGAAGACTGATTGATCAACAGAAAGGGAAACAAACTCTGCTCCAATGTATTCCCATTCTGCTCATTGATTTTCCTCCTTTTACAAACAAACATTTGTTCGTAGGCTTCCAACTATGGCTGCAGCGGATCTGGCTTTGTGGAGTTTAGCTCCCCTCCATTATCTGTAATTGCGTGGGGACTTCAAGTCACAAAAGGCTAATATTTAAAGTGTCAATATTCTTGGTTGCTGTTTGCTTTTTTGGGAAATGTATAATTAAAGTACAATGACCTACTGCAGATATCACGATATCACTAATAATGTTCTTATTTTTTTTTACAGCTATCAACATTCATTCTTCTTGGCCCCCAGGAATAAGCAGTGCCTCCTGGGGTGGCCAGATACATGTATACTGATCCGTGTCATCGGAAAGAAGGAGGGGATCTACTGGATTCTGATTTGGGATCCAATTCAGAATGGATCATACAGTCAGGGAAGTTATAATGCAGTATAAGTAACGAACGTCTCCATTCCTAATGTAATGTGAAGGCTGCACTGCATGGGCTCCAAAGTCCCATCTACCTCTAACCTTCTGGACATGTGGGTCAAGGAATAAAAACTCTGGCAGGCAACAAAAAGGATGGGAAATGTGACAGGCACAGAGATGTGCTACTCAGATCACCCTTCAGGAAAGGACTTGCCTGCCATCCAGCTGTGTGACGTGTGGGCAGCCGACAGGTTTCAGCTGTTAGAGCCTTTAGGCTCCATCTCACTCTCGAGCTCATGGATTGCTCAGAGCAGAGCTTGGTCAATAGTGGAACAAGGTGGTGACACCAAGGCTTAGCCCAGTGACTCCTGTGCTGAGCGATCTTTGCTCCAGAGTTCCCCATTGGTCTGGCAGAGACTGTCAGGTCTGCATGAGGGTCTACCCAATCCAACTTCCCTCCCTTTACTTGTACAGAGTTCCCTCTCTAAGACACCTTTTGTACTTCTAACTCCCTCTTAGGATCTGCTTCCTGGAGAACCCCCATGGTGACAGAGGATGAGTTGCAAACAAAGTGGCATGCAATGCAGAAGAGGGTGTGATGGATCCAACCACTGGGGGAACTGAGGAAGGTGAAGTCATGAAGGAAACTGCATTTGAGTTGACTCTGAAGATGAACAGGAGTTGAATGAGTAGGAAAGAAGAAAATAGGCATTTCAAGCAGCGGGATGGACACATGCACAAAGGCATGTTATAAAGAGCAGGATGTGGGAGCATGGGTAATGCATGGAACCATGTGGACGTGTGCAGTGGTCGGGGTGGGGGATGAAGCGGGGAGATAAAGCTGGGAAATACGGGATCCAACATAAACAGCTGTCACAAACACTCTATGTATATACTCCTATTGGTTTGTAGACTCTGATAAAGGGAAATGGTAGTCCTGGGAGAAGAATGAGCTGTACAAAGCAATAAAATATGTAGAATTCCATAGCATAGTATTTTTGACAGCCCTAAAACAGATATTTTACTTCTATGTAGGTGGTTTCCTTGAAAAAATAGCACCTGCTATTTGTTAAGGAGAGAATGAATTACTTGTCCCATGGTACAGTTAAATCAATCATATCATAACACCAATCTATCATGTAAAATTCATCTCTAGGCCCATGTTTTGAGGAAAGAAAATGGCAGTTAATATTCCTATTGCTGACTACTTATTCAAGAGAAGAAAAAGACATGTTTATGTGGTTCTAAAATAACTTCCTTAAGCCCATTATCAAATTCTAACAAGGAAGACCATCCATCCTAAGGAAGTTATTTTATAAATCATAATTTGCTTTTATTAAAAAAAAATTACCAAACTGCATTCCAAGAAACACAGAGTCCTGTGGGTTTTTCATTAAAATGCTTTCCACTGTCATTGTAATATGGGAAACACTGTATGTGACAAATCCCATTTGACTTTTCACAGTGAATCTTAGAAGTCCACAGACTTTAAAAGTCTACTGTAAAAAATCCATTTATGTTTGTTGAATTCATTTCCTATTCATATTTGATCACAAAATCCTCCTACCTTCACGGCTCTCAAGAAAGATATGGAAATAACACTACAGGGAAAACATTTTGTGGGTTGACTTTGAGGAATTCAAAAGCATTTCCTATCAAAACTTGCTGAACACAACCCCAAAGTCTCCTTGTAAATGTTTTAGGGTTACTCCATGAAATGAGAGGATGGCTAAGCAGGTGGGTTCTAGAGCTCCCCCCCACCCCAATTCAGTCATCATGAATTGTATTATATATTAAGAATTTGTAACAGATGTTTAAGGAAAAAAAATGAGTTCTAGTGCTACAAATATTTGAAACCACAACAGCAATCAATCAATTTATGTAACTACACACACACACACACACACACACACATACACACGGGTTGGGGTGGGCATATACCTACCATTAGGAAAAGGAGAAAGACCAGGGGCTTGATCTCAGAAGAAGAAATGCCCCCTTTTCATTCCTTTGAATAGATGCAATACAAAGTTCCCAAAGGACACTCCTGCTCAGACATATGCAGTCCCACCTAAAATATAGTTCTTATTTTTAGCTTTGAATAAGTTAAGAGGAAATTGCAAGGATCATTATCACTAATCATTTGAGGTATAAATGATGTCTACAAAGGATATCCAGAAAAGATGGTGACAAGAAGTTATGGGTCAAATGACAATCACAACAACAATATCAACAAGGTAGTTCACATACATCATCTCTAATCCTGACAAACGCCAAGCAAGGTGGCATTATTATTCCCACTCTCCAAATGACTGAAGTGTAGAGAGCTTCAGTAACTTGTACCAAGTTAGCCAGATGATAAGGAGGTGTGGAGAGACTTGAACCCAAGACAGGCAGATTTCAAAGGCGGTCCTGTTACAAAGGCAGTGGGTCACACTAACTTTTAAAAATCATATATAGACAATCTAACAATCTGTTTGGTTATGAAACAAAATAGATTGATGCTTCTCAAAGTTACCTCCCTTTGTAAGACTTGGGGGAGCCTGCCACCACCCCAAAAGCTGATAGTCCTGAATCATGGCCTTTCTCTGCTTTATCCTCCCCATGGCCACAGTCAGCACAAGTCACAGTCAATACAAGTATAAGCAACTCAATCGCTCAGTTTTCTGTATGTGGCTTTTCATTTTTTCAGTGTGACAAATGAATACGAGGCAGGCATTTTCTTTCTTCCACCCAGTAGTTTTACAGTATTGACTCAAGCCCTTCCTCTCTTCCCCTGAGACCTCTTTGAGGTGGGCCAGTGAGGATCCTGATCCCTCTTCTCTGGCTAGAAATGAACCCAGTGACTTTCACATCCTGATAAACAGAATCAGATGCTATTGAGTGTTTCCATTTGATTGGGTCAAGCAACTATTCCTGAGGTCGATTCAGTGTCATCTGAACTCAAGAGAATCCATGTATTGCATGAGCTTAAACTTCTTAATTTAATCAAGCATTTAGGGAATAAGCACAAAAAGATGGCTGTGCAATTTTATCGCGATATCTTTCCTAAGTGAATTCAAAGCAAAGCATGGGTTGACTTTGCTCAAAGAATGACCAACTCTTAAAACATGTCCATTAGTAAATAGCTCACTCTTCAAAATCAAGAACTCGGGGTTGTATTTTCATCCATTTTTCTCACAGTTGCAATTCCTGATGAACTAGCTCCCGTTGCATATCACCTTCCCTTTCATCAGAACAGGAGTTTTCAAATGGCAGCTATAATGGTGGAGTTTGGGTGGGGTGCTGATCCTACCCACATCCCGATATCTGAGTGAGAAAAACGAAATAGGTTTTGTCCCCTTTAAAAGTGTTTCAGACAGGAAAGACCTCCTTGAATGTTATAAACTTGAATGGGAAAAAATGTTCATTCTCCTTCCCCACCCCCACCCAGTTCCCAGCATCTTTGTTTGAACCAAGTCTCAAAAAACATGTAAATCTTGGCCCAGACTAAGCAAATCACCTTAAAAAGGAAGGTTAGAGAACTGTTTATTATTTGAAATGTCTCTCTCCAGACCTTATTTTTGATAAATTGGCTTCAGCTTCATTACTTCATGATATATCTCCCTTGACATTTAATTATACTTACTCCAAACACATTAAGCGAATCAGTCTGAACAGCTTCTTATTAATATGCAAATTTCTCCTTTGAAAACCCATGAATCTGTGAAAAATCTCTTTAGGCTTCCATTAAACCCACTCAGGAAGTTGTATACCTCACACAGACACTTGCCTTATTCACTGACTCAATGATTCAGCATTTACTAATTGTCTGAGTTAACTATTCTGGCCACATCAAGGGGAGGTGGTAGGAAAGAGAGAGGGGACAGGGAATCAAATGGGATTCAGAAGCTGAACACTTAAAAGATGAATGATCAGAGGCCAGGCTTGAATTAGCGGCTGGTAGTTAGAGCTCAAAATCAAGGCTCTTTGCAAGCACAATCAGCCAGATGACTTGAAACAGCGTACTTTAAGGGGAGAAGCCACGGACTTAGTTCACCAATGACTTCTCTGGCAGTTCTGTTTCAGATGAAGACGGGCTGCTGAACACAGGATCTTCTACACATCTCTTATGCCCTCCCAAGCACTGGCTGCACTTGTGTTCCTTTACCATTGCATTTGCAAAAGATCTGATTGTCATCAGGTAACACAGCGGGGCATAGGTAGAGTGGTTCTAGTTAGCAATGGTGCCAGGAAGACCAGGGGCTGACCAGGAGAATGCTGAGTTCAAATTAGGAAACAGGGTCCTAAGGCTGTTGGGGGTCAGAAGCAAATTTCAAAGAAGCCTGGGTTTTAGAAACTGAGAAACAAAGCCTAGCGCTTCAGGAGCTAGCTGAACACCTAGCAACAAGGAGATGGAGGCAATATCGTGAGGAAATGAGTTTTCCAGGAGAGTCCAGGGCCCGAGGGGGGCCAGAATGAAAGGGGAATAAAGTGGAGATCAACACAAGCAAGATGGGTATTAGGAGTTTACGAGAGAGTCGCTCTTAAATATCTGCTGATGGAATACTGAAGATGGGCAAAGACAATCATTTTCCATAGTCCTATCAGACAAAAGTCTGAAACTGGGGACATCTGGGCAGCAGGAGATAGAAGCATCAGAGAGCAGCATGCAGGATTCAGGTTCTGGTGTTTTTTATCATCTTTGTTGAGTATTTCCAAGACATATTTGCAACTAGTAAACAATATGGTTATGGTTACACACACACAAATACATATACGTGTGTGTGTGTGTGTATATGTTTATATACACACACACACACACACACATGCTTTGACTTATGATAAAAATGGAGGAAATATAATAGGCTGTTTTCAGTGACATCTGGATCTCACCCTGAATAATCTCATCCACTCTAGACCTCAGTTCCATCATCTTATCAAAAAAGGACAACAGCACCTGCTCCATCCTTTTTATAGTGTTGCTGTAAGAATTAAATTGAATAGAATATGTCAAGATTGTGGAGGAGGGGGGAACTGTGTAAAGTGTAAAATATCTACATGTATAAGGTTAATATATATAGTCAAGTTAGGCTTTCACATTTGCTTACCAACCTTGTAAATGGCATGCACTGCTGAATAGTAATTAAACTGCTTAATAAGGGAAATAGGAAAGAAACGAATATTTAATACATATCTGCTACAATCCACACACTGCTTAAGGTGACTTTGTAGGTTATCTCACTTTATCCTCACAGCAACCTTGAAGAAACAGAAAAAGGAAATGTCATCGTCCTAAGTCTTGTTTGGAAGGAGAAAGGTCTGGAACAGAGACTCTGTTTTCAATGAGTTCCCAGACCTTTAAAGGGGAGGTAAGAAAAATAATAATGAAAATATACAAAGAATACTTATAAACTGAAGTTACTAATTTTTAAGGCAACTCTGTATCTGTCATTTGAGATTGGTTCCATTCATTGCAAAGAATTTAAATCAAAATAACAAAAAGCAGGAGAAATCTGATTGCATCACGATAGAAAGATGTTACTTTCATGGAAACAACTTCCTAAAGCTTTAGATAGGGTCTATAATTTGATCAAATAGGAGAGCAATAACCCAAAAAGAAACAGAACCAAACAAAATCTTCAGTGACATTTATTGTCGTCAAAGATCATAGTCTAGAGTATAAAGTTCTTTTCTTGCTTGTTTAAAATTCCTGCCTTATTTAATGTAACAAATCAGAAGAGAAAGAACTTAACATAGGAAGGACTGTAAATCCCTGAAGAGCTTCTCTGAGAGCATTTTCACAGATGTCTCAGAGAAAGAGAGAGAAAGAAATTAGGATGAATTTAGTATTTTTAAGAAAACTAGCCAGAAATATCAATTTGGGTACTTTCGTTTGTCTCAATTCCATAGATCCCGAAGCAATCACAGGCATTAGAGTCTTGTTATGAAACCATAACCTGCAAGTTTTCTTCCCCTTGACTAGGTAGGTAGAAGAATGTGATAGGATGAATGCATGATGTGGACAGTCCAAATCCTGCTTGCTCTACTTAGTAGTAGCTGAGATAACTCAAGTCTTTGTTTCTATAAATGGCGTTAATGTCTAACTTACAGTGTTACTGAGAAAATTAAAGCAGATACATATTTAAGATGCTTGGAACAAGTACTCAAAAACGGAAAAGATTGCCATTAAACACACTCCTTGAAGATAGGATACCTTTTATTGTACTTTGCCTCCTTCAGGGCATTTGAACAGAGCAGACTCTCAACACATACAGTCAGTTCTTGTTATTCTAAGTAATTATGTTCTATAAAGTTGCTGCAGTCCAGGTGTGGTGGCTTACACCAGTAATCCCAGCACTTTGGGAGGTGGAGGGAGGTGGATTGCTTGAGCCCAGGAGTTTGAGACCAGCCTGGGTAACATGGTGAAACTTCATCTCTACAAAATCCAAAAAAAAAAAAAAAAAAAAAAAAAAAAAAGTTAGCCGGGCATGGTGGCATGCACCTGTAGTTCCAGCATCCTGGGAGAATGAGGTGGTAGGATTGCTGCAGCCCAGGGAGATCAAGGCTGCAGTGAGCCATGATGCTGCCACTGCCATCCAGCCTGGGCAACAGAGTGACACCCTGTCTCAAAAAAATAAATAATGGCAGGGTGCAGTGGCTCACACCTGTAATCCCAGCATTTTGTGAGGCCAAGGCAGGCAGATCACCTGAGGTTGGGAGTTCGTGACCAGCCTGACTAACATGGAGAAACCACGTCTCTACTAAAAATACAAAAATTAGCCAGGTGTGGTGGCGCATGCCTGTAATCCCAGCTACTAGGGAGGCTGAGGCAGGAGAATCACTTGAACCTGGGAGGCAGAGGTTGTGGTGAGCCGAGATTGTGCCATTGCACAACAGCTTGGGCAACAAGAGCAAAACTCCATCTCAAAAATAAATAAATAAATAAATAAATAAAATGAAACATTAATTAGTGAATACTGAACCAATGCTCCTAGAGGAAACATAGGGCTAGGTTCCTATGAGTTTCTGGTCACATTTTGTCAAATGCTCAAATCATAATCTTGTTTTATGTGTTTCTGTTTAAAGACACATTATTTAATATATAGTTGATGCATTAACACTAAACTCATGGCCAATAGTGCTATACCTTGTGCCTGAAGGGAGTTTGTTAACATATGTATTTTCCCTGCAAGGCACATCACAGCCTTCTTGTGCTTAGGAACACTAGATGGCAATTTGGCACTACACTTAGGGGCCGTTTTAAACAGTGAAATCAACAAAAAGCATGAAAGTGCAAAAACCAAGTCTCCAAATACATGCAAGAAAGCCAGGTTACAGTATGAGAGCTAAAACAAGAAGGGAGAGTGTTGTTTCATTCAACCTCAGCTGCAAACCTCAAGCAACTCAAATTTTTGGCAGCTCTGGGCATGCCCACAAATGACTGTGAAAGTGCTACAAGTCTTGATTCTGGAGTTACAAATAAATTTAGCAAGTAGGCAAATTTGCAGACACAAATCTGTGAATAGTGAGGATCAACTGCATTTGTTAAATGGATGTATAAAAAAAAAGAAATTAAAAACCCATGAAAATAGGCCAAATATATTGGGATGTCTGTTCTTCCAAATCAGCTTCTCCCTCTTAAAAAAAATCTTTCTTAAAAAAGTAAAAATATGTATAAGTCAGAAACACACCTGTTCATTGCAAAATGGCAAGTTGGTATCAAATGGCTTTTCCAATGCTGATGAATGGTTTCTAAGGTTTTACTGACCCATTGGCTACCCTCTGGGGTGTGAACAGGGAAAACTAGCAAATTCACAGAATTATACTAGATTCTTTCATTAAGATGAGAAACTGAAATATCAGCAAGGTTCTGGTGACTCCAGAACCTTCCCAAAATGACCTAGAGAACCACAGTTACTAATCTTGCAACTGCTGGACAGAGTTCTATTTCTCAGAACTTATAAGTCAAGTAATATGCTTGGGTTTAGCGATACTTTTATGGTTAAAATAAGAAAAGTTATACTTCATCCCATTCTCATTTGTCATCTCCCAGAAGTTCAACTTCAGAGCCCAAGCTTGAAAGAAGGCATTTTGGTTTCAAGGTCTCTTTTCAAAGAGATAAACCTGACAACTTTGCCTGCAATGTCAGTTCCAAGATAAATGAGCTTATGCTATTTTTTAAAATTTCTGTTTGGAGACAAAAAAAAAAATTAAGTTGTTTTAGAAGAAAGTCAAGGGCTAATTTATGGAATGGACTTGATTTTCTTTTATAGACGTGAGAAAATATACTCTTTGTTAATATAAGTTTTCTTTTGCTCTATAAGACAATGGACACAAGCTTTCTGCTCCCCATCTCCTGGGTACCCAAGAGAGTGGGTATTCCCCTCTGCACTGTCACATGGTTCCAAAAACAGGAAGGGGAAAGTTTTCTTGGAATTAAGATTCAAATTCCATAATACAGAGAAGATCCAACCTCACCATTAATGTTGCTAACTGACCACGCCCACGTTTAACACCCCTAGGGTGAAAGCTGCTGATCACTTCCAGTTGGCTTCTCTTAACACATGGAAACTGACAGTCCCAAATGAGAAGCTTCTTGTCACAAAATCATGGAGCCAGGTTAGGCTCTCTGGGCATGTAACCCATGCAGTCCCACAGAGTCCTGCACTCAAAAGATCACCATACTTAGAAGGGTTCTGCCTTTGGTTTAATGCACTGACACTGCAGTCTTAAAATTCTCATTTTTCTTTTTAACAAGGATCCCTACATTTTCTTACTGCCCTGGGCCCTGAAAATTATGAGCCTAGTCCTGCATGGAGCTAGTTAGTAGCTGAGGAGGATTGCACAGACTCCTTGTCCAATACTTCTCCCACCTATGCTAAGTGACCTGACGTAAGGTCTGCGAAGGACAGTACCTCCTCTGCAACTATGATAGCTCACATACGCAGACTTCTGTATGGTGTCAACTTTGTGCTTCAGAGCATCCATCCATCCATCCATCTGCCTAGGGCACGTCGTGAGCCAATCACTCATGCACTCCTAGCATCAAACACATTGGAATCATAGCCTGAGCTCTGCTAGGTAGAGGATCAGTTTATCTTTATTAAGAGAATGAGCTAACAGACAGGCAGGTTAGGAATACAATCTTTTCTTGGATAAATAGAGTGGACTTCATTCACTCCAGCTGCATCGTGTGGCATATTTTATGCATATGTATTTTTATAAAGCAACTAGAGAAATAAAGCAATCTTATATCATCTAAGAACAACAATCTGACTTTCTATTTGGCAGGCTGCCCTGCAATCCTTCCTTTCTCAGCTCCTCCATCTCTCTTCCAGGCTCCGGGGGCCGCCTCCCTCTTGTCCCCATTACTTTGCACAAAGGTGAATAAATCAACGTGAAGCTCTTATCATCTTATTTTCTCTCTGCTCCCTTCTATTCTGTCCTCCCAATCTTGAATGGTTTGAGAGAAATTAATGCCTGTGTCTCTGGCAAATGTATTGCGCCTATAATTCAGTTTTAAAACAAGCATACCAGCAGTGGCCAAACCTTGGGTAGAAGATTCATTTTTCACATGAGTAATTGGATCCTTCCATTCAATTTTCTTTCAAGTATTAAAGACAACTGATGCCTCACTGAAAACTCCTATAAAATTTCTACGAACACTTGTCAACTGAGGGTAGGGCTACCCTGGAGGGCAGGTGGTGGCACTGGCAAAGCATTTTCCTACAGTTCACAGGTAGAAGGTTATTCCAAGGTAGTAAAAGTAATAAGAAATCTTTATTTCATCAGCCTCCACTTTATGCCATCAATATTTCTGTAAGGTTAAAAACTCAGCTTTGGTGTTTTCTTAGGTGACAACATTATTGGATTTAACGGACTTGTTCAACTAATACAATAAACATTCTTTAGCGATTGCTTTACTGTGCCAGGGTTTCAAAAGATGCTTGTATTAAGAAACATCTATTTGGTCTGTCAGGGCTACATTTGTGTATTTTAAATGACACATCATCTCTATAGTGTTTTTTAATACAACAGAAATAATGTGTCTTACTACTTAATGGTTAAACATCCAGCAACTGCATTTTGCAGAATGAAATTCACCATGATATTGGATACTGGGATAAACCCTTTGTGTTTACAGATGGTTATTCTACTTTTTTTGCAGACAAATTTATTTCAGAATTGACTGAAATGGCTCAATTACTGACTGACTCCAAGCCATCCCGATTAGCCACAGAAGTGATCTGACCATTTTGCAAGTCATCAAGGTTGTCTGTTGCTATTTTCATAGTAGCACTTAGAAATTCTTAGAAATTCATTCCGCTTACCCCGGTTACCCAACAATTGTCTAATTTTTCACTTCTGATGCTTATCACTAACCCCTTCTCCCTGGGGTATTGAATTCTTTAGAAAGTAATTGTGGGCCACCTGTCCATGTCTTCTTCTGTAATGGGAAATGAAAACCGAATGCCAGCATAATACTCTGACCCACATTTCTGACCACTCCTGAAAGGTGAGAACATTAAGAGACTCAGGCAAGATCCCCCAACCACATCATCTGCTTGGAAGGAAAGGAAGACTGTGCAGCATCTACCAATGAGGAAGTCCCAGGTGTTTTGGTTTTGCTTTTCTTTTCAATCAAGATTTGGGGTAAAATCAGGGGACACGAAAGCAGGAGAGCCTATCTGGAGAAGGAAGAGGATCATGGAAGAGTCTATAAAACAAAATCTATCAGAAATCTCTTGGCCAACTAACTGTCATGTACTGCTGTTTAACAAAGCATCCTTAAACTTAATGCTTGCAACAATACAAAACATTTATTTGCTCATAATTCTGAAATTTAGAAAGGGCTCAGCTAAGTGATTCATCTGCTCCATGTGATATCAGCTACAGTCACTCATTTAGCTTTAGTTGACGGAGAGGTCAGCTGGGGCTAGAATGATATCGAGGTGGCTTCACTCACATATCTGGGTCCTCAGCTGTGGTGGCTGAAGATCTGGGAGCTGTCTGGGCCTCTCCTCAGCAGGGTTGTTGAATTCCTTATTTGGTGGCTCAGGGCTCCAAGGTGAGCCACAGCAGAAGCTGTCAGGGCTCTAAGTGGCTAAGCCTGGAGTTGGCACAACATTGCTGCTGCCACATTCTAGTAGCTGATGCAAATCCCAAGGCCAGCTCAAATCCAAGTGGAGTGAACATAATTAGATTCCATGATTCCGTATCTGGATGGGGTAAATGGAATGCACAAATATGGGTGGGAGAAATAGTTGGCATATCTATGGAGACAGTCAACCGTACTAGCTCCCAATGTTTTTCTCAACCCTAGCGTGGATGAGGGTACTAATGGTCAGCTCAGGGAGTTAGTGGTCACTCTCCATAATTTCACTTCACAGGTTAGAGACATTGGCAAAGAACATCTTTTTCTTTAAACATCACTGCGTGTTTGTTATTGGATTCTCATTTCAAATTGACTTGAGCTTCAGACCAGTTCTAGCACCATGAGTCAATTTGTAAGTCAAACAGGCAACTTGTTTAGGAATCAGAGCACATGATTCATATTCAAGCAATCAAGCACAAAGAAGACAAAACACCTTATTTATGCTGCCTTCCTCAATTCGAAAGAGACGTTAGCTTCCAATGTCACAGGAAAAGGAACATGTCAGTGAAATTTCCATAGACAATAGTATTAACACATGATTTGTCGTTGAGCTTCTAAGAGTCTGAAGGGTCCTCAGAAAAAAATTCTGATTTTGTATGATCTTTAACTTCTTTACTCATTTTAGAAGCTCACCACCAACCATGTAAGATGAGATTCCACCCATTTGCTCAAAATGTGTCACTAGAGCTACAAAGAGAGGGTGCTCCTGGGCACCCCAGTTTGGGCTTAGTTAGTAAATAAGCCTAAATCCCCTCTCTAAAACATGGTTTAGATTTGCAGATCAAGACTGATAGACTTCTCTTTTGTGTTCCAACAGAAAGTAGTCCCTTGGGATCCACCTTAGGTATAAATAAAACATATTTTTGTGAGTGAGAAAGTAAACGATTTCTTTCTAATTTCTGATTGACCTCTGATTCCTAGGCTTTTGTGACAGATCACAATGTCTTCAAGCAACAATCTATAATGTTCTAGTGTTATCTGTGTCACTGACCAGCAGCTTGACACTGGGCAGGGTGGTTTTTCCCTTTCTGAGTTCTTGCCAAAGGGTTCAGGGTTAAACATTAAAGGTGCATTAAAGCTCTAGTTAGTGGAAAGGGTTAAATATCATCATCAAATTTTACTCTTGCAAAATGTTTCACAGGTTCCAAAGCATTTTGTGTAATTGCCTCATTTGATATCAATTTCTAGGGTTCCTTCCATCTTCAACATTGTATGATTTGATGGACTAAAAATGCATGCTCAATTGATAAAATGTACCTTTTTCCAGTAGTTTAAATAGTCAAAGACTTTTAAGTGCTCCTGCTGTGGAGAAAGAAAAGTCTGTTTCTTTCATCTCTGCATTTACGTTGGAAGACCAGATATCACTTTCAAAATATTTTTTCAAAACTTAAGGAGAGGTGTGACTTACCACTTAATGATCAGCCTTTGCTCACACATTTCTGTGGTTCATTGAGCGAACTTCACTGTAGAACAAGAGTCTCCTAGAGAAAAAGCATTCAATCTATCTTCCTGGAAGATCTTGGCATTCATTCCCCTTAGGGGCTACCCAAAAGAGCAAAAGGGAAAGGCAGAAGGGATCTCTGGGACCTCACATCCTTATTTAAGCAGAGAAACTCCCCTTTTATCAGTGTTCATTTTCACTTCAGTGTAAAATTTCATTTGAACTAGGAGTTCTAAGGTCATCAAATATTTGAAAACTACTGCTTAAGGGAACACATGTGGATTTGTAAATCCTGCTAAATCTATTTATGTATTGTGATATAATTCTCCCTACTGATGCTGTAAAAAATTGTTTTAAACTGAAAGCTATGATATAAACTATTCCAACTGACCCCACATATCCCCAAAGGCCTCCTTTAAAGTTCTACTCTGTGGTTTGAATGAGTTTTTGAATGGATGCCAAAGATTTCCTATCTCCTCTGCTAAAGAGGCTAAGACTACAAAAGAAGCCAAGCCAGGGGGAAAGAAAAATTCCAGCCATAAAGTTTCAAAGAATTCTCAGATATTAATTCTGACCCAAGTGCCAGAGTGATTCACTGGCGGGTGATGCTGAGTAATCTTACTTTGGACTCTTAATCCATGTTCTATTAATGGATTTTAGCCACAGCTCAAAAGGTTAGGAATTAAAGACCCCATTTCCACCTCTTTTTATTAAATTATTCTAACCTCATCCTGGGTAATTCATCACTGTCTCACTCGCTCTTGGTACACACATTGGGAATGGAAGGGCCAGTTGATACAATCACCCTGTCCACCTTCCCAAACACATTCTAATAAAAAAAGAGCCCTAAGTCCAGTTTCTCTGAGATTTGAGAGGGTGGTTATTCCAATTTTACATTCAGTACTGCTGAAGAGTCAGTTCCTAGAGACTCTTGCTCCTTAAGGAGTCTCTTTCTTTAGTAGAATCATACCCTTTGCCTTAGTTTTGGTAATTTTCAATGTTGTTTAGGTTGAGCCTTTGAACATCGTGACCAGATGGTCATCTGTTGGCAGTTTCCATAGCATTCGTTCAGTGGGCACAAATCTTGAAGGCTACTTGAAGAAAGAGGATGAAGTTCAGATGGTTCACACACCTCCAGAAACCTCTTTCAACTGTGAACAATCTTGACTTGCTGTGGTTTCTGTACATGTAGTAAAGCATGTTGAAGGAATGGATGCCTTGACTTCATTGATACCTGGAATGGACGGAATTATATCCCCTCAAAATTGGTAAGTTGAAGCCTCAACTCTCAATGTGACTGTATTTGAAGATTAAAGGGCATTAAAGGAGGTTATTAAAGTTAAATGAGGGGTCGGGCACAGTGGTTCATGCCTGTAATCCCAGCAGTTTAGGAGGCCAAGGCAGGTGGATCACTTGAGGTTAGGAGTCTGAGACCAGTCTGGCCAGCATGGCAAAACTGCATCCCTATAAAAAATACAAAAATAGCTGGGCATGGTGGCGTGCACCTGCAGTCCCAGCTACTTGGGAGGCTGAGGCATGAGAATCACTTGAACTCGGGAGAGGTGGAGGTTGCAGTGAGCAGAGATTGCGCCACTGCCCTCCAGCCTGGGCAACAGAGCGAGACTCTGTTTCCAAAAAAAAAAAAAAAAAATGGTTAAGTGAGGTTGGAAGAGTAGATCCCTGATCCAACAGAATTGGTGTTCTTAAAGGAAGAGGAAGAGATACCAGGAGTATGTCTGCACAGAGGAAAGGTTGTGTGAAGACACAGAGAGAAGGTGGCCATGTGCAAGCCAAGGAGAGAGGTCGCGGGAGAGAACAACCCTACCCATCCTCAATCTCAGACTTCCAGCCTCCAGAATTGTGAGACAATAAACTGTTGTTTAGGTCCCCCAGCCTGTGGCACTTTGTTATGGTAGCCTGTGATATTTCGAAATATCACAGGCTACCATATTTTGATATTTGGTCTTCCTGTTTCCTGGCTCATCATTCCCAAAACCCTTGGAATCTAAAGCAATAAATTTCTTTGTGAATGTTAATGAGATGACTGGTGGCTGGGGGCTCCTGGATAGCCTCAGGATGGGGGATGGTTGCCAGGGGAATGTTGTAATTAGAGGGTTGAAACTTTCAGCTCCCCCACTACCACCACACACACACCTCTGGGGTGGAAAGAGGAGCTGAAGATTGAGTTCATCACCAATGGCCAGTGGTTTAATCAATCATGCCTATGTGATGAGACCTCTACAAGAACCCAAGACTGGGTTCTGACAGCTTCCAGAGAGCTGCACACACAGCAGTTCCTGGAGGTTGGTGCAACCAGGGATCTGGGAGCTCCAAACCCCTTCCTACATACCTCGCCCTATGCATCTCTTCTATCTGGCTGCTCCTCTGTATCCTTTGTAATATCCTTTGTAATAAGTGGGTCAACATAAGTGTTTCCCCGAGTTCTGTGAGCCACTCTAGCAAATTAAACAAATCTAATGAAGCGTTCATGGAAAACCCCAATTTATAGCCAGATAATCAATCAGAGGTATACTAATCGCAACAAGCATTTAAAGTGGGGGGCAGTCTTGTGAGACTGAGCCCTTAACCTATGATATCTGATGCTGTCTACAGGTTGATGGTGTCGGAACTGAATTGAATAAGACACCCAGATGATGTGTGCTGGAGAATGTAGTGTCAGAAGTGTTATATCGAGAGATGTGTGGAAGTAGAGAAAAAATATTTTTTTTTCTCTGACATAGCCCAAGCAGACTAATACAGTGCCACAACTTCAACATTTGGAATCAGTCTGAAGAAGAGAAGTTTCCAGAAGACATTATGGCTGTTTTTAAATATCTGAAGACAGTGACTACTTTTAGGTTGGTGCAAAAGTAATTGCAGTTTTTGCTATTACTTTCAATGACAAAAACCGCGATTACTTTTGCACCAACCTAATACATGCAGAATCAGATTTGTTCTCTGTGAATCTAGAAGGAAATCTAGAACTGGTTGGAAATGTTTTAAAAAATAAGGAATTTGTCTCAATGATAAAAAAGGAATTTTTAACTGTTAAAGCTTTTCAAAAGAAGAATGAGAATGAGCTACATAACAAAAGTGGGTAAGATCCCATCTCATAAATAACCATCGATCTGGATTCCGAAGCATCACAAAGAATGTTGGACTACCAGGACTCTATGATGACTTTTAAGTGGTAAAAGTAGGATTTTAAAACCCTCTCATCAAGGGTTACCACTAAGTAGCTCATTATCTTGGGCAAGTTGCCCAAAGTCTCTTCATCTCAGTTTCCAAAAATCTTTTTAAAAAGAAAGTACAGTTTTTGTGAAAATTGAAAAGAATATATTAGTAAAGCATCAAATAAATAGAAAACATTATCATCATCATCATGCCATTGGTGTCATCAAATGAAAATATTCCAAGAAAAGAAAAAATATATAATGCTTTCCATTCATATGATGAAAATATATACATTTTTTCTTACTTTGGGTTTGCTTTAAAAATATAAATATAACTGTGCTTCTCATGAAAAGGTAATCATATAAAACCATTAAAAACCCAAACCCTGGAAGTTTGCCTTACATCATAAGAAGAAGAGCAACAAAAAGCCTTAGTGAAACTGAACAGAGTGTTCTCTTTTCCCTGATGGGTGAGATGCGATCTGCACAAGCTGTGAGTGTAGAGAAACAAATGCTAGTCCTTCAGCTGTAGGGGTCTGGGACGACCTTCCTAACTAAGGCAAAACTGCCTTTTCTGTGAGTCACCCTTTGAAGGAAGGGCTCGCTGCCTGGGAGCAGTTTTACTGTTTCACATTTCTTTCATTCATCACTTTTCAGGCCCTGCGCCGTCTGGCACAGCCCCAGCCTCTTTGTGTGGATATCTGGCTCTCATTGCTGCAGAGAAGTGATGTCAGGAGGCTCTGACTCAGGTGAGCAATAAGGAGCAGATGGCGCCTCCACAAACCCAGAGCCTCTCCCCGCACCCTGCTCCTTGGAACAAGAGTAATTATTATAAATGGGATGGGTGGTGGGATAAGCAAAGATCCAAGTTTTCTAAGAGGATCTGCAAAGCTGAACCCTCCAGGAAAAAAAAAAAAGTGCAGCCACCAGCATGGACAACAGAAAGGAACCCTGATTGGAGATTGTTTAGGAACATGGTGCTCACTCAATTGGGCGTTGTGCTAATCTGATTAATGAAATGACGATGCTAAGCGGGGCGTTCAGCTTGCTGCATCCGTAGCTAAGGCAAGTTGGGCAATTCCCCCCAGAACATCAATTCTCAGCACCCTTGTCAGATAACTGTTTATGAAAAGATGAATGCACGTGGCAATCTCGGGTGAAGGAGGCTGATGCATGTGTTGTTAATGATTGAAATAATCAGTTTGGTAGTAACTGGCATGTGCGCTTGTCAAATGACAGGCTGGGGAGCATTAGCATTCCTCAGGCATGGACGCCTTTATCTTCAGGCTGGTGTCTGACAACTACCAAGATCACCCATGAATAAATATCGGGCCTTACCCAGACATAATTAAACTGCCAATGCAGATATACCTAAATAAAATTGATATCTTAATGACACCAGATAGTGTTCAAGTAATGAAAGCAGTGTGAGAGGGACCTGCACAATGAATGGAGACATCAGTGCTCATTCCACAGGGGACTCTTCCCCCAGTAACTCCTCACAGAGGTTGCTTCTCATCGTGGTGGAGTTTTATTTCTGGCCTTTTCTCTTCGATTGGCCTGCCTTCACCATCTGAGAAATCTTTCCTTCTTTCTCCCTAGCTATACCGGAGAGCTATGTATCTCTCTGCATGGAAGAGGTTTGTGTATCTTTTGTTACACTCCACTGGGCCACAGAGATTTTGGTTTTGTGACATCTGAAATAACCCCACTATGCTTAGGACACCAGTGTTTGCTGATCCTGGAGCTGCGGCTGCATCACCTCCTCCACGGAGTCCCGGGAGAAACCTCCGTTGCTCATGTCTGCATCACTCAGTACATCCAGCAAAATGCTAAAAAGCATCAGGTGGTAATCTCAGCATTTTCGGGGGCCGAGGCGCATGGATCACTTGAGGTCAGGAGTTCGAAACCAGCCTAGCTAACATGGTGAAACTTTCTCTAATAACAATACAAAAATTAGCCGGGTGTGGTGGTGCGCACCTATAGAGTCCCAGCTACTCAGGAGGCTGAGGCAGGAGAATCGCTTGAACCCAGGAAGCAGAGGCTGCGGTGAACCGAGATTGTGTCACTGCACTCCAGCCTGGGTGACAGAGCGAGTCTCCTTCTCAAAATAATTTAAAAAAAAGTACCAGGTGAATCTGATCTCCAGCCTCTTGCCAGCTCTGGGGGTCGTTTGAGAGAGAGAGTGCGTATGTGCATTTATCTGACTAATTTCCACCTGTCCGCCCTCTCTGACTTCATAAAATTGACTGTCTACCACGTGGACCAACTCCTCACCACTAAGATGCAAGCACTTTCATCTTATCTAGTCCTTTATCTTTATATGCCACTCCCAGGAAAAAATGAATCTGCCTCTGAAACCATTTCTACAACTCCTTATCATGTTTCTTTTTTCTTTTTCTTTCTTTCTTTTTTTTGACGGAGTCTCACTCTGTTGCTAGGCTGGAGTGCAGCGGCGTGATCTTGGCTCACTGCAATCTCTGCCTCCCAGGTTCAAGAGATTCTCCTGCCTCAGCCTCTCGAGAAGCTGAAATTACAAGTGCGTGTGCCACTACGCCCAGGTAATTTTTGTATTTTTAGTAGAGACAGGGTTTCACCATGTTGGCCAAGATGGTCTTGATCTCCGGACCTCGTGATCTACCCGCCTCGGCCTCCCAAAGTGTTGGGATTACAGGCGTGAGCCACTGCGCCCAGCCCATATTACGCTTCTTAATTGCCGTTATCTTGCAGTAGATTTTTCCTACTGATTTCCCTATGGAAATGGCACCCCCTCTTTCAGCCTCTCTCTTTAACTACCTCCTTTGACTAAAATGTGATTATTCATAGACTTAATTTGCTCACCTGAAAATCGCTGAAGTTGGACAAGATCATCATTTCTCAAACTGTGTCCTCTAGAACACCAACTTTTCGTAGTACAGTGCCAAGCAGCAGTTGTTCAATAAATATTTGTTGAATAAATGAAAATACTTGTGTCATGATAAAAGGGATTCTGGAGACAAGTGTAGGGAGAGCTGAGAAAAATGTGTTTAATCTTTACTCTAAAACTTTTCAGACCTTCCGATGGGCTACTAAGCAGTATAAAACTTCATATGGTATGCAACTTTTAGCAAACTTATTTAACCATGGAATTTCATGTTTTGCAGTTGCCTAGGAACCCGTCACAGAATATACATTAGATTTAATGATTACCAAATTTCTTTTGGCTATTAAATTCTATGACCACATGTCTTACACAGAGACCCATCCATCACTCCCATTCACCTCAAGGGAAGAAAATAAGTCTTCAACTTCATCCCTCCCCATAGCATCTAACACTATGTCTTTCCTTTTAAAGTCCTGTGATCATTAAAAAAAATTTGGTCTTTGTCCCCAGTTCCTGACACAGCTCCTAAAGCCCTTGGAATTTTGGGAGTAATAAGTGCCTTTTGCAAGTAAATGTGATGACTGATGGTTGGGGGGCCCCTAGATAGCTTCAGGGGAACGGGTTGCCAGAAAGACCAACGCACCATTAGGGAGTTGGAACTTTTAGCCTCACCCTACAACCTCCATGGAGGGGAGAAAGGGCTGGAATTGGAACTAATCAACAATGGCCAGTGATTTAGTTCATCATGTCTATGTAATGGAACTTCCATAAAAGCCCCTAAACAACCAGGGTTCAGAAAGCTTACGGAGGTGCTGGGAGGCTGTGCACCCAGAGAGGACATGGGAAGATCCATGCCCTTCCTCCACACCTTGCCCTAAGCATCTTTTCCATTTGGCTGTTCTTGAGTTGTATTCTTGACAATAAACTGGTTATAATAAGTACAGTCTTTTTTGAGTTCTGTGAGTTGTTCTGGCAAATTATTGAACCTAAGAAAGGGGTTATGAGAACCCTTGATATTTAGCCAGTCAGTCAGAAGTACAGGAGGCCTGGGACTTGGGATTAGCATCTGATATGGGGCAGCCTTGTGGGAGGGACTGAGCCCTTAACTCCAGGGATAGGATGCTAACTCCAGGTAGATAGTGTCAGAATTGAATTGAGTTGTTGAACACCTACTTGGTGTCTGGAGAGTTGGAGAATTGGTTGGTGTGAGCCAAAAAAAAAAAAAAAAAAACCACACGTTTGGCGTCAGGTATGGTGTTATTAAACACAGCACAGTAGTCCTGATTATTTAAATATACTAACCAAGTCTAAATTCTCACTTTCACACTCTCATGGTTTCCAGTAGCCATTTTCATTGTCTGATGACTTTGTATCTGTATTACTTCTCTAAATTGTTACAGTTACTTTGGGTAGCTATAACAAAATACCACAGACAAGATGGTTTATACAACAAATATGTATTTCTCCCAGTTCTGGAGGCTGGGAGGTCCAAGATCAAGGTGTAGGCAGATTCAGCATCTAGTGAGGGCTCTCTCCCTGCTTTGTAAATGGCCATATTCTGTGTCATTCTCACATGGAGGAGTCAGAGAAACCCCTGGTCTCTTCTTTTAATAAGGGCACTAATCCCGTCATAGCATCTCTACTCTCATCCTCTCACTTAAGCCTGATTATCTACTGAAAGTGCTATCTATACCAATACCACCCCATGGAAGATAAGGGCTTCAATGTATGAATTTTGCAGGAACATGTTTAGTCCATTATATCCACCATGTGTCTTAATATCTTAGATAGTGTTCAGATTAACAAACCGTCTCTAATCCTATCCCCCAGTCTACCATATTCTTAGACTTCACTGGCAGTCTCCACTCCACATGTTGAGAGGTGAAGCTGACTGGGCTTCTGGGTCGGGCGGGGACTTGGAGAACTTTTCTGTCTAGCTAAAGGATTGTAAACACACCAATCAGCACTCTGTCTAGCTAAAGGTTTTCAAACGCACCAATCATCACTCTGTAAAAACGCACCAATCAGCGTTCTTGTGTCTAGCTAAAGGTTTATAAACACACCAATCAGCACTCTGTAAAAAATGCACCAATCAGCGCTCTGTGTCTACCTAAAGGTTTGTAAATGCACCAATCAGCACTCTGTAAAAACACACCAATCAGCACTCTGTAAAATGGACCAATCAGTGCTCTGTAAAATGGACCAATCAGCAGGACATGGGCAGAGCCAAATAAGAACTAAAAACTGGCCACCCGAGCCCGCAGCAGCGATCTGCTCCGGTCCCTTGCCACACTGTGGAAGCTTTGTTCTTTTGCTTTTCACAATAAATCTTGCTGTTGCTCACGCTTTGGGTCCGCACTACCTTTATGAGCTATAACACTCACCACAAGGGTCTGCAGCTTCATTCCTGAAGTCAGCAAGATCACGAACCCACTGGGAGGAACAAACAACTCCGGACACGCTGGCTTTAAGAGCTGTAACCCTCACTGCGAAGGTCTGCGGCTTCACTCCTGAAATCAGCAAGACCACCAACCCACTGGAAAGAAGAAACTGCAGACACATCTGAACATCCGAAGGAACAAACTCTGGACACACCATCTTTAAGAACTGTAACACTCACTGTGAGAGTCCACAGCTTCATTCTTGAAGTCAGCAAGACCAAGAACCCACCGGAAGGAATAAATTCGGGACACAATGTCATCTACCCACAAAGGCTCATAGTTGTTATTGCATTGCACTGCTCAGCCTCTGAGCTCTCTTCCTTCCTTCTGTGTAAAAATTTCCTCTTGCCGCATTCCTTTGTTCCACCGCTGTTCGACAATCCTCTGACCTCAGGGCACTTTCCTGAACACTGATGACTTCCAAAGCACTAAGTCCACTCATCCTCTTCTGATGGTGGTTGCTCCCCACTCTACTGGGCTCCAGCACTGGACTATTGGACATCACCTAGCCAAGCCCCCTAAACCCCCATACAGACTTAACATGGTTCCATGCCGACTGTCACACAGGAAGCTCTTCAGCCACGTGCTTTGTTCCTTTTAGCGTCTAAGAAAATTATTGGGAAAAGTCACGAAACTAGTTTATTTTAGTTCGCCATAAAGAGTTGCCAATTCTCATAACTGAATTAGTTATTGTACCCTGAGGAACCTTGATTCATTTCTTATTGATAAACTTTCCTTTCCTGTAGACCCACTATCTCCAAAGTGCTGACAGGATACTGATAAATATTCTATGGAAAGAAGGTTCCATGGTCATATAGATATTGGGGGAATATAAGGCTAAATTTAAATAAACTTGTCTCATTTATTCTCAGAGCCTTAAAACACTAGCATGCATTGTGAATTTGCTAAATGTTGTATATGCAACACCACACAGCATATACAAGTTTATGTGATAACTGAATCCGTTTAGTAGTAGTAATCATTTTGTTTTGTTTTGTTTTGTTTTAATTTTTTAGAGTGCATGGACTAAATTTTGAATGACTTTAGTTTAAATTTTCTTTTCAGGACTCATGACAGAAAGGTTCACTGGCTGTTCACCCAGCCTATTCCCTCTTCTTCCTGAGAACACAGCTACACCTCATTTGCCAACCTCCCTTCCAGTATGGCATAAGGTGTGAATGACCTCTGGCCAAGGAAATTACAGTAGAGATGACGTGCATTGCTTCTTAGTCTGGTCTTTGGAAACCTCCCTCCACACACGCCCCCCATGTTCTTTTCTGGTTCTGGCTGCTGGAATGGAGCTGAGCCCCTGAGCGATCTTAGAAGCATGTGCTGTGTGAGGAGCCTGGGTCCCTGAATCACCACTTGGAGCTGAGTCACCTGACCAAGAACGCCTGCATTGTCAGTTTTATGAGTGAAAAATAAACTTTGTTATGTAGACACTAAAATTTGAAGATATATTCAGGACCGAGATTAGGATAAGACAAATGCGGTACTTACTTGCTTTAGGTGCAAAATGGAAGGCAAACACCAAAACAACAACAACAACAACAACAACAACAAAACAGATATAAAGATAAACAAGATGCGATATTTTTTAAAAATTCAAATCAGGCCCGGCGCAGTGGCTCACGCCTGTAATCCCAGCACTTTGGGAGGCCAAGGCGGGCAGATCTCGATGTCCGAAGATCGAGACCATCCTGGCTAGCAGAGTGAAACCCCGTCTCTACGAAAAATACAAAAATTAGCCGGGCATGGTGGCAGGTGCCTGTAGCCCCAGCTACTGGGGAGGCTGAGGCAGGAGAATGGCATGAACCCGGGAGGCGAAGCTTGCAGTGAGCCGAGATCGCGTCACTGCACTCCAGCCTGGGCGACAGAGCGAGACTCTGTCTCAAAAAAAAAAAAAAAATGAAATCAATTCAAAAAAATCTATAACGAGTAAAATACCAATAATCACGAGGTCAGGAGATCGAGACCATCCTGGCCAACAAGATGAAACCCCGTCTCTATTAAAAATGCAAAAAAATTAGGTGGGCGTGGTTGTGTGTGTCTGTAATGCCAGCTACTTGGGAGGCTGAGGCAGGAGAATCGCTTGAACCTGGGAGGCAGAGGTTGCAGTGAGCTGAGATCGGGCCACTGCACTCCAGCCTGGCGACACGGAGAGACTCCATCTCAATAAATAAATAAATAAATAAATAAATAAATAAATAAATAAATATAAAAATAAATACAGGATCACCATTTACTTGCTACAGCAGCCATACCCAGCTGACAGAGGTTTCCAACACTCACACAGCAATTGATAGATAAACAGTCCCACCACTGTGGCCATATCACTGTCCTGTTCAGAAGGGGTTACTAGATATCTCAAAACTGCCCAGCCAGAGTTCTTCACTTTTGGCTCTAAACGATTTTCCCTGCTTAAATAAATTTCATTCCAAGAAAAAAAAAAGGGGGGGGGGTATTTTTACGTTATTTTGAATAAATTGTATTCACTTACTTCTTCATGCTTGTCCTCAAACAGCTTCCCATTCCTAGAATTTCATTCTTGATCATCTTCCTGATCATATCAAATCCTTATTAGTTAAGGTCCAATGACCTCCTGTGTGCAACTTGACCATAATGATTTGTTTTCCACGCATTTGGTATTTCCTTGTGGCATTTCCTCTTCCTCTTGTATGTTTTTTCTTATATAATTTAACTTGAGGATTACTAGCTAACGCTTCAGATCTGAGTCTACTCTATCTAACTAAGCTGCATGCTTTGTAAAAATAGGAACCCTGTCTGAATCCTCTTTCTATTCCCACCTGCACAGGACACTGATGGGCACTTACTGATTTGATTTACACCTGATTTTATTGCTGTGTGACTGGCAATTGCTGTATTTGGTTCTTGAACACTTTATTTTTTTATTTTTATTTTTTGAGACAGAGTCTCGTTCTGTCGCCCAGGCTGGAGTGCAGTGGCACGATCTTGGCTCACCGCAACCTCCGCCTCCCAGGTTCACATGATTCTCCTGCCTCAGCCTCCTGAGTAGCTGAGATTACAGGCACACACCACCACACCCTGCTAATTTTTTGTGTATTTTTAGTAGAGACAGGGTTTCACTATGTTGGCCAGACTGGTCTCGAACTCCTGACCTCGTGATCCACCCGCCTCGGCCTCCTAAAGTGCTGGGATCACAGGCGTGAGCCACCGCACCTGGCCGGTTCTTGAACACTTTAATTTTCCCTTGGCTGACCACAATACTGATAACCTAAGCACCAGGCATGGCAGGGCAAAATACGATTCCAGTGTTGATCAATACAGCTTCCCCAAGGAAGCATTCTCAAGGGCAACGTCAAAGGGGGATTCAGAGGAGGCCGTTTCTGCCTCATCTTAGGTGGCTGGCTTTGGCTCTGTCACCTCATTTCTAAGTTTACTTATAAAGAGAATCCCCATGTATACAGAAATACGTCTTTCTCCAGAACTCTGCCTACTGGTTGGAGGAACAGTGCTGAACCCAAAATGATTAACTGTTTTAGGCAAGGCTGGAGAACTTTTTCAAATGTAAATTAAGACAAAGAAAGGCACAGCTAAGACCTTTCCCAATTCAGCATGATCAGCTGCCCTTGTGCTTGAGAAGTGGAAATGGATGTGGTATACTGGAGAAAAGTGATTCCCACTTTTCACATTTTCCATTGCATGCACATTATTGGAGCCTTGAATAAATCAAGTCAAGAACTTCTTCCCTCTCTGGTAGACTTACAGTCCTCCCCTTTAAGCAAGAAGGAGAATTATAATTGACTGCCTAGAAAAGTTGCCTGTAGTGCCATTTGGAATTCTAGTCCCCTGGGTCTAAGGCTTCCTGGTCTTTCTAGGACCATGTTAGTTAAAGCTTCTTTTGTTTTTCATGGGGCAGAGTCTACAATGTTTTTCATGGGGCAGAGACTACAAGAATTGCTTTGGCTAAAGGGTGCAAACAAAATACAGGATCCCAGTAACAAATGATTTCACTGTGTCTCTATGGCTAAGTAGAGAGCTGGAGTCATTCCTCCCTTCAGCTATGACAGTGCTGGGTTGAGGAGAGGTGTTCTGTAAGTTCACAGGACAGGAAGCGCTGATGCCCCAGCAGGTGCAGCATTGGGGTTGGCCATGAAGACCGCCATGACATACCTTGTGTGAGAGAAGCTGCTTGCAGAAAGGAGTGGGTCTTGTGGCTGCATTCACCAATGGTTTAAGCCAGAAGCCATCATTGCACTGGCAGCTTTAAATAACAGCATCATTACAGACCTCTTTGATGAGGATACTGTGCCTTCTCTCTTAGTTGAAACAACTAAGATCTTCTCTACCCTTGATTTTGTTGGGGTCCTCAAGACCTGTCCAGATTAGATTACATTCTAAATAAAAAATCCATATCTCAAATTCTGAACAGCAGTTCAAATCCCCTGAATGTCTTCGATTTGATTCCTTACCAATCAAACACCTGTCCACATCATCCCTTGTTTTAAAAGCTTTTCTTCTGAGATGCCCCTAGCCAGCTAACTTACTCTTTTCTGGCAACTCCTAGAGTTCTTTCTAGACATGTGAAATAATACTAGTTTATCAAAATACCTTTTTTTAAGCTCATCATCCCTAATCCCCTTCTCTCACACATTCTCCCCTCTCAGGTACTTCCTTTGAAATCTGTAAGTAGGCCCCTGACCTAACTATCCACATCTTAATTAAACTTCCCTTAAAATAACATCCAGGAGGAATTTTATTCCACTGATACTGCTTACAGATAGGAGCTATAGAGCAATAGACGATCTAATAATTGTCCTATAAAAACTCTAGACAGGAGTCTGCAAGGAAAATTAGACACAAAGGTAAGGGAGTGATGCCACTGATATCATCACCAGGAAGCATGAGGGCCAGAGACTCAAAAAAAGTCACAGATTCAGAAGGAAAAAGAGCATTTTTGAAAACTTCCTGCCTCATAAGCAAGACATTCGATTGTACCTTTTTTCTGAGAGTTTCTATTGAGTGGCTAGTCTGTGTTCTAGGCAGAGGCTTGGCAAGACTACTGGTCCAGTTGCAAAGCCTAAGGCCAAAACCTGGTGGTTTGAGTAGCTCTGAGCCTTCCACGGATTCCAGAAAAGTAGCAGGAAAATTCACAGCGCTCAGGAGGTAATTGCCAGTTATTGCTCTACTGGTTCCAATTTTAGTAGCAAATGAGCAATGTATAATGTATCAAGCTTATTAAAAAATATAAATGAGAAATAAAAGTGCTCACAAGGGGAATGGGAAATTCACAAAGTTTTACAAGATACAGTCATTACCAGAGCTGACATCTGACAGCCGCTAGGCCCTGTGCGGTGCTGATATCTCTGTGATGCCTTGTAGGCTATGTGCTCAAGGCAGCTCAGTGCAAACCCCTGAGGGGTGCGCAGCTGATTATTGCCTTTCTTGTTGAGGGGTGCTGACTTTGGAACTGTTAAGTCCCCAGACCTACCAAGGCAATCTAGTTCGAAGCATGCTCAGCCTCCTTTTGAAAGAGAGATAAAGCAAAGGTTTTGTCTTTCAAGCACGAAGAGGAAATGTTCATCCAGATTTTCAAAACCTGCAGGGTTGGGATAAGATGCCATCCCTGAGGATTTAACAGATACCACCTTCCTCCACCATACCCTCCACCCCCAACAAGTCTAGTACCTTATTATCTTGAAACTAAACGATGGTAATATCCCCATAAATTATCTCCCCACAGGCAGACTGCCCCCTAACTCTATTCCACCCTATGTCCTGGTGTGCCAAATTAGTATTCCTCAAGCCCCCTGAGAATAATGTCACTTAACCTCATTCAGCAGCACGTGCCTGATTTGCAAATAACTCACAGACATTTCAGTCTAGAATTCACCATTTTCACCAATGGTGTCCCACGCTACCTACCTCGTCGGTGTTCTCACCCACTACTCCCCAGCGGTGACCCCCATTTCTGCTGAACAAAAACACTTATGGCTTCCTGAGCACAGATTACACCCTTATGCCTCCCGCTGGGTGGGCCTTTTCTGCCTGGAGTTCATCCTCCCTCCATTCCACTCCAGGAAGTCTTTCGCAAACCCTTGTTTTTATAAACCTACCGTGTTTCAAGCAGTATGGGAATGGAACAGGTGGAGGAAGAAATGTAATCTACTTTTGTATAAAGGGGTGTCGCATTCAACATTAAACCCATTTCACTTACACAGATTCAACTTGGCAATGGGGAGACACAGCACAACTGAAATGATGCAGGCAATTTAGCCTGGTGTTCAACTAGGAGCCTGTGTCCTAGAAAACAGAAATGGGGCTGAGACTCACCTGTCTTCTCCAAGGTCCCCAGATCCCTGAGGGCCCCTTAGAGTGGAAGCATCTTGCCTCAAAACCATCCTAGACTTGATTAAAGAGTTTCTCAAGTCGATGTTAGACTGTATTAAGAGCTTACTTACACGTGGAGTTTTAGACCTAACACCCAAACACAACATGATTTCTCTACATGCACAAATATGTCATTTTTTCATAAAATAATAAAAATGCAAAAGATGTTTATAATTAACAGAAGGTGCTGAGACAATCATTTAACTACTTGAGATAAGAAATGAAGCTCCAGCAGCACCTCAAACCACATGCAAAAGTCAACCCCAGATGTGTTGAGTTAAATGTGTCTGAGAGTATATTATATTACATATAAGAACTTGAAAACAGATGAAGTCATTCCTGAAGAACTGTTTTCTAAGCATAAAAGCAAAGGCACGAATTATGAAATAAAAGATACCTTTGGTTTCGTTAGATTTCCTCCTTCTCTTGTCTTTCTCCCAATCTTATGCAAAATGACCTAAGAAGAAGAAAAATCTGGGAAGCCCTTCTTCAGTACTGAGCCCTAGTGAAGGGTGGCATCCACATTCAGCTTTGAGGAATCAAGTTAAAGGATGACACCTAGGGCCATGTTGCACAGATATAATACCTTCCCGAAAACAGTATGTGATGTGATGAGGGGCTACACCAGAAGGACTTCAATCTCCCTAGATTTGGGGAGAATTAGAAAGCAAGGCAAAGCCGGCCGGGCGCGGTGGCTCACATCTGTAATCCCAGCACTTTGGGAGGCCGGGGCGGGCAGATCACGAGGTCAGGACAGGGCAGACCACCCTGGCTAACATGGTGAAACCCCGTCTCTACTAAAAATACAAAAAATCAGTGGGGCCTGGTGGCGGGCACCTGTAGTCCCAGCTACTCGGGAGGCTGAGGCAGGGGAATGGTGTGAACCCGGGAGGCGGAGCTTGCAGTGAGCCGAGACTGTGCCACTGCACTCCAGCCTAGGCGACAGAGCGAGACTTTGTCTCAAAAAAGAAATAAAATAAAAGAAAATAAAATAAATAGATAAAAAATAAAAAGAAAGCAAGGTGAGGCCGGTCATGGTGGCTCATGCCTGTAATCCCAGCACTTTGGGAGGCCGAGTCAGGCGGATCACGAGGTCAGGAGTTCGAGACCAGCCTGGCCAACATGGTGAAACCCTGTCTCTACTAAAAATACAAAAATTAGTCAGGCGTGGTGACAGGCACCTGTAGCCTCAGCTACTCGGGAGGCTGAGGCAAGAGAATCGCTTGAAACCGGAAGGCAGAGGTTGCAGGGAGCAGAGATCGCGCCACTGCACTCCAGCCTGGGCGAAAGAGCGAAACTCCGCCTAAAAAAAAAAAAAAAAGCAAGATGAAATCAGCATAAACAGAAATGCACTCAGAAACTCAATGGCAGCCATGCTTGCACATACTTGCACCCAGCAGAATATCCTCAGGACAGCGAACAGATTCCCTGAAAGAGCAGGTACCAGAATAGGCAATAGGTTCGACACAGTCAAATTGTATAGCCACAGAGATGGCTTAGCTCACCCAAATTAAAACAAATGAGAACAACAAACTTCCAACAAACAAAAGGATACATACAAAGCAAACATCTAGCCCAGCAGATTCATAAAAATGAGCACGGGTCGGACGAAGGCCCAGAAATGTTTCCTTAATGGATGCCCTGCGATTCCGCCTCTTTTCCCCTCTTCACAGTTGCTGAATCACTTAATAAGAATGGATTTTTCATCAGCTAGACCTCCTGTTTATCTGAGGCGAATCACACACTCTACTTTTTGAGCAAATTAAAGGCCTGAGTAAAACCCTTGAACATTTAAGCATGAGTCAACAGACATCAGAAAGAGAAGTTACAAAATTAAAAGAAAAAGACAACCTCTAAAGAGAAAGAGACAACAAAGGCACCTTTCAGAGGGAAGAAAAAAGAAGATTTGTAACAACAACAACAAAAAAACCCAAGGTAAGAATTAAGTGATACCTGTCCAATACTCTCACTAAATGTAAATATGGACTTCATCAAACAGAGATGAAATTGGAAATACTAAGAATAAAGAATAGTAAGAATAAAGACAGGTTAAGAAGCAGCTACTTAAGAGGTGAGCAGGAAAAAAGGACAGGTGAACTCATTCAAAGAAACTGAAAATACAAAAGTAGAAAGGTTAAGTATCATTGTGGAGGCCAAGCTTGAAGCCATCTCCTCTCAAGCTGCAGAGAAAAGCTACTCAGATATGGGAACAGGAAGAGGAGCAGACAGGTTGAGATCAGAGAATGAAGCTCCACAATGTAGGTCATTGAATGTTTTGGAAAAAGATCTCAAGACCTGGAATCCTCAGAGAAAAAATGTTCATCGTTAACAAAATTGCTGAAAAGGGACAAGCATTTGCTGTGTCCTGGTAAACGTTTTGAATTTTAGGAATAAAGACAGAATCCTGTAAGTTACCTAAAAGCAAGATAAAAGAAGTGGTCTAAGGCCTTTACTTAACACCATTAAATACCATAAGACCTGGGAGCAGATTCCGCAGAAATCTGAGGGAAAATATGTATGACTCAGGAAAGCTATAGTCCACCAAGATTTCATTTATAGGACAAGATTTAAGAAAAAAATGGAAAAGCCAGGCATAGAGGCTCGAGCCTGTAGCTCCTTGCTGCTTGGGAGGCTGAGATAGGAGAATCCCTTGAGCCCAGGAGTTAGAGACTTGGTGCACTGCAGTTGTGCCTGTGAATAACCATTGCACACCAGACTGGACAACATAGTGAGACACTGTCTCTAAAACAAACAAACAAAAATTGGATGTGCAAAAAATTGTAAATGTTGAAAACATTACTTTCTACTATATACATATGGTATTATTTATAATATATATAAAGTACTATGTACTTCAATAATACATAGATAAAATAAAAATTTCAAAGATCAATTATACAATTTAAAAACAAAAACAGTAGTGATCTATGCTATATGTAAGTAATAAAAAATTCAAAGTAAGAAAGCAAATGATAAAAATGTTAAAAAAGATGATTATCTCGAGCGAAGGAAGGCAGAGGGTGGAATCTGACACAGGCACATCTGCCTGTAACTATTCCAGTTTTATTTTCTTTAAAACGATCTCTATCTATCTGTAGCTATGTCTGAAACAAACAAACATGGCAAAATATCAAATCTGGCATGTGAGAAGTTAACTGTACCATTTGCAGACTTAATATATTGTACATGCTTTTTAAAGAACTGAATAATGAAGAGATTAGAGACTGCAGAGTTGCATCATCAAATAAGCTAAACACGGAAGTCTAAAAAATTGTCACAAAAATGTTTACGAAATGCCAGTGTAAAAAATAGCCCTTGAAGAAAAAAACCACAATGCTACTGAAAAGTAATAATAAAAGGCCAGGTGGTAGATTACAATGGTTTAAGGCTTGAGCTCAGGAATAATACTGCTCTGTGCTCAGATTCTGACTCTACCACTTAGCAGTGATGTGGCCTTCAGTAAGTTACAATGCCTGTCTGAATCTCAGCTATGCCCTTGTACAAAGGCTAATAATAATACCTACCTCATGGGGAAATTGTAACAATTATGTAAAACAAGGAATACAAATCTGGAACACTGTTGTGTAAAACAATGAATACCAATCAGCCTGGAGCCTGGCACATATGAGTATTCAACTAATATTAACTGTTAGTATTATTATGACAACAAAAAAAGAGACTGGGTGGAGATGCTTTGTTTTACTCCAGTCTCTTAGCACCTCAGCTGGGGGCTACCACCCAAGGCAAATCTGGAAAAGGTAATTTCGTATTAATGGACACACCTCTTCAAGCATCTAGAAATTCAGACATTTATGTGTCCAAACTCTACTTCTACACTCTTCTTACACCTAAAAGTAAAAATATTTTTGAAAATATAATGTTTTTATTACATGTGAATATATATTCAATTACATACATATATTTTAATGTTCTATATAAAATTTAATTATATAACATATTACATTAATTACATATTAGATATAATCTTATATTTTATGATATAATTTTATTTATATTATATATTATAAAAGTTTGATCTTGTATTATATGTTTAATTTATTATTGGCTAATTTATTTATTATTAAGGTCTTAGGCAATTGATTATCTTTAAAGTATCCTTCCCCTTAGAAAACTCTAGAAATGGAAATGAACATGTTCCTACCAAATTCAGTGAACAGCACTTTCTTCTTCACATTCCAGGTACAGGATGGAAGCACAGGCTATCCCTAAGGCAACTGAGGAGACTGAGGGGCAATGTGTAAATACACATTTTTATTTTATTTTATTTTATTTTATTTTTTGCTTAGGTTGTACAATTAATATTTATTTTTCAAGCAGCAAGTTTGGTTTTGGTTTTTTTGCAAAAGGCCCATCTTGTTTTCTTAACAATTCTTTGATCCTCTAAATTTATATTTTGAAAATTTTCAAAGTTACAGGAAAGGTACAATAGTAAGAGTGTATTGGCCGGGCGTGGTGGTTCACGCCTGTAATCACAGCACTTTGGGAGGCCGAGGCAGGCAGATCACCTGAGGTCAGGAGTTCAAGACCAGCCTGGCCAACATGGTGAAACCCCATCTCTACTAAAAATACAAAAATTAGCCAGGTATGGTGGCACATGCCTGTAATGCCAGCTACTCGCGAGGCTGAGGCAGGAGAATCGCTTGAACCCGAGAGGTGGAGGTTGCAGTGAGCCGAGACAGCGCCACTATACTCCAGCCTGGGCAACAGAGGGACACTCGTCTCCAAAAAAAAAAAAAAAAAAAAAAAAAAAAAAGTGTATTACCTACATACTCTTCAACTGGAGTCACCATTTCTTTTTTCCTGCCACCTTTGCTTCTCTGTGTGTGTGTAACTCTATATATTCTTTCTGAACTGTAACAGAGTTAAACATCATGACATCTCACCTCAAATACTTCCACGTGTATTACCTACAAACAAAAACATTCTCCTAAGTAATCATAATACAATCATCATACTCAGGATATTTAACATGGAGGAAAACAAATTTTATTACAGCGTGTGTCTGGATTTTTGGTTTGGAATATAGAGTTTCTTTTAGTCTGGATACCCTGCTGATTATGCCTATGGTAAAGTGAGCTGACTAACAATATAGCTCCATTACTAAAAATCATGAGTAAATATCTCTAAATAATTAACTATTGCAATTCCATTTTGATCAAAGTGCAATTTCAACACAGGTGCCTGATAGAGAATCTGGTTTGGAACTGAAGTACTTAGTACCTCAGGAAAACTTATTAAAATGTTTTCTTCTTGTAAAAGACAGGGGAAGCAAAGTGTGGGAAATTAAAGTGACATTCCTGAAGTTTACAGAAGGAAGGTTGGTAAAATTCAAACTTAAGTTCCAGCAATACTGTACAGCAAAGCACAGATCCTGACACCATGTAGCCTATGGGAGAGGTGGGCACAGAAGATCCAGTAAGAGACCAGAAACACATTGCTTCCATCTCCCTCATTTCTGTTTGTAACACATCTCAGCCAGAGGCCTCCATTCCTCGATGGATGTTAGAGTCATCTTGGGAGCTTTTAAAAGATGCAGAGATGCCTTGGAGCCTACCTCAGACCAATAAAAGTAGAAATCACTGGGGACAGAACAAGGATGCTGGTATTTACAAGCTCCCAGGAGATTCTAACAAGCAGCCAGAATTGAGACCCATTGCCCTAGAGGAAAGGAAGTTTGGACTTTGGGTATGGCTGTGTATTCTTGTCCACCCCTACCTAAGTCTCTTGCCTTAGGAAGTGACACTGCACTGCATTTTTCCTTCCCTCTGCTCCTGATTTTCTTGTGAGCATTCGAGCATTCACCCTGAGATACCAGATCATTCTTTTTTTTTTTTTTTGGAGACAGAACCTTGCTCTGTCGCCCAGGCTAGAGTACAGTGGCGTAATCTTGACTCACTGCAACCTCCTCCTCCTGGGTTTAAGCGATTCTCCTGCCTCAGCCTCCCAAGGAGCTGGGATTTGGGATTACAGGCACCTATTACCATGCCCTGCTAATTTTTGTAATTTTAGTAGTGACGGGGTTTCGCCATGTTGGCCAGGCTGGTCTCGAACTCCTGACCTCGTGATCCAACCACCTTGGCCTCCCAAAGTGCTGGGATTACAGGGGTGAGCCACTGGACCTAGCCACCAGACCATTCTTAAATGCATTGTCCACAATGTGTCAGACCTCCCACCAGGCTGGAGACACTGCGGGATTCCAGCAGGAGATGGACGCCACACCCAACTGCAGGCACTTCACTCACACAAGCGCAAAATGACAGAGCTGTGAATTGTGCCAGTGCCAATGTCCGGATCCCAGGGGTACAAAGAGGACAGACAAAGGGCAAAAAGAGAGTGTAGGGTACGGATCTGTGTGGTGCTGAAGGCGGCTTCCTCAGATGAAGCTCTCAGTGGTGTGGGCTGTCACTGGGCCCAGGAGCTTAGCTGGGGAAGAAACCTGTAATTGACAAAGTCACGCCGCCCATGTCCCTTATAAACGGTTGAATTCTCAAGCAAAGACCAGCGTTTGTGACAGGTTACAATACCTGACTATGTGAATAAATAACGGATATACCTCCCTCTTCTTTCCCTTCTCCCCATGGCCATGACCACCCTGTCTTTTTGGAATAGGCAAGCAGTAACTTTGGCTCTGTCTCTAGGAAAAAGGAGCCGCAGCCTGCAAGAGTGGACTGAGCTTCCATCACATGCCAGGAGATGAGTCAGACACAGTCATGGTCTGGAGGAGTCCAGGATCGCTCATTCTGCAAGAGGCAGGGACAGACGTGTGTGCCGTGGACAGACAGACAGCCTCGTCTATTCTGCGAACATTTCACATCCTGTCACCAGTGTGGCTGCTCGGGCACACACGAGGGACAGCGGGTGGGGGGGAAAGTAACCCTATCCAATTCCTGACATTGCAGCCCCCTCACACCCGCTCTGATCTCCATTACATCCTGGGATTGAATGGCCCTATAAAAATGTCCACCGTGAAAGACAGATTCAAAAACTGAAGAAACAGTATCCTGATGGAAGTCCTTTAACATCCTCCACCCTCAAGCTTCAGCCCTTCCCCCAGGCTCTACAATAGAACTCCCATCCCCAACCCTGGCCAGGCAGAGAATTTATGAGCTCTAAGTCCTGTTTTTCTACATTGATGGAAATCACGGGCAAACGTTTCCACTGGGCCAAACTCCATCCAGAGTCAAATATCAAGGCACCCAGCTGAGCTCCAGGAGCCAGCGTTTATGAAGCCAGTCGATGTGCCCTGTGACCGTAAACCATCTTATATTTACTATGACAGGACAGTATTTGAGTTAATAAAAAGACGATTTTTCTGCCTAACTTTTGTTGCCTGGAAGGCCCTAGCTTCTTTTACAAGGGGATTGTGTGTCAGGACCCGATACAGAGCCTGAAAAGCCAGCTGTTTGCTCATTTCATTGGGGTAAAGAAATTGAGTCAGACGTAAAGGGGCCCTAAACAAGATTCCATAGATTCTTGAAGGTCCACGATAAGTGGGAAAAATACATACCTGTTATCTTGTATGCTGCAAATGGGAAGCAGGGAGAAGAGAATCACTTTATCTAACCTTCCCAGCCCTGCCTTCTCCAGGGATACCTAGACCCCATTTGGAAAAAGGGACAGTGATGAGCCTCTGAAATGTTCGCCAGAACCGCAGCAAAGGGTAGAACCACATCATCAATTTAGGTTGGTCAGGGTATGGAAAGAAACTGAAGTTGGGGTATAAAGGGAATGAAGGGATTTAGGAGGGAGCTTCCTGCTGCAGAAGGGACAACATATTCTGGGCTCTTTCAGTTACCTGGAGGGTCTGTGGGTTGTTTGCTACCAATGTTGCATTTATTTCACTCAAGTCATTCTGCAGGAGGACCTATGCCAGCTGGGGCCAAGGGAATTGGAGCAGGATGTATGTAGGCATTTTGTGAGGATGTAAGCAAACTAAGAAAATGTCAGATATGTCCAGCTACTAGTCTAAAGTGTTGACCCCAGTGTGGGGGGCAGAGAGGGAGCATGTAAGTTGTCCTCATCTCTAGAGCAGCTTCACAGAAATCCAGAGGTTCTTTTAGCTCTGACACTCTCTAACTCTGGGAATCACTAAGTCAATGGAGTTCAGAGGGTCATAGTTGAGCAAAGCCTCAGGAAACAGCCTTTTCAAAGGACACGCACAAGTCCCCAACACAGAACTGAAGGCTGCTGTCTCTCTTTCTGGCAATGGGTATTTGTCCCTGGAGTATGCGGTTGCAGCTCCTTCCTTTCCTGATACACGTTTCTGTACTTTTTAAATGCTATTAATTAACTGTGAAAGGACAACTTAAAGATCACAAAATTGCAACTATGAGCACCGGTGCCAGGCACTAGTTTTTCTTAATTATCAAGAAAAATTAATTTCTTATTAATTATTATTGAATAAATGGGCCAATCTACGATTGCACAATAAAACATTTGGACTCGTCTTGTGGACCACAAAGCTGAATTACCATTGCTCTTCAGGAAGCTAAAGAGATTAGATGGGTTTTAGGAAGTTTTTACTGTTAATCCAGGAAAGCAATTCTGCCTCCATCAGCAGCACCTCATGACATGTGTTAATGATATTTTTTCTGTACTCTGAACTTCCTTTTGCCAATGCTCAGCAACATGCATTTTTACCCCTTGATGCAGAAAATAACAGAAGTGAAATATCCTGAGGAATATTAAAGGCAGTAGGGATTTTCTCAAAAGGTTCAGATGCTTTTTGGCAGAGATTTATTTTTTCTGAGTAAATTATCCAATCTGAGACTCCTTTAGTATTTGATTTTAATCCATTTAAATTTATTTTGATTACAGTTGTCCCTTGGTATCCACAAAGGATTGGTTCCAGTACCCCCTAAGGATACCAAAATCCATGGATGCTCAAGTTCCTTATATAAAATGGCATGGTATTTGCATATAACCTACACACATCCTCCTGTATACATTTAAATCTTCTCTAGATTACTTGTAATACCTAACAGAATGGAAATGCTACGTAAACAGCTCTTAGACCATATTTTTTAGAATTTGTATTACTTTTTATTATTGTATTGTTTTGTGGGAGCGGGGGCTGGAGATTGGTTGAATCCCTGAATGTAGAACCCACAGATGTGGAATGTCCCCTGTGCTTAGAAATTTGGACTTCTTTCCTTTTTTTTTTTTTTTTTTTTAAGAGACAGAGTCTCACTCTGTCACCCAGGCTCGAGTGCAGTGGTGCGATCGCAGCTCACTGCAACTTCCACCTCCCGAGTTCAAATGATTCTTATGCCTCAATCTCTCAAGTAGCTGGGATTACAGGTGCATGCCACCACCCGGCTAATTTTTGTATTTTTAGTAGAGACGGGGTTCTGCCAAGTTGGCCAGGCTGGTCGCAAACTCCTGACCTCAAGTGATCTGCCTGCTTTGGCCTCCCAAAGTGCTGGGATTACAGACATGAGCCATCGTGCCTGGATGAAATTTGGACTTGTTTTCTATCATCTTATTTGATGCTTTCTATGTACTATGTCTGTTTGTTTTTTTCTTTTCTTTTATTGGAGTAGTCAAGTTTATTTTATTGAATCCCTTTCCAGTTTAGAAATTATTATTTCAGTGGTTACATTTCAATTTTTGCATGGTAGCTAATTTAAGAAAACCTCAAATTACTATTGCAATCCTTCTCTATCAATGCAAGGGTTTAAAAAGCTTGAGGCCAGGCGCAGTTGCCCCTGCCTATAATCCCAGCACCTTGGGAGGCCAAGGCAGGCAGATCACCCAGGAGTTCGAGACAAGCTTGGGCAACATAGTGAATCCCCATCTCTACAAAAAATACAAAAATTAGCTCGGCATGGTGGCTTGCACCTGTAGTCCCAGCTACTCCAGAGGCTGAGGAAGGAGGATCACTTGAGCCTGGGAGGTCAAGGCTGCAGTGAGCTGTGATCGTGCCACTGCACTCCAGCCTGGGCTACAGAGTGAGACCCTGTCTCAAAAAAATAAATAAGTAAGTAAAATAAAAAATAAAATGCTTTAACACTGCCCTCCACTTCACCTTTCTCTCATTCTAATTTTACCATTGGTAAAACTGCTGTTAATCCAAGCAACATATTACTTTTATTAATTTTATAGTCACAGCTCGTTTGGATGGATGAGTGTGTTTACCATCTTCTCGGCTCACCCTTGCTTTTAGTACATCTTGTTTTCCTTCTGGATTCAGTCTTTCTTGCTAAAGCATGTCATTTAGTAGTTTCAGTAAAGGTTTTGTGTAGTTACTTCTCTCTTTGTTTATCTGAAAGTTCTCCACGTTCTGTCCTCTGGAAGTTTTATTAAATGCATTTTGGACCTAGTAAGTCTATACTCCGAGTGTGTAAACCACCCTTTTACAGTTCCATCTTTTTATCTCTTTAAGAAGTTTCTCAAATCTTTTCATTGTTAACGTTTTTCAGCTGTTTTCCTCTGCTGTTCAGTAAGTTTATCATTTATCTTTTAGTTATTACAGGCATACCTTGCCTTATTGAGCTCTGGTTTACTGTGCATTGCAGATATTGCATTTTTTAAAAATTGAAGGTTTGCAGCAACCCTGTATCAAGTAAGTCTATCGGGGTCATTTTTCCAATAGCATGCTCACATGCTGTGTCTCTGTGTCACATTTTGGTATTTTTCTCAATATTTCACTTTTTCATGACTATTGTATCTGTTATGGTGATCTGTGATTGGTGGTCTTTGATGTTACTATTGTAATTGTTTTGAGGTGCCTCAAACCACGCCCATAGAAGACAAGGAATTTTATTGATAAATGTGTGTGTACTGACTGCTCCACAGACCAGCTATCCCCCATTTCTCTCCTCCTCAGCCTCCCTATTACCTGAGACACAACAATATTGAAATTAGGTCATTTAATATCCCTACAACGTTATAAATGTTCAAGGGAAAGGAAGAGTTGCACCTCCCTCACTTTAAATCAAAAGCCAGAAATGATTAAACTTAGTGAGGAAGGCATGTTGAAAGCTGAGACAGGCTGAAAGCTAGGCCTCCTGCAACAGTTAGCCAAGTTGTAAATGCAGAGGAAAAGTTCTTAAAGGAAACAAACGTGCTACTCCAGTGAACACACAAATGATAAGAAAGTGAAACAGCCTTATCACTGATCTGGACAGAAGATCAAACCAGCCACAACATCCCCTTAAGCCAAAGCCTAATCCAGAGCAAGGCCCTAACTCTCTCATATTTTATGAAGGCTGAGAAGGTGAGGAAGTTGCAGAAAAAAAAAGTGTGAAGTTAGCAGAGTCTAGTTCATGGGGTTTAAAAAAAGAAGCCATCTCCATAACATAAAAGTGTAAGATGAAGCAGCAGGTACTGACACAGAAGTTGCAAAAAGTTATCCAGAATATCTACATAAAATTATTGATGAAGGTGGCTACACCAAACAACAGATTTTCCATGTAGACAACGTGGAAGATAGAAGAAGATGCCATGTAGGAATTTCATAGCTACAGAGAAGTTAATACCTGGCTTCAAAGTTTCAAGGACAGGCTGACACTTTTGTTAGGAGTTAATGCAGCTGGTGACTTTGAGCTGAAGCCAATGCTCATTTGCCATTTCAAAAGTTCTAGGGCCCTTACAATTTATGCTAAGCCTATTCTGCCTGTGCTGTACAAATGGAACAACAAAGCCTGGATGACAGCACATCTGTTTACAGCATGGTTTACTGAATATTTTAAGCCCACTGTTGAGACCTACTGCTCAGAAAAAAAAGATATCCATCTAAATATTACTACTCATTGATAATGCATCTGGTTATCTAAGATCTCTGAGGTATAAGATGAATGTTGTTTTTTATAACTGCTAATACAATATCCATTCTGTAGCCCACAGGACAAAGAGTAATTTTGACTTTCAAGTCTCATTATTTAAGGAATATACTTTGTAAGGCTATAGCTACCATAGATAGTGATTCCTCTGATAGATCTTGGCAAAGTAAACTGAAAACCTTCTGGAAAGAACTCACCATTCTAGGTGCCATGAAGAACATTTGTAATTCTTGGGAGGAGGTTATAAAATATCAACACAAACAGGAGTTTTGAAGAAATTGATTCCAACCCTCATGGATGACTTTGACAAGTTCTGGACTTCAGAGAAGGAAGTAACTCCAGATGTGGTGGAAATGGCCCAAGAACTAGACTTAAAAGTGGAGCCTGAAGATGTGACTGAATTGCTGCAATCTCACAATAAACCTTGAACCGATAATGAGTTGCTTCTTATGGATGAACGAAGAAAGTGGTTTCTTGAGACGGAATCTCCTCCTGGTAAAGATGCTGTGAGCATTGTTGAAATGACAACAAAGGATTTAGAATGTTACATAAACTTAGTAGATAAAACAGCAGCAGGATTTGAGAGGACTGACTCCAATTTTAAAGGAAGTTCGACTGGAGGTAAAATGCTATCAAACAGCAGCATCGCATGCTGCAGAGAAATCTTTCATGAAAGGAAGAGTGGATCAATGAGGCAAATTTCATTTTTGCCTTATTTTAAGAAATTGCCACAACCACCCCAGTCTTCAGCAACCACTATCCTGATTAGTCAGCAGCCATCGACACTGAGGCAACACTCTTTCTCAGCAAAAAGATTACAACTCACTGAAGACTCAGCTGATCATTAGTACTTTGTTAGCAATAAAGTATTTTTAAACTAAGGTATGTACTTTTTTAGACATAATTACATAGCACGCTTAATAGACTATAGTATAGCATAAACATAACTTTTATACACACTGGGAAATCAAATAACTTGTTCAGCTCACTTTATTGTAATATTTGCTTTACTGTGATATTTGCTTTATTACAGTGGTCTGGAGCAGAACCTGCAAGATCTCTGAGGTATGCCTGGACTATGTTTTTCTGCTATTTTAATCTGCAGTTTATCCTTCCTATTGAGTTTTTAACTTCAACATTTACAATTTTTCATTTCACATTCTATTTGGCTCTTTGTCAAATATTTTTATGCTGTCCAGATTTTTCATAATAATTTTAATATTTTCTTTTGTTTCTTTAATTTGAAACAAGCATGTAAGTATCTTTCAGAGTGTTATGATTTTGAGGTCAGTTTGGGGTTTGTTGGTTCTACTGCCTCTTCCACACGGTAGGTTTCTTTCTTCGAGTGACTGAAATTTCTAACTGTGTTTCCCATCCTCAATTGTGGTCGTTCATTCTGGGGTAGTCTCCTGGGAACCAAGTTGTAAAAAATCACTCGGAACAGCTTCAGTTTTTCTTTTGCCAAAGATACCAAGGTTTTCAATGGTCCTGAGACCAGTTCTTCTGTTGATTTCTCAGCTTGTGGTTCTCACACTTCACGGGAAGCATAAACTCAGGCCACATGCAAACATAGAGCTCAGACCTGTGGTTTTAATTCCTTATGAGAGACTTTTTTTATTTTTATTTTTTGTCCAAAAGCCTACAGAGAGGGCAAGCTTCCTGGCACTTTTGCTGAGCCTGGGAGGCAGGGTTTTCTAATCTATGAGGTCAAGGAGCATGGAGCGTGTCAAGATGCTTGGCTTTATGTATAGGCATGGTTTTGTCTCCAGGGGCAAATGCAGGCAGTGGCCAAATTCCTGAATCCCAGCTTTCAACCCAGGTCTTTTCTCCTGTTTATTGTCTGTGGGCTACAGCAGCCTCAGCCCCCACTTACTGCCCTGGCAGGATTTCCTTACTTTGAACTTTGGCTGGATATACTTGTTTTTGTTGTGGTAGCTGTTACATTTTATGCAGCGTTCTTTTGTGTTTATTTTGGGTGGAAAGAAGAGAGAAGTAGATCACTTCTTTCTTCAGCTCAGTCCCTCTTATTGCTGGAAATGTTTCTGTGATAATTAAAGATTTTAATTATGATGCTTTATTGGCACCATATTATGTGAACAGAGGCTAGGCATCCAAGCTCCACATGCATTGCTGCGAGACATGGCAGATACACACACCAGTCCCAGCCCTCCACCGGAGACTGCTGCGGCCTGTCAGCAAGTACACAAAGCCTGCATGAATCAGGTGATTCACGGCCAGTGTCCCCCAGCCATGCCCTGCCAGCTCCTTCCATTTCTATCTCTCTATACAACCAGTAGCGATTTTTCAGGCGTTCATTTTTTACAACTATCAACTTCTGAAACTTTAATGCAAGAGACCTCCACTGGGAGTAAAATTCTGATGTAAATTCAATCCCTTGGGAAAGGTAGTGAAACAAAAAGTAAAATATAACTGAAAAGCATGTCTGAAGAATCTCAGTGCTACCTCTCCTTTGGAGCTGGCTTATCATCAGCTCTGGCTGTCACCTTCCTGGTTTTCACATTCTCTGTTCGTCTCCATCTAAAATGGGTCTTTAACCATTCCACACTCCTCCCACCTTCCTGCTCACAGAAGCTGTGTCCTAGATGTGTAGGCTGGAGATTCTATTCTGGGACTTCCCATTAATCCCTCTTGGAAAGTGGCACTGTGCAGAAGATGGGAGTTAGCTGGTTAACAAACAGTTATTCTAACCTTTCAAAATCCTCTTATAGCTCAAAACTGGTAGAAGAAAAATCTTCTAGAATTATTGATATATGAATATTCTCACCACATTTGAGAGATTCCAGCTGTTACTCAGAGATGCAAAGTAAACCAATGATCTTAGGATATGGAAGACGTAAATCGTACTCAATGCTACCAGGAGACAAAGAAGGACCTTCTCCATGCTATTTCAATCTCTGTCTCAAATGACTCGTTGTTTCCTTCTTGAACTAAGTAACTACTACAAAAGTCTATTCTTGCTGTTTGTCCTAAAAGTGAAAAGAATATTGGATGCTTAGTTCTAATACGCTTTTTCATGATAAAGGTAATAATATCACCTTATACGGTTTTGAAAAAAAAGATAATCACTCATCCATAATTCCAGCATTGCTAGCATTCTAAGGTTATTTCCTTTTTGTTTGTTTGTTTTTCGAGACAAACAAACTCTGCTCTCTAGGCTGGAATGCAGTGACACAATCACAGCTCAGTGTAGCCTCAACCTCCTAGGCTCAAAGTGATCCCCCCACCTCAGCCAGATTAGCTGGGATACAGGTGCATGCACCAGGCCTAGCTAATTTTTGAATTGTTTGTAGAGATGGGATTTCATCATGTTGCCCAGGCTGGTCTCCAACTCTTGGGCAATTCGCCAGCCTCAGCCTCCCAAAGTGCTGGGATTACGGGGGTGAGCCACTGTGTCCAGCCTACAACTTATTTAAACACAGTTAAAATCAAAATATCCATGTATTTTTCACATATTTACAGGAGTTTTAGGTTCCTACGCATCTCAGTTTTGTTTTGTTTTGTTTTTTAATCACAACAACCCTTTCACTAAAGCAAAGTAAAAGTCCTTGACCATATTTGACAGAGAAGGAAACTGAGACGCAGGCATTTGGCAATGAGTTGCTCAGCATTAGAGATATAGGAGAGGCCTGTTGTTACCAAGGCTGTCTTCTTAGGTGTCCGTAAACCTAGGGAATTCACAATTGTGCTATCAGCCCATACAAATTCATGCGTAGTTAGAACTAGAGCCAAACTGGAATTAAAGGGAGAAAGGTGGGAGGAAGGGGGCTTTGCAAAGCTGTGATTATGAATCTAATCAGTGTATGGCCTGTCTAGAAACAATAAAGCCAGTTTCCTTGTGACACATGTAGTTCTAGAGGGAATTCCAGATAAAAATCCCCCGAAATACTCTGTGTGACGGCAATACTAGAGTAAGTACATAACCTCTGCTGGGGACTGCTTTGATGGACATTACTTAATTGGATCTATAAATTATGTGTGTCTGTTTTCAAAGAAACTCAGTCTTCCTATTCTCATATTTTACATAATTCAGTTGATGCATTATTTTAGCAAGTGCTCTACGCTTTGACGACTGCAGGAAGAAAATCGCTTTCTGAGGGCAACCTAGATGGCACAGGTTACCAACTGGCCAACCTCACTTCACCTCAATGACTGACAATTTTCCATAACTTTACAGCAAGCCTCTGATGTCTCAGGACAGTCATATCCTCAGAGGGATCAGGAAATCAAAAAGGGAATTAGTGCTGGAGAGAGGATAGGTAGATGGAAACATATATGATAAAAACAAGTTTAGTAAAATGTAAAGAATAGAATCTAGACAATGGGTAGATGAGTTTTCACTATAAAATTATTTTAGTGCTGCTATATACTGAAATTTTCATAATAATGTTTTGTTGTTGTTGTTGTTTTGAGGTGGAGTCACACTCCGTTGCCCAGGCTGGAGTGCGGTGGCATGATCTCGGCTCACTGCAGCCTCCACCTCCCAGGTTCAAGCGTTTCTCCTGCCTCAGCCTCCTGAGTAGCTAGGACTACCGGCATGTGCCACTGCATCTGGCTAATTTTTGTATTTTTAGTACAGACGGGGTTTCGCCACACTAGCCAGTTGGTCTCGAACTCCTGACCTCATGTGATCCACCCACCTCGGCCTCTCAAAGTGCTGGGATTACAGCCATGAGCCACAGCACCCTGCCAATAATGTTTTTAAAAAACACAGAGACTCCACAGGAAAATGCTTTTCTGGGTAACCAAATGTTGCTGGATAGATTTATTTTTTCTGTCTCTCTTCATCTCTCTCCTTACCATGTCCTTTTTACGTCTATGAAATGTTTAGGGATATTTCTCTAAAGGTGAATGAATATGCTCAGAAAACATTTAATCAAATGTATTTTTGAGAGGATAATACTGAGTCCTAAAGAAGGGAACTGACTTATCCCAAATCAAGTCATCATATGGCAGGTGCAGGATCAAAGGTTGGGCTCCTGTGTCCAAGGATCCTTTCCATCCTAGGGGGTGACCGCTCGGACCACTTTCTTGTGGGACCCTATCTGGAAGGACTAGGAAAACAATGCATTTGGAAATTGTAAATGGAGGCTTAGAGAAAGTCGGGGTGCTAAGAAATACCCATGAAAAAAGGGCATCAAGGGAGGCCAGCAGAAAGTATGCGAGAGCTGCTACAGGGATTTGATCCTGAGGTTGATATAGGGCTCACAATTGTATTGGCTGTAATTAAATCTCTGGCTTCTGTTCATAGAGGCTGGGCTCCCTAGAGGAGAGGTCCAGGCTGTGTTTTAATTTGTTAAGGTCATTTCACCTGCCTGATCTTCACACCCATGCTTTTATTTTACAGGATTAAGTAGACGGGGAATTCAACAGCTATTTTCTGAGTTTTTACCATGTGCAAGGCACTGTGCCAGAAACCACAGGAAAATAAAAAATTGAGCAAAACACAAACTCAAGGAACTAGCCGTCCTGTTAGGGATATGGGAGGCAGGAAAAGAATAAGTTAAAATTGTATATATTGAATTAGGGAAAGCAGATGACCCTTTTCCGCCACAAGACCTTGCTTATTTAACAGCCTGATCCCAATGAGCAGAAAAGGACTTTTATGTGGAGTCCTGGAGTTCAGGAGGTCCTGGAAGAAAGATTACAGCCAACTCCACTAAAGTTTTTCCACTGATGTCTGGATTTCATTGAACACCATGAGATTCCTCACCCTGATCTCCTAGTTGACAAATCCATCAGATTTTCAGTATTCTTGGCTCTCCTTAGCCTCCTTCCTGTCCACATTTAAAATGACCTTTCCCCAACCTCTATGGCATTACAGTTGCCCTAGATCTCATCCACCCTCTCTGAATGCATTTTAGAATACCCCAATGCCCACAGGAAGGCTTCTTCCAAGACCTCCTCCTCCTTCCAACTCATAAATACTCAATCCATCCATGCTTTGTCTTCTCACTTCCAAGCAGAGCATTCCAAGCCTCCATTTGTAGTGTTATGCCTGTCTCATGGAAGGTTCCACCTAGAACTCGAAGCTCCCCACCTGACCTCTCTGTCTATCCACAACCATGCCCCCTCAGTTCTACCCATTTCCACACCACCATGCTGCAAAGTTGGGAAAGTCATCATTTATGATTCCTTTTTAGTCTCCTGAACCAACCAGAAATCGAAATCTGATGATTCTTCCTCTCCAGTCTTTCCTGGTCCAGGTCTTCATCGCCACCAGCCCAAAAGACAGTAGCTGTGTCTCTGGCAGAGTTCCCACCTCCAGAACCCTCTATCCTCACAATCAACATGTGACTGAGCTCAATGTTGAGTGTGAGTGTCAACAACACGGGCTGAATGTTTGTACCCCTCCCCCAAATTCATATGTTGAAACTGTAATCTCCAATGTGATGGTACGAGGAGCTGGGGGCCTTTGCGAGGTGATTGGATTTAGATGAAGGCATGAGGGTGGAGCCTCCAAAGTGGAGTTACGGGCACAGGGGAGCTTGCCTCCTTCTCTCTGCTCTCTCTGATATGTGAGAATACACAAGAAGATGGCAGTCTGCAAACCAGAAAGAGTGCCCTTACTGGACACCAGCTCTTCCCACGCCTTGGTCTTAGACTTTCCAACCTCCATAGAAGTAAGAAATCAGTATTTGTTGTTTAAATCAGTGGTATTCTGTTACAGCAGATAAACTAAGACCATTCCCTAATGCAGTTCTCACCCCAGTACTCTCTATCCTTGTGCTCAATTAATTCAGTATATACCCATTGCCATATCACTCTTTTTTTTTTTTTTTTTGAGATGGAGTCTCACTCTATCACTCAGGCTGGAGTACAGTGGCGCGATCTCAGCTCACTGCAACCTCCACCTCCCGGGTTCAAGTGATTCTCCTGCCTCAGACTCCCAAGTAGCTGGGACTACAGGTGTGTGTCACCACGCCTGGCTAATTTTTTGTGTTTTTAGTAGAGACGGGTTTTCACCGTGTTAGCTAAGATGGTCTCGAACTCCTGACCTCAGCCTCCCAAGGTGCTGGGATTACAGGCCTGAGCCACTGCGCCCGGCCCTATCACTCTTAAAACAGTGGGTCGGGTGTGGTGGCTCACACCTGTAATCCCAGCACTTTGGGAGGCTGAGACAGGCGGATCACGAGGTCAGGAGATCGAGACCATCCTGGCTAACACGGTGAAACCCCATCTCTACTAAAAGTACAAAAAATTAGCGGGACATGGTGGCGGGCGCCTGTAGTCCCAGCTACTCAGGAGGCTGAGGCAGGAGAATGGCATGAACCCAGGAGGTGGAGCCTGCAGTGAGCTGAGATCATGCCACTGCACTGCAGCCTAGGCAAGAGTGCAAGACTCCATCTGAAAACAAAACCAAACAAAACAAATACACACACACACACACACAAAAAACACACAAAAAAAATGAAGGGCATGTCTCATAATCACCCTGCTCAAAAATGTTCCCCATGTCAATAGATGGTAATTGTAAAACACTAAAACTGATGTCCAGGGTCCCTTGCAAGGGGGGTCTGCTTTTTCTTTCCCATCTCACCTTGAAATACTGCTTGAAGACAAAATATCCCCTATAGTCAAATTAATCCTCTTGCCACCATCCTGTAATGCATCCACATATGCTTCCCTCTTCCACTTCACAGTTGCCCCTACCTGGAATTTTTTCTCAGTCTCTCTGTTTATCTAATTCCTATCCATTTTTTAATAATCCCATCTCCTTCAGGAGGCTTTCCCCCATTTGCTTTAGCATACCAAGGCCACTCTTGCTTGCTCTCTCAGTTGTGAAACTCTCTGATAATTATTACCTATACCCTTTGCCTAGCATTATGTGTACTACCCATGCTGAGGCTCTTTTCTGATTCCTCCATCAAATTGCAAACTCCTACACTAAGTAGGGAAAAAGCATCTTTTAGGTTCAAAAAAGAAATGGATAATGGATGAGGTCAGAAAGACATGAAATTCTCAGCCTCAATTTTGATTTCATAATTTGCCAAATTCATAAGACATTGCAAATGAAACACACTGGTAAGATAAAGGCAGGGGTATGCTTTGAAGAAGAAACTATAGAGCATGAATCTATACCTTGCTGATTCCTAGTTCCAATCAGGGAGTTTTTGCTCTCTCACTTCTAACTGTGGTGACTTGCATCAGGAAAAGAATACAAAAAATCTTCAGCTCACAGCTTATTCTAGGGGTCAATCAAAGATTTTAGCTCCTTCTGCCTGTATCTGAGGTTCCCAGATAGCACAAGACCAAACCAGAGGTTAGCAAAGAGTCTGCCAATAGAAGATAAGAAGGGAGGGAAATTGTATTGGAAAATAATGAGCTGATAATTGACTAGTGGCTGGAATGTCTACCGAAAGCCCAGCAGGTTTAGAAGCCTCAAAAATAACCATTGTAAGTATTAACTGTCGTTCCCATCAATGCTGGGAAGCAGAGGCTCCAGTTAGATTGGGGGAGCTAGAAACATTTCCCAGAAAAGTGCCATGGAAAAGATTTACCCTGCTGTGAACAGCATATTCACGGCAAGTCTTTCTGGAAAGCAGATAAAGGTCTTGTCGCTCAAAGGATGATCTCCACACTAGTAGCATCAGCACTACTTGGAAGCTTGTTAGAAATGCAAATGCTCGGGCCTCATGTTAAGCCTACTGCATTGGTATTTCTGGGACTGAGGCCCAGGAACTTGAGTTTTAATCAGCTCTCCAGGTGATTCTGATGCAACTTAGGTTAAGCACTGCCTTAGCAAATGGTGGTGGTGGCTGCATTAACAATTGCGGCACAGCAAGGGACTCTAGACCTTAATAGCTTAAAATAACAAACATTGATTATCTCACACAGTTGCCCAGAGTCAGGAATGCTGCAGCTGCTTAAGTGGGTGGTCCCAGCTCAGCTCAGTGTATCTCTTGCGATCACAGTCATCAGCTGGAGCTGCAGACATATGGATGCTTGAATAAGGTGGAAGAGTCACTCCAAGCTCACTCACGTGGCTGTTGGAAGACTTCAGGTCCTTGCCATGTGGGCCTCTCCATAGGCGCTGCTCACAAAACATGGCAGCTAATTTCTGCTACTTCAAGTCACTCCAGACAGAGAACGCACTCAAGACAGAAAGCACAATATTTTAACAAGCCAAGCGTGGAAGATACATCTCATCACTTCTCTTATATTCTTTTTGTTGCAAGTGAATGACTAGGTCTAGCCCACATCCAAGAGGAGGATTATGCTTCAATTATTAAAGAAAAGAGCATCAAGAGTATATGACTTTGTGGACATATCTGGAAGATCACCACAGCGGTGTTAAGGGTGTCCAAAAACTTTTAATAACACCTAACATCTGAGGCATCTGATTTTAATTAATGCCTCTCCAGCAGTAGAGATCAAGGGACATTCTAAAAATTAGTTCACTATTCCTAGAGCAAGCAACAATCCTAATGATTTTTTTAACCAATAAACCGGATGGTGCAATTAATCACAATTTTCATGTCTAGCACTAGATGGCAGAACAGACATTTGGTTGGTAGGATGGCCTACTGCATTAGTACATTCTCATGCTGCTGATAAAGACATATCTGAGACTGGGTAATTTATAAAGGAAAGAGATTTAATGGACTTACAGTTCCACATGGCTGGGGAGGCCTCACAATCATTGCAGAAGGCAAAGGAAGAGCAAAGGCATGCTTTACATGGTGGCAGACAAGAGGGCGTGTGCAGGGGAACTCCCCTTTATAAAATCTTCAGATCTCTTGAGACTTATTCACTATTGCAAGAACAGCACAGGAAGGATCCACCCCCATGATTCAATTACCTTCCACCAGGTCCCTTCCATGACACATGGAAATTATGGGAGCTATAATTCAAGATGAGATTTGGGTAGGGACACAGCCAAATGATAACACCTACTCAGCATGCTATTAATTCATGGAACTAAGGTTTCTTCACCCTGAGTCTGCCTGGCCAGGACTGGAGGAAATCTTGCTAGTCTCCAGTTCTCCAAGCTATTATCAGTTCATTGTATTCCTGGGGTTGCTTTCTGACTGCCTCATGAAAGAAGACCTTCCTTCCCCACTGCCTTCCACTCTGAAGAGCCTTTTGGTCTGGCAAGGAAACCAGTACAGCTAACTTCTCCCTCCCGGGACAGAGGAATAATGAGAGCTTGAGGACATTCATGACAACAGTCATACCCACAAGCTTTCCTTAGTCAAAATTTACATAATCCAGGACAGAATACATATAGAATAATACAACTGTAGGCTTGGAGGAAACCAACAGAAATCACCAAATTTGACATTTTTATTTAGAAGATGAAAAAAACTCAGTCAGAGATAAAACACAAGTATGTACAAGTTCACCAATTAATTAATGGCAAAGCCACGGCTAGATCCCTACTAGAAAGTGCTTTATTATCCTAGTCAATATGACTACCATTTGCATCAAGTTCAGGCCCCAGCTTTTAAGTCTAGTGACTATTTTAAAGAAGACAAGAAATTTTGGTAGCAGTTTCTGGTGTGTGTGTGTGTGTGTGTGTCAAAAGAATTCTTAGAATAGCTCTTAATCTAGAACCCAATCAAAACGGGCATCTTCACACTACCAGAGACAGTATTTGATACAACTTTTCCAAAGGGCAATTTTGTAACAGGCGTCAAAAGATTTAAAAAATGCATATATCACTTTACTCAGCCATTTTTTCTGCTGAGAAGTTATCATAAGAAAATAATGATAGGTGAGCATTAAAGATTTAGTTACAAGGAGTCCACGGCAGTTTTAGTCATAGTGAAATATTGGAATCAAGTTAAACATTGAACAATAAGGATTGCCTAAGTGACTTATGGGACATCCAGACAACAGAATCCATGCAATCTTTTAAAAAATGCTTAAAATCTTTTTAAAAGTCAGGGTTTCCAGGCCGGGAATGGTGGCTCACGCCTGTAATCTCAGAGCTTTGTGAGGCCGAGGTGGGCGGATCACCTGAGGTCTGGAGTTCAAGACCAGCCCGGCCAACACGGTGAAATCCCCGTCTCTACAAAAATACAAAAAAAAAAAAAAAAAAAATTAGCTGGGCTTGGTGGTGGGCGCCTGTAGTCCCAGCTACTTGGGAAGTGCAGGTAGAAGAATCACTTGAACCCAGGAGGCAGAGGTTGCAGTGAGCCAAGATCGTGCCACTGCACTCCAGCCCGGGTGACAGAGCCAGACTCCATCTCAAAAAAAAAAAAAAAAAAAAGTCAGGGTTTCCACAGTGGTGTCTGAAAATTTATTCAATCTAATCTGAAGCCTGGGCCCAGTCTCTCCTAGACATACATATCCAGTGTTCAGTACAGTGCTTGCCACAGGAAAGAGACTTGGTAATACTGAACGAATGAATGTTGATTAGATTTTTAGCATAACACCAGACACACCCTAATAACAAAATCTTACCTGAGTAAGAGGAATTACAGAGATCATGTCAATATAAGCAATTATTTGCAGGTGTGTCAAGTATTTGACTGTTTGAATTACTTCATGTATTCAAAATAGATGTTGATTTTTCATTATTAAAGATACTCAAATTTGTCATTTTTATTAAATATACAAAATATGCAAGCAACATGCAGCTACCTAGGAAAACATTTATTACTAGATAAGCTGAACATTTTCTTGACCATATCACATAATTATATATTTTTAAATTCCCAGATGCCTAGCACTGTGTATCTTTTCAAAAAAGAAAGCCATTCATATAACTGGACACGTTTTTTCATTTTAATGAAATTTTTTGTCTTTGTTGTTTCAGCATCATAAAGATGTGGAAACTCTACCACTGTTCTATTGGTACAGTACTGCCGGGAGTGTAAAATCATACAACCATTTTGGACGTCGATTTGGCAGTATGTATCAAATGTTCATAGCCTTTGACCTTATGATTCTACTTCTTGAAATGTATTCTAAACTCTTACTCAATATTAGAAATAACATTACAAACAAAGATTCCCATCAAAAGTATCCCTTATAATAGTCCCAAATTAAAAAGTACCTTAAAGGGGTAATGATTACTATGAGATACTCTTAAAAGAGGATTTAGGCTGGGCCTAGTGGCTCACTCTTGTAATCCCAGCACTATAGGAGGCCGAGGTGGGCAGATCACTTGCACTCAGGAGTTCCAGACCAACCTGGCCAACATGGTGAAACCCTGTCTCTACTAAAAAATACAAAAACTAGCTGGGCAGGTGGCGCATACCTGTAATCCCAGCTACTTGGGAGGCTGAGGCAGGAGAATTGGTTGAACTTGGGAGGCGGAGGTTGCAGTGAGCCAAGATCACACTACTGCATTCCAGCCTGGGTGACAGAGCCAGACTCCATCTCCAAAAAAAAAAAAAAAAAAAAAAAAAAATCATAAGAAATTATGCTTTGGGAGACTGACAGAACTCCTCAGATCACCTGAGGTCAACATGGGGAAACCCTGTCTCTACTAAAACTACAAAAATTAGTGGGGCCGTGGTGGCGCTTGCCTGTAATCCCAGTTATTCGGGAGCCTGGGAGGCAGAGGTTGCAGTGAGCTGAGATCGTGCCCCTGCACTCAGCCTGGGTGACAGAGTGACTCTGTCTAAAAAAAAAAAAAAAAAAAAAAAGAAAAAAGAAATTATACATATACTATGATCTTAATTAGGTTAAAAACAAAACAAAAGCAAGGCTACCAGTTTTGCATTTGCCATGTCTTGCATTTGCCATTGCATTTGCCATGTTTTTCGTAAGGGGCAGCATATACAGTCTGTTGTGCTATAATGCCAACACACGCATTCTTCAAATCACTATGCTGATAAAAATTCACAGATTAAAAAAACCACAGGACTTAGAGGAAAATAGGATTAGGGTACAACACTTAAAATTTTCTCAGTGGTACATTAAAAAAAATAAAAAGAACCTAAATAACAATGGTAACACAGTTCCATACATGTTGATGGTTAAGAAATCCAGAAATTCTAAAATAAAAATGACACTTTGACTTTGAAAAAGCCCTAGTGTTTTCTCATGGAAGTGGGCATTGGAGGGGTTGCAGTTTGTGAATTATTGTGAAGTGGTGAATGGAAGGTTATCTAAAATCAGATCAGCAAAACATCACACTGTACCCTGTTTATACATTTATACACACAATTAGTATTTGTCAATTAAAAACAAGTTAATAAAAAATAATAATTTTAAAAAGAAAAACATAGTAAAGTAAAATCCAGCTTAAAGCCAGATTTTAGGGGTAAGACTCAGAACACACACAGTGGACCAGGTGCAGTGGCTCACGCCTGTTATACTAACACTTTGGGAGGCTGAGACAGGCAGATCACCTGAGGTCGGAGTTCGAGATCAGCCTGACCAACATGGAGAAACTCCATCTCTACTAAAAATACAAAATTAGCCGGACGTGGTGACACATGCCTATAATCCCAGCTACTCGGGAGGCTGAGGCAGTAGAATCGCTTGAACCCAGGAGGCGGAGGTTGTCGTGAGCCGAGATCACGCCATTGCACTCCAGCCTGGGCAACAAGAGCAAAACTCCATCTCAAAAACAAACAAAAAAAAGAACACACACAGTCAATTGAGGTCTCTGGTAGGCGGTTGGGGCATGTACCTGCATGTGTGTGCTTGTGTATTCCTGTGAGGCTGGGTGCAACTTTCGCTTTTCTGTATTCACTGCCGTTTCTTGTGAATGAAAATGCACATAAGCAAATGCAAAGCTCACATTATGGTCAAATGGTATGCTCAAAGATATTAATATTAATATATTAATTCCATTGGAACAAATTTGCATTTCAATACAAGCATTACAGCAGAACTGACTTAACTTATATGTCTATCATATACATTTATATATGTGCTATATACACATAATAGTAGAAGCTTCTGCAGTGGGTGGATCACCTGAGGTCAGGAGTTGAAGACCAGCCTGGCCAACATGGCAAAACTCTGTCTGTACTAAAAATACAAAAATTAGCTGGGTGTGGTGGCACGCACCTGTAGTCCCAGCTACTCAGGAGGCTGAGGCATGAGAATCACTTGAACCCGGGAGAGAGAGGTTGCAGTGGGCTGAGATCGAGCCACTGCACTCCAGCCTGGGTGATGAAGTGAGACTCTATCTCAAAAAAAAAAAAAAAAACGTAGAAACTTCCTAATTAATAAACTTTAACATAAGCTAATAAAATAATATTTCTAAAGTTGTCTACACACCCAACACTGTCTGAAAACAACTAGCCACACAAATACAGAATAAATAGATGTGAATGTGCTTGTCAATGAGCAGGCAAGCAAGCAATGGACTGAATAAATATTTTTACCATCCAAATAAGTTATGTTATATCAATGTTTTGAGAACTTATCTTAAAAACATGATTTGATGACTAGAATAGCTACAGAACTGTTTTAATAAACTTTGGTCTATCAGATAAGTATTGGGCTAAATGACCCCAAGTTCATTTCCAATGCTAATAATGAGATTTTGTGATAGTGTACTTTTTTCTTAATAACAAGGTACTTTATATTTAGATAAGAATAAATAAACTCAGTTCCCAGGGGGTCGCCCTTTAACTACTGTCTGGGCATTTCTGTGCCAATAGAATGTAACACACAGACTCATACTTTTTTCTTTCCTAAATGTCACCTGAGAACGGTGTGAAATTTTCTTCCTATTTTAAAATTACCTTGACTTAAGCAAACAGACACACAAAAAAAGACTTTCCTGGCAAACAGTTTGACCAATGAACAAATGACAGGAAGTGTTCCTCCTCTTTTTTTTTTCTGATGGATGTTATAAAAGGGGAAACAACTCGTTTGGCAAAGTATAGTACATCATCACTCAAATCTGAGTTCAATAGTTCAAATTTTTAGCGGCCTTGGGGAGGAAGAAAAAGAACTTTCTGTTTTCAAGGAAAATGATTTTGCCTGAGCTTTTAAAACTGAGCTAGCATATTCTATGCAATTCTGATAATAGGCATACATAAAAGTCATATGCCCAAATCAATGTATTGAAGTTGCTTAAATATCCAGTTATTATTTGGTTTTTAAGAACTTCCTGTTTAAAAGGGCAATAATTTTGCCCGAACCTTTACAACTGTGCTAGTATACTATGATAATAGGAATACATAAGTCAGAAGTCCAAATCAATATACTCATGTAGCTATTTAAATGAACTATGCTTTATTTGCTTTTTTATAAATGAAGGAAAAACATGCTTGCATGAATACAGCCAAAATATAATCTGTCCACTGATGTGGTTTGCTAAACGATCAAGGAGTTGCACGTGAAATGAAACATTTAATGCCCAACGTATTTCTAAGATTTCAAAATAATCACGTTTTCATTTGCATAGTACTACTTTCTCATTCATTATATTACTTAATGATTTTCATGCTTTCTTTCCCTGAGAAATCAATCAGTCTATCAGAAATCATATTTAAAATACTATGGTGTCTTTCCGAGTGACTTATTTTTTAGATAATGCTGTAATACAGAGTAACCTCTGGCAGGCAAAGATTCACATTTGCTCTTTGATAATGTGTAAGTAGCCTGCACAGTTCCTGAGACTCAGTCATTTGTTAATTTTGTAGAGGCAGATAGTTTAAATTCCTGTGAAGATGTTACAGCCATTCATTCTCCAGATATGAGAGAAAAATGCAACTTTGTGAACAAAATTATAGTGGTAACTGAAAGGCAATAAATTGTGGGTATGAGGAAATCCACTGGAAATCCACGGCCATAGAAAGGCATGAGACGCGGGAGACGTAGAGAAGATACAAACATTTCGGCATCTGTGAATTTTAGGACTCACAGAAGTCTTCAGAGTTATTCCTTGAAAAAATCTGACTCGACCACTAAGAAAATTTGAAACTGCCGTTAAATCACATTCCCCTTCATGTTGGCCTCTTTGCCCTTTTATTGGTGGGCCTCTGAAGCATTTGATGAGGGCTACTTTCTCTTTTCTCTTCCCCTTTTGGTTTTCTATTTTCTCCTCTGCTGCAGTTGTGTGGAGTTTCTGGTCATGCAATGAAATATTCTAAATTTTGTTACATATATGCAGAGAGTCACAAGGAGTCTGGCTTTATTTTAATCAGGATATTAGAAAAGTGAAGATCTCAGGCACGTATTTGTTTAAACTTAAGCCACCAGCTTTTACATTCTCCAGTTTTCTGGGCTCCTCATACTCTCAATTTCTCTTCTCCCTCATCCCCTCCAGAAAAATGCCCCTTAACACGTCACCATGCTGCTAAAGGCCTACCCTTAGATTTTTTTATCAAACTGGAAAAGAAACTCATGGTGAAATACATTAATTATTTGCAATATCCCAATATTAAATCTAAAGAGATGACATGAACATAGTTGTTGAACTTTACATAGTCACTCCACTTATTTTAAATAACATTCAGCTTGAAATTTTCTCTATTTCTTTTCTCTACGAACCTCTATGAGTTGGAGAGAAATATTCGCTGTGAACTAAATGAGAAATTGAACACTACAACGGTATTTGGCTTAGTTTGGTTTTGTTTTGCCATGAGCAGTACATTTGTGAGTCAGACAATAAAGCAATAATACATTGGTTTGGTTTTCTCACTCCTGAGGGTTTTTGCTTTGCTTCGTTTTTGAGGATTTCTCACCATTACCATGATTTCCAGAGAAGAAAAAGGAAAGTATTGAATGCAAAGCAAAGAGTACCTGGATTTTATGTGCTATCTGGTATTCATAGTGAACACATAAAAATATGTCACTGATGGAAGAATAGCCAATGGTTAAAACTTTTTAAAAGCCTTCAATGTTAATGAGGAAAAACCATAAGGTATTTAAATTTCTTCATTCTCTGATGAAATCTTCAAGCAAGTATTCAAAAAATGGAGATTCTTAAAGCAAGTTTGTCTTTATTTTCATACTTGCAATGGAGCTTAGAATAGACTGGTACAAGTGCTGCCTTGAAGAAGAACCACTATGCTTTTACCAAAATGTTCACGAAAATTAAACAGGCATTTCAGTTGCTACATGGCTACGTGTGTTTAATCATTAAGGATGGAAACCATAAGCATTCATCCAAAGAGCACAACCTGCAATTTCCAAAAAAAAAAAAGAAGAAAGAGAGAGAGAGGAAGGAAGGAAGGAAGGAAGGGAGAGACGGAGGGAGGGAGGGAGGCAAAGAAGGAAGGAAGGAAAAAAGGAAGGAAGGAAAGAAGGAAGGAAGGAAAGAAGGAAGGAAGGAAAGAAGGAAGGAAGGAGGGAAGGAAGGAAGAAAGGAAGGATTGATTTGGCTAAAACTCTCTGATTAAAAAAACAATTAATCATGCCACTATACATAAGCAAACACATAAACACAGAAACCAGGGCATATAGGTGCAGTAACCAGGAAAAAATACAGTAAGCACATTCTAAACCCTCTTTTCATCTCAGGAAGTTTTATTCACGTGGATAACTAGTCATAATCATCACAAAGCAAGTATGAGGATCCCATTGGGTGACTCAAGTCCAGGAAAGATAGGGAAGGTGGCAAAGATTACACAGATACACTGGTGAAGTTCATTACATTCCTGTGTCTTCTGACACATTTCCATTTACTCATCACCCCATGCCATGTGGCTTCTGTCACACCGCAAAAGCCCACCTGGCTTCAAGGTCACCAATGACTTCTTAACTCACAAGGCAAATAATAAAACCTGTATTCATCCTTTCTGTAGTATTTGATACCACGGACCTTGAAACCATCCTCCCATCCTCATTACCAGCATTTATTGTGGAAATGTAAGTTAGAGCAAAACTTTGAAAGAACTATACCATGAACAACCATTTAGCCGCCAATTACAATCTAAATACTCATTTTTCTGTGCTTTTTTTTTTTTTTTTTTTTTTTTTTTTTTTGAGACAGAGTCTTGCTCTGTCGCCCAGGCTGGAGTGCAGTGGTGCAATCTCAGCTCACTGCAACCTCTGCCTCCCGGGTTCAAGCGATTCTCCTGCTTCAGCCTCCAGAGTAGCTGGGACTGCAGGCATGCACCACCACGCCCGGCTAATTTTTGTATTTTTAGTGGAGACGGGGTTTCACCATGTTGACCAGGCTGGTCTCAAACTCCTGACCTCAGGTGATCCACCCGCCTCAGCCTCCCAAAGTGCTGAGGTTACAGGCATGAGCCAGTGCACCTGGCCCTATTCTCCTTTTTTTTTTTTCCTTTTTAAAATGCATTTCAAAGTAAATTGTGGACAGCAGTTCACACTAAACATTTCTGCATGCATGGTATAGACTACAGAAATTCTCCCTTTGGGTCTAGAATAGAAATAAGCACCAGTAGGACTCGGAAGACCTAGGTCTGCTCCTCTACATACGTTCACATCTTGGCTGTGCTGGCCACTGACACAACCGTAGTGATCATGGCTCCCAAATCTGACCCTTACTCCTGGGCTCCAGCTTAACCCAGAGCGCTTTCCACTTTACGTGTATGAAACAAAATTGCTCGTTCCCCTTGAGACCTGTTATTCCTCCTTCTGCGTTTTTTTTTTTTTTTTTTTTTTTTTTTCTGACAGAGTCTCGCTCTGTCGCCCAGGCTGGAGTACAGTGGCGCAATCTCGGCTCACTGCAACCTCTGCCTCCCAGGTTCAAGCAATTCCCCTACCTCAGCCTCCAAGTAGCTGGGACTACGGGCGCGGACTACCAAGCCCGGCTAATTTTTTGTATTTTAGTAGAGACGGGGTTTCACCATGTTGACCAGGATGGTCTTAATCTCCTGACCTCATGATCCGCCCGCCTCAGCCTCCCAAAGTGCTGGGATTACAGGCGTGAGCCACCACAACCCGCCTCTGTGTTCCTTATCACAGTTACAGTTACTAATAACTGAACTACTCTCCCTTTCCTCCTCCTTTTCGCATGGCTAGTATTCCACACAGTGTTATAAGTCCTACTTCTGAAACATCTACCAAATATTTCCCTCACTTCCCATGCATACCGCACTGCTCTAGTTCAAGCCTCTATCATCGGTCCTCTAGATTCCTCAACGGCCACCTATCCCAGTGTGCATCCGTATGCCACCGAGAACTAGATTTCCACAGCAGAACCAGAGGGGGTCTGTGAAATCAGTCCTCCACTGCAAGCCTTCAATGCCCCCTCCTCTGACTCTGCCTCCAGTGCCTTGAGCAGCCAGTAGAATAGCCATTGGCTTCATGAGGCTACTGAGCTCTTGAACTGTAGTTAACCCAAACTGAAATCTGCTGCAAGTGTAAAATGCATACTGGATTTTAGGCCGGGCGCGGTGGCTCACGCCTGTAATCCCAACACTTTGGGACGCCGAGGCGGGCGGATCACGAGGTCAGCAGATTGCAACCATCCTGGCTAACACGGTGAAACCCCGTCTCTACTAAAAAAATACAAAAAAATTAGCCAAGCGTGGTGGCGGGCGCCTGTAGTCCCAGCTACTGGGGAGGCTGAGGCAGGAGAATGGCATGAACCCAGGAGGCAGAGCTTGCAGTGAGCAGAGATCAAGCCACTGCACTCCAGCCTGGGCGACAGAGAGAGACTCTGTCTCACAAAAAAAAAAAAAAAAAAAAAAAAAAGGCATACTAGATTTTGAAGACTTAATATAAAAAACTACAAGATTTCTTACTAATAATGTTTTATTTTGATTTCATATTGAAAATATAATATTTTAGACATATTAGCTTAAGTTAAAATATTATTAAAATTAATTTCACCTCTTTACTCTCACCTTTTTAAGGTAACTACTAGAAAGTTGAAATTACATATAAGGTTCTCATTACATTTCCATTGGACTGTGCTGTCCTTTTGAATAAAGTCCCAACTCCTTAAACATGCCCCTTAATAATCTTTGAGGCCGGGCACGGTGGTTCACGCCTGTAATCCCAGCACTTTGGGAGGCTGAGGTGGGCGGATCACGAGGTCAGGAGATCGAGATCATCCTGGCCAACATGGTGAAACCCCACTTCTACTAAAAATACAAAAATTAGCTGGGTGTGGTGGCGTGCGCCTGTAGTCCCAGCTACTCGGGAGGCCGAGGCAGGAGAATCGCTTGAACCCAAGAGGCAGAGGTTGCAATGAGCTGATATCGTGCCACTGCACTCCAATCTGGTGACTGAGTGAGACTCCGTCTCAAAAATAAAAATAATAATAATCTTCAAAAATCTTTCCCAACCTTTGTTCCTAACTTGATGTCTCACTCCTCACCTGCACAGACAGATGAGTGAATAACACGCTGTTTCAGTGCAGAAGTCAGGTGACAATGAAAGTGACCTCACTGTACCCCTACTACTCCTAAATGATTCATATGGTACCCAGGCATCTAAAGGAAAAAGAGAGAGCAGGGGATGATTTATAAACTAAACACACTCAAGTACAAAGTCAAGGAAGCATCAAAACAGATGATTAAGCTTGAAAAAAAAGACCTACCACTACTTTGATTGGTGTTTATGTCTATTTCAAAACAGAATATTTGTAGTTGAGCATATAATCACATTCTAGAAAATGTCATCCTCCCAAACAACTTTGTGCATTTCAAAAATACAGGTCACTGGCATGCAGTTCCAGAATGCATGACCTAATCCCATTCCCACACAGCCACAGGGAGCTCTGTTATTTCTAAATTGGATCTTGAATTGGAGTTTCATCACCTACATTCTGCCTCCCTAACATTGCCATCAATATTAGCTGCGGGTGCTCACCTGAGAGTAACCCATAAATAAAGGAAGCACATATGAGATATTTGAAGCCTCTGGCTTAGCCCAGAAGTCTGCAAACAACAGCCAGTGGTCTTATAGTTTGGGTCAATAAAGTTTTATTGGAACACAGCCACACGTATTCATTTACATATCGTCTGTGGCTGCTTCCTGCTATACAAGCAGAATTGAGTGGTTGTGATAAACACTGTACCACCCACAAAACCTAAAGTATTTAGTATCTGGCCCTTTCCAGAAAAAAAAAAAAATTGCTGACACCTGGCCTAAGGGGTCATTAAATTGTTGTTTTTTCATTAAACTCATAGTGAGTCTATTCGTGGTACAGTTCCAAGCCATGGGCATATAGGGTTAAAAGAATTGAAGTTTAGAATCCATAGCATACAATGTTCACACTTAGTTTCTCAAGGGGCCCTGAAGCACATTCATTTTAGTCTTTTCAAACATGACTTCCATGTACACTAGTCAACGTTTTTCAAACTGTTTTTTTCTATTGGGATCCACTATAGCAAATACATTTTACACCCAATCCTTTCAGCGCACACACATCTATATAAGTAAATATAACAAACAGAACCAAGTTTGTCAAGACAATACTTGTCTTTCTTACTACATGGGATTCACTCTCTTAGTATAGTCCATTTTATATGTAGTTCCATTTTTTTTTTTTTAGACGGAGTCTCGCTCTGTTGCCCAGGCTGGAGTGCTGTGGCAGAATCTCAGCTCACTACAAGCTCTGCCTCCCGGGTTCACGGCATTCTCCTGCCTCAGCCTCCCAAGTAGCTGGGACTACAGGCGCCCACCACCACGCCCAGCTAATTTTTTTGTATTTTTAGTAGAGACGGGGTTTCACCGTGTTAGCCAGGATGGTCTTGACCGTCTCGGCCTCCCAAAGTGCTGGGATTACAGGCATGATATATAGTTCCATTTTTAAAGAATGATTGATTTTATCAGACATTCATGTCTTGTGATTCATGTTTGAAAAACTCACTGGTCCACTCCAGCTGTGGATTGTCTAACTCTGACCTTCACCACACGTCACAGGCTGTAAACTTGCAGCCATTCACTTCAGTTGAGATTGATTCGCTTCATCCACACAGACGTTTGTTTGGTTTTCATGTGGGTTTTGGTTTTTAATATGTAAATTCTTTTCCAATCTGTTTTTAAAAAGTCGATATTCCAAGTTTCTTTAAAAAGTCAGAGGACAAGGCACTAGGAGCCCTCCTTCCTACTTGGTAACAATCCATGGGAGCTGAGCAGTTTCTCCAAGGCCTGTTCTCCAATTTGCCACCCTTCGCCAACAGGGCAAATGCACCTGAAAATCCCCAGAATTGTCATCACAAGCTTTAGCTCCCTGTGACCTCTCCCCACATAAATATAAAACAGATCCAATCTGTTTTCTTTCCATCATTAAACCCTAGCAGGGCATTCTAGTAGACCCTCTGGCTTTGGGGAAAGCCCTTTTGAACAAATAATGTTGTAATCCAAAAGCCTCCTACACCAAGGAGTAAGAGTAAGGCCTCATTAGAAAGAAAAAAGTGGCCTTTCTTTCTTAAAACAAGAAAAAACAAAAAAGCAAACACACAACATTTGACAAAGGAAACTACAAGAATAAGTAGAGTTCACCAGAAAATTACACACACACACACACGCACACACAGGTGCAAGTTTCTGTTTACTTTGTTTAAAGCTTTGTCTGTGAAATGAAATCACTGCATCGTGGCAGCGTTTTTTCAAAACATGGAGTTAGGGCAAACATGGCTTCCGTTTAGAAAGGTGACGAGGGGAGCAGTTAGCTCCGGGAATGTAACTTTAGTTGCAGCTTAATCCAGTTCCCTTTTGTTAAATACCTGAACTTAATGAGAATCCACAGAGATTTATGACCATAACAAACACATCATTTTTGACTTTGTCATTCAAACCAGCCTGGCAACTTTGATATTTCCTAGTGAAAGGAGAGATCTAATCCAAGTAAGAACTCTGAAAAAAGGGAAAGAAATTTTATTCCCATAATTTGATTGATTACTTCCTACTCTGAACACTCGAGAGAGAAAAAAGCAAACTTTTTCCTGTCCATACTCAGATTTCTCCTGCTAATCTTTAACAAGCAGGCAACGGCCATAAAACACAAATTATTTCCAAGGACCCAAAGACCAATCACACTCGATGGGTTACCATACCTGTAAGTATCAAAATATTGTGGAAAACATCTGAGATGAAAACCAGAAATTTAAAGATGAATTGACCATTGATTCAATTCAATTCAAGGCTTTAATTTAATAGCTCTGTGAGGTTAAAAAAAAAAAAAAAAACTATGCTACGACTGGTTCCATTCAAAAAAATATTTTTATCATTGTTGCAAATCTGCCAAAACTAAACTTACATTTGTGGAGATGGGCAATTATTTCCCAATTGCATTTAAGAATTATACCATTGGAATTAGAAGCCCTGAGTTCTTGTCTTTCAGCTTAACCTGGGCAAAGCACTTCTGTTTCTTCCTATTCGGAAGACAATCTTTATCTTTCAGATACCTTCTACCTCCAACATCCTATCTGTTTATGATTCTATCTTATTGGAACTAAAGGAAGTTCAGATCAACAGTCATGTCTTATGTGACTAATGGTCTGACCACTCCAGTAAAGGCTTGGTGTTAGTAATGACCAGATGACAGGAAATCAATTAGACAAACATTATTAATAACAATAATAATGAAGATAGAATAGTACTTGGGATAACAACCAGGCTGTGCTCTCATTGGGGGTATTAACATATCTGAAGAATTTTTAAAAAGCATCAATCCAAAGGTGAAAATATGGAACAGTGAAAAAGACAGACTGGCAGAGTGGCTCAGCAAGGTTCCGGGAGAGCACTGGATTGGGGGGGGATCCCTACAGTGCAAAAGGGACCTCAGGGTAGCTCGGTGACACTAGCCACGGCACGCAGGCCTCAGCTCTCCTTGCTCCAATTCCAGATTCAGCAAGCGTCCTTCTGATTACATTTATTTTCTTTTTCTTTTCTTTTTTTTTTTTTTTTGAGACAGAGTCTCACTCTGTCAGCCAGACTGGAGTGCAGTGGTGAGATCTTGGCTCACTGCTACCTCTGCCTCCCGGGCTCTGGCCATCCTCTTACCTCAGCCTCCGGAGTACCTGGGATTACAGGCATGGCCACCACACCCGGCTAATCTTTTGTATTTTGGGTAGAGACAGGGTTTTACCATGTTGCCCAGGCTGGTCTCGAATTCCTGACTTCAAGTGATCTGCCCACCTCAGCCTCCCAAAGTGCTGGGATTACAGGCATGAGCCACCGCACCCAGCTCTGATTACATTTCTGACAACATATTGGCTTTCTCACATAGCAGTTTGGAGAGTGTTTTTAGTGGTTATTGTTATTTTGTAATAAATGGGGGAAAAATCAATTGAATGACACAAGATTTCTAATATGTTCAACAAGATAAGTTCTGTGATCAGACAACTTCTTTAGAGAAAAAGGGAGAAAAGTTGACAAAAATGAAGGCGGTTTTAGTTATTCCATAATAGGCCAATTGACTAACAGAGGTATTTAAATACTTTTAAAAATTCACTTTTATGACCATATTTTAATGTATTGCCCAAATTTCCTTTTTTCTTCTTCTTTTTTTTTTTTTTTGGGACAGAGTCTCACTCTGTTGCCCAGGCTGGAGTGCAGTGGCGCAATCTCAGCTCAATGCAGCCTCTGCCTCCTGGGCTTAAGCAATTCTTGTACCTCAGCTTCCCGAGTAGCTGGGATTACAGGGCGTCCACGACCACATCCGGCTAATTTTTGTATTTTTAGTAGAGATGCGATTTCACCATGTTGGCCAGGCTGGTCTCGAACTCCTGCCCTCAAGTGATCTGCCTGCCTCTGTCTCCCAAAGTGCCGGGATTCCAGGCATAAGCCACCACACCTGGCCCTAACGTGCTGCCCAATTTTCTAACTAAAGGTCCAAGATCAGAATGTCCAAGTCACTCTACCACATGGGGCAGCCTTTCAATCCCCTGCATCTTTGAGACATTGATGGCTTGCTATGTAGGCAGGTAGCAAGAACTACCTCTGGGCAGTTCTGCCAGAGACCATCACAGAGACCATTCACCCCAGTGGTGAGGCTCTGGCATGCTGGAGGTGGGTGAATCTGGGTTTGGCAGTAGTTCTATGACCTACATAGTTCTATGATCTTGGACAAGTTATTTCATCTTTCTGAGCCTCTTTTCTGATCTATAAAATGTAGAAAATGATAGGACCTGCATAAAAATATAAATCCTATTAATAACATCAGACTACAAGCAACAGATCATTCCGCATCATCCAGCACATAGTGTAGCCTCAACAAATACAGTTAATATCACCTCACCTCTAAAATGATAGATTTCATCAAAGATATACCGCGGGGTCCAATTATTTTGCTATTTTAAAAAAGGCTAAAACGCATGAAGAAAAGTGTATAGCCACTAAAATGGAAAAATGCCAAACAAGTAGAGAATGGTATTAAATCACAGAAATTATTTTTAACTACATAAGCATTTGCAGTCTATCCCTTGCACGAAAGCAGTTGATAAAACGGATCCAATAAAGATAAGTGAATGAACGATTCAAAGAAAATACTGTTAGTTTCTTGGAGTCTCTTGATGGCGTGGGTGTTGTTTTGTTTTGCTTAAGTAAAAATGTAATGTGGATAAAACTATTTTTACAGTTGTTAAAAATATCAGAGGAAATGTTCTGAGGGAGATTTTCATTACTCTAGTCAACCAGAAGCCCAGATAAACATAACTGTGTATTTAAAAACAGAAGCAGAAAACGACAGCACACCACCTAGACAGGAACTTTGAGTCTGATAAAGCTGGGAGTCTGGCTGAGCAGTTCCAGTGGAATAAACCTGCATAGTTAGAAGGTGCAAAGAAACTGATCCTCCAGAGGTCTGAAGGTTGCACTTTCTCTCTTCCTGCCTCTTCCTTGAATGCGTTAATTGTTCCAGGTCTGTTTTGCTCCTATGGAAAGTTTCATAACCCAAAGTGTCTACAACAAAGGTTAAAACAAGCGAAGTAAGCAGATAAAATTACTAAGCTGGCCTGGAAAATTGGGACCGTGTTGTCATCTTTGCCATAAGGTGCATCCACAGCTCTGGCCCTATCTATTTTCCCTATAACCAGCTTTCAACCACTGACACCTGTTCCTTCTATGTTTGTAGCCAAAAAAAAAAAAAAAAAAAAGTCATACGCCCAAGTCTGATTTTCCTCTGACCCTTATTTTAGTTTTTAGCTCTTTGTGTCCTCAGAGACCTGTCATTTACATCAACGTTTTTGTTCTCTATGACAGGAAGCTTTGGGGAACCTTTCACACCTTCTTCACTTTACATTTGCCTGCCATAGAAGACAGAAAGAAAGGAATACAAAACTGTCTCTGTGCTTGGTTCGGAAACAAGAGAGTAGGAGGGAGCCGTGAGCCAATATGATTATGAAATCAGCTGAGGGAAAGATCAGCATGTCTGGAAGCAACAGGTGCGGGGCAGGGGAGGGGAAGCTGGTGGGCCCATCCTGGGGGCCCTTCTGAAGGAAAGGAAAGAAGAAACACGGAATAAAAGAGAATCGGCACAGACAGGATTTCAGTATGAGCCCTCATCCTTCAACGCCTGTTAGGCTTCTCCTGCCTTCTTTGCTGTTTTCACCTTTGATTTTAGAATCATTTTAGATATTACAATTGTGAAAAATAGCACAGAGAATTCGCATACTCCTTTCACCCAAATGATCATCTTAGGGGATATCATAACCCTAGAACAGTACAACGATCAAAACCAAGAAACTGACGTTGGTATAATGTTATTAACTAAACTGCATACACTATCCACATTTCCCCAGTTTTCCCATAAATGCCTTAGTTCAGACCCAGGATCCGACCAAGGGCACCCTCGTGTTTACTTGTTAGTAATGACTCACTTTTGTCTCCCCACATCTGGGATAGCTTAGCGGTCTTGGCGTTGTTTTGTATGATCCTGACACTTTTGAAGGGTACTGGTCAAGTATTTTGTAAAATGCCCCTCAATCAGTGTTCGTCTAATGTTTTCTCAGGGCTATACTGGGGTTACGGATTTGGGGGAAGATTACCGCACAGGTGAAGTGCCATCCTATTGTATTATATCGGGGATCATGATCTCAACACAACAGGGAATGCTAACCTTGGTCACTTGGTTAAGGTGGTGTCTGTCAGTTTCTCCACTCAATCTGTCCTATTTGTCCCTTTCATCCTGCCTTCCTTTAACCTGACCACCACCCTGCATCCCAGCCTGCTCTCCCAGGCCCTGGACTGCAGGCGCAGAAACGCCTGTCCTGTCGGAACTCTCAAAGCGCTTTCCTGTGAAGCTGTCCCGTGTGTGGTGGACAGGATTCTCAACAGGGCATCTCAGGCACCTTAAGGGTTAAACAGGCTTCTGTTTAGAATGACAGGATCCTCCTCCAGAGCCACACAGGGGAAGGAACAGGCCTGCATTACTGATGTTGAAATAAAATCATCTGGAAGTATTTTCATTTGAAGCTGGCTTTCAGACACAGAGGCAAAACACACTAACAAAAGTAATCTGGGGCATATGGTATTCCTTTCAGTCATAGGCATTTTTAATATAAATCCCCTAATCATTTATATCTTGGTTTTCAGTTTATTGTGAAGCCAAATCTCTTATTTCTCTCCAAAGAATAAATTCCCTGCCTAAAAGAAGTGAATTATCCTTGCTTGAAAAAAAGGCAAAGTGCAGCTCATCCTTACTAGACAGATCATCTTGCTATAAGTGCTACCTAAACACAAGCTTTTGTTGCTGCTGTAGTTTCTTTTTTAAATTGAGACTGCAAATATGCTCTATCATGATGAGGTTTTTCAAAGTTCTCCCTTTAGGGGTTCCTTCCTGACTCCTCCTCCCACTAGGTGGCGCTACATATCACATTCAAAGCGGGCTGTTCGAGTCGGTGAATAGTTTGTGTTGAAACCTTTGCAAGAATGTCTCTCGAACTCCCGACGGCAAGTACTAAACTTCATTGTTAATTAAACACTTCCCCGTCTCTTTTCACATTTATTGTCATCAGACAACTGAAACAGGCCAGTTCTGAATTTCTGTAATACAGTCGGGCAATCTTAGGATAAATGTAAGTTTTTAGGGGCCTGAAGAATCATGACCACATAGTAAGGCAAAAATTCAAGAGTTACATCACGAAGGCAAGAAACTGGGGAAAGGCTTCCATTCACTAACTCAGCATTGCCTGGAATATGATCTCAACAGTGCCCCCCAAATTCTTCCCTACTCAGGATGTCCAATACTGCTCAGAAGTTCCCCAATTACTTAATAACATTCCTCTCATAAATTCAATTTCTAAATTTTGGCTTCACAACAGTTTATTTATTCACTATATAAATATCCCCCAGAGAGATTTTTAAACTGTATCAAATTAGCAAAGGTTTTAAAGTGCTGACAAGCATTTTTAAGACATCCTTATAAAATGCAAAGATGAGGGAGTACAATTTCCTCTGATTACATATTAGAGGCACATATTTAATAAGAAACCTTATGTTCACAATTGCAACTCATCGCTTAAGCAGAACAAATTTTCTAAAAGCTTGGAGTTTACTATCATTAGGAAACCCATACCAAGAAACGATGCTCTTTTTCAGCCAAGTTACTATCACTTGGTGGAGGAAGATTTCCCCCTAAGGAAACGAGCTAAGAATATCAAGTTCCCGACTGGGCCCAGCAATTTGACTGATGGTGATTGCAATTTGCAATTGTTCAACTGTGTCCCGGAGAGATACGAGGCCTTTTTGGTTGTTGTTGTTGTTGTTGTTGTTGTTGTTGATATCAGAGAGTTTTGTTTGCTCTGCAACACTCTTCTCATGAAGTAAGCATCTGGTCTATGTGAGGTTAGCCCCTATTGTCATTAATTACACAGGCTTATTTCATTCCCATGACCCTGCCAAAATACAGATTTGGCACTTATTCTTTCCTGGCCAATCAACAGACTTATTTAAAGGAGACAAATATTTTGGCCAGGGTATTTTCTTTTTAAAGAGCAGGCAGGAGATTATAACGTAGTGGTGGATTTTCATGGAAGTCTGTGAATTTCACATAAAGTATAAGAGCGTATTATAAATCTCATCCCTGTAAAGGAATATCCATTCACACAAGGCATTCCAGTCCAAGCTCTACCAAGTGTTTTTGGTGTTGTTTAATGCCCGGACTATGATCTCAATAGTGTCCCCAAACTGTTCCCTACTCAGGATGTCCAATATTGCTCAGAAATTCCCCAACTACTTGGTAACTTTCCTCTCATAAATTCCATCATTGTCCCTGCCTTCTCGGTGTCTGCTCCCGCATGTGTGAGGGTGTGCGCGTGCGTACACACACACACACACACACACACACACACAGAGGAACTAGGCTGATCAACTTGCACTTCTGGTTGTCTATTGGGGATGAGCCCAGAGTTCAGACATTTAGCAAACTAGATGACAGTATTTTGGGTCCCCAGCCTGTGACCAGGTGGGGAATGTCTAGGTACTGAGAACTTCTATAGACAAGTACGCTAGACTCAGAGTCCAAAGTAACATCTCACTCTCTTCCTAGCCCTCATCTATTCCCAATGTTCTTTCCTCTGCTCTAAGGACAGAGCGCCCTTGGCCATCAGTCCACATGACCTTGCATGGGCGGCCAGACTGCAGCTTCGTGGCTCGGATTTCATTTCAAACTCTTCACACAGAAGGGGCTTGCACAGTACAGGAGGGTGGGAAACTGCACATGGAGGGACTTTGCAGCTGCTCCCAGCTGCTACGAAATGCCAATTTCTCCTCCTAGGAATCGAAAGGGCCTCTGCTCAGTATGCCTCTCTAATGGACTTGAAAAACGGGGCCATGATCGTTCGAGGCCAGAAAATTTCAAATTTGGATGAAGTCAGGGGAGCACTAGCTCCTAAACTGTGAGCTGGACAATCTTTGATCTTCCTGTATGCTCTAGAATAAAATGATTCTAGTGATGTCCTTCTCTGCTGAAATTGTCCAGATTTGGCTAAAGAAAAGAAACTGAAATATAAGAAATAGACATGCTAGTGTAAGAGACTGGATAATAAATATTTCCTATCTTGTACCAAAATAATAGACTGAAATATTATTGAATCTAAACATTTATATACATACATATGTATGTGTATGTGTACACACATATTTAACTACTTTATTAATAAGTATCTTTTAGCTTACAAGAAAAAAGAGACATACCTTTTAGTTGGTACAGACAGAAACAAGCAGAAGAGAGCCTCCTTATTAAATTCTAAGCTCGCCTGCTCTTGAACTACAGTAGAGGTATTCGGTCCTGACTTCCAGCAAAGATCTCAATGTTTTGAAGCTAAGGAAACTTTTTCCTTTCCTTTATGAAGCCACCATACATACAAGAGAAATGGACACTATTCATTGCAAGGGACTGCTTTACCGTGACATGCAAGCCACAGACATTTGTTTTAGTGATATCATGTCTGCTAAATTAAGTAATGAGGAGTGTTTTTTTTTAAACTCCACCAGGGTCGAGTTTCTCAGCATATAAAAATTTGCCTTTGTTTTATTTATTTTAGAGAAAGTCTATTAGGACATTTAAATTAGTGAGAATAATTTTCTTTCTAGAGATTTTGAATAATAAATATTTTCTTTATCTTTACTACAAATGTGCTCAAATGAAGGAAGTGTTTATTACTTCACTCTTGGAAAAAACTTCATAAAGTATTTTATTTTCTTCCCAGTGAGAGTAATTGACTGAAAAAGTTCAGCAACAGGTATTTCTAACTGACAAACTCATTCTCCAAGACACTTTCTTCAAACTTGCTAATTGCAGCAGATTTGTCCCTTTGTGAGGACAGTAGGTGGCACTGCCACCACAAACTATCATGGCTAACTGAGTGATTTCACTGGGCAAAAAAAGGCTAGACCTTTTAGGATTCTCCCGTGTCAATGTACACCTAAAAATAATTATATAGGTTTTTCTCTTCCATAATTCACTGCTGGGTGCAAATATCTGGAATTTATTTCTGTTCGTGTGTGTGTCTGTGATAGTGTGGTCATAAGTGTGTGGTACAAATCCTGTATTGCAAAGTTTGGGCTGACTCATGCAGGTCTAACTGAATCCCCTGTTCTAAACTATTAGCTAAATATAAGTAGCTAAAATGCACTTAATATTTAAGTGGCATTCTGGGTGGGAGATTTTTTTTTCATAGACGAGCCTTCAGTCTTGCTCACAAACATCAAACTCCAAGTTCAGAGCCAAGATGAAAGAGAACTGTGGGGAAATTTCATTAAATAATCACATAATCCAGGCTCCATAGGTTGGATTTTTTTAAAATAAGTTTCCTATGTAATTGAGTTAAACGTAAATTTATGCATCCAATAAAAAACCACTGCAAATGGGAAAACAAAGACATTGCTCCAACACTTAGAAAATTAAATTCAGCAAACCGTGAAGTCTACTGTGCAGTTATTTTTGTGACCACCATAAATTGCTTTACAAAACTCTTCTGCTGCAGTAAACAATCCAAGAAGAGATTTACTTTATAGCATGCATTCAGTTTCCAAAGGAAAGAGTGGCCTACAAGTTTATGACTCTTTTTTTTTCTTTCTTTCTTTTTTTTAAAAAACTACTTGTGTTTCTAGTTACCTTGAAACCTTCCTCCCCTTACAGGAGCTCAGAAAGGTCCATGGAAAATAAGATCCAGGTCTGCAGATACACCGTGCCCTCAAATACTCATTTCTGGAATAAGAAGAAACAATCCTACTTTGTGGAAATAAAGTTTATATGGCAAAAGGAAAATAAAGGGTTTTAGTACTAAATATTTCACCATATTTAATAGCACCTCAGAGCCCAACATAGTGTTAGATGTTTCAGACAGTCAGCTTGAAATGTGTTCGCTTACAGCACAGTACGAGGCCGAATTCAATGCAAACTGCTATAGATAAGAGTTTTAGGGGTCTTTAATCACTTCTTTCTCGTGTCCTTGATGGAAAAAACAGAGCTGCCTTTGTGCTAAAAAGAAGGACCTGTTGTTTCCAGATTCAACAGGTCATTTTTATAAGAACTTCCCAGAGGATACAACATAAATGACAGAAACACAAGGGGATATTTTAAGTGGCTGATGATTTTAAATGATATATCATCTATATTAAGGGAAGGTTGTTTGTTTTTTCTTTCCAACAAATGGAAAGTTACTGTTTTAAAAGTGTTTAATGTTCAAATTCTATTTTTAGGGCCAAATCTTTTCTCTCTGAGTGGATTGACTGTAAATTCGGCTCCTGAAATCAATCTGAGACTGCAATTGGCCCCTCAAGTAAATAAACTTGTCAAATCATATCCATTTCTGTGTTGGGGATGAATGATTAATTTAATGGGCTTTTTGAAAATACCTAAATTATGTTGTAATTTTTGTAACTGTTTCAGTTAAAATAACAAAGAGAATGCATCTTTTATGAACAAGATAAACTTTATAAAATGGAAAATTCTAGCAACATAATTTTTACTGGTACTTTGAAGAAAGAAAAAAAAAGCCAATATATTATGGCAAACAAAATCCAGGCGACACTAGCTTTATTAGAATCTGGCTGATTTTATTATTAAAGGTGGTCTGAATTTGAAGAGACTGGCAAATTTAAGATTAAGATCTAAGCCAGACTTATTTCCTAAACTGTATTGGCAAAGTTGTGCCAATGTATTTTTCTCTCTGTTGTCTTCTTCTTTTAATTGGCTACCTTATTTGTAAAGAGGATTGAAGATCTTTAGAAAAGTTTCTGTCAGTCAAAAGACAAAAGTTACTTTTCCCTGCAAATATCAAAAGCACTTTACAAAACTCATTCCTTGCCCTCAAACAAAAGTTATTGCCAAGCGTCCTTTAAAATACAGTGCCTGGTTGCTTTCCCTTGCTCAGACAGACATATATTTTCCAAACTACCCAGATTCTCTGGTTCTTGACACTTTTACTAAGTCTCTATATTACTTCCCACCTAGGACAACTATCTGGCAAAAGGTCAAGGTAAATAAATACCTGATGGTAAAGACTGTGTTAACCACAAAGAACTTTCCAAAAGATAAAGAATGAAAACGGGCTTCCTTGGGAAGGAGAAGGCAATCTATTAATTGTTGAACAGGTTTCTAATTTAGAAGAGACTTTTTTTTTTTCCTTTAGTTAAATACATGAATACTTTCGCAGAGCAGGAGAAAGAGACCAGACTGGCTATTTGCTGGCAAGGGATTCCCAAGGATGAAAATTATGAAGGCCAGAATTTCCCTCCCACTCTCTCCTTCAACATCCACTTCCCAGGAAGGAGAAGGCGGAGAGGGAAGAAAGACCCTTGACGACCCTTCGCCTTCTGCATGAAGTGGGGAGGAGGGCGAACTGGGGGTCACCGAGGGCTCCTCCACGTCTTTCCCAGCCCAGGACCCCCGGATCCTTCAGCCCCAGCCCGGGCCCGCCCCGCTCACCGGTACCAGGCGAGGCCCTTGTCGTAGCTGCGGTCGAAGAAGTGGGGCTCGGCGCCCACGGCGCGCACGTCGGGGTGCACGCGCAGGAACTCCAGCAGCGCCCGCGTGCCGCCCTTCTTCACTCCGATGATGATGGCCTGCGGCAGCTGCTTGCTGCCTTCGTCCAGGAGCAGCGCCAGGGTCCCCGGCGGGGCCTCGGCCACGGTGCTTCCGGCCCCGGAGCCGCCCGGACCCCCTGACAGGCCAGGGGACTCTTCTTCCCAGGCCGCCTCCTCGCCGTCGTCGCGGGGCGCGGGCGGCCGGCGCCTCCGCCACTGCGGCAGTTGCAGGAGGCGCTTTCTCTGTGCCGCCGCCGGCCACACCGCCAGCTCCCTCGGGCCTCCGGCCAGGACGCCGCCACCAGGGGCCCCCGCCTCCTCGCCGCCGCCGGACAGCCCCACGACGGGGCCGGACAGGGTCTGGCAGCGCTCGGCCAGGCAGTAGAAGACGTAAAGGGACGTGAGCAGGGAGCAGAGCATCAGCAAGAACTTCCGGAAGATGCTGCGGGACAGCGGCTCGGCCGAGGTGGAGAGGGCACTGGCCGGGCCCGGAGGGGCCATCCTAGCCGGAGGCGACGTCGGGCAACGCGCCGGCCATGCTAGGCCTGGACCCCGACAGGTGCCAGAGCATCCCCCCGGCGGGCCAGCGCGCTGGACGGAGGCCACATCGCCGTGCGCCCCTGTGGCCGTGCGAACTGTCCCGGGAGGCAGCGGCCGGGGCTCCGCGGGGAAACGGAATCCCGGGGGCCCCGCGCAGGATCCCTGCCTCCAGTCGAGGGAGCGGGAAGGGGAACGCGGGTCCGTGCTTAAGAAACCATCGTCTTAGACTCGCCCAAGTCCTGAGCTTGGGGCAGCCTTGGCCCCTCGGTTCCCCGCAAGAGTCGCCGGAATCGGGGTCTTGGCAGCGGTGTCGAAGGCGTGCGTCTCAGCCCCGGCCCCGAGAGACTTCTCGGCGCGGATCTCCGCTCAGCGATCCTGCATCACTGGCTCGGTCCCCGTGAGGGCACGCGCGGCTGCCGGGCCTCTGCGCTCCGTGCGCTCCAGACAGTGGCGAGCGACAGTGACTTCCAGCCCCGGCTTTCTCTGGTCCCCTTGCCCGCCTGGGCGCGTTCTCTCCGCCCGAGTTCAGGTTCTCTCAGCCAAGGAGCGAGGTCCCCCCGAGTCCCTCTGCCCGAGCGGGAGACAGGAGGCCCGTGCAGAGCCGTCCACCCCTCTCCGTAGCGCCGGGTTGCTCCAAACTGCTCTTGGACCCCACCTGTGAGCCGCGTGGCTGGGCTGGGCTGGGCTGCGCGGGACCTGTCAGCGGCCCCCGCCACTCTGCTCGCAGGCGCTCACCGGCTGCCTCCTGGGCCGCCGCTGGCCGCCGCCACACGTGGGACGCCGAGGGCAGCAAACTTGCTGGTGACGTCAAAGGCCCGGGCCGGACCAGCCCCCGGACGAGCGCAGCGGGGCGCGGACCAGCGGCCAGGCGGGGCCAGACGGGCGGGGTGGGATGGAGAAAAGGTGGCGCGGGCTCCGCAGCAGCCGCCCAATGGCACTGGAGAGGGCGGGGGCGGCAGGGGCGACGCCCCTTCCCCAGTGTCCCCCATTCCTCCCCGCGGCTTCGCCCCCTTCCAGTGGATCCGGTGTCTGCGGCGGCTCCGGGGTTGCCTGAGTGACAGCTAAGGCCGGCCGGATCTCTGGGGGCCTGACTTCCACCCAAGACGCCACTAGCTTGGTGAGGGGCCCCAGAGCTCTCCACCGCAGCTCAGCCCTCCGCAGCCCTGACCCTCCCTCTCCAGGTTCCCCGCGCTCTGCTCCCCTCTTGGCACTGTTGCCCTATCCTTCCCCATCCCACTGCTTTCCATCGCCTGGAACCTACTCCTCGTCCCCTTGGAAGTTTTGTTTGCAGCAGTTCCCAGTACTGCGCTGCACGCCACGCCCCCGTTTGTCTGGAGCAAACCGAATTCCTCTGCAGCAGCTTGGACTTCTACCTACTCAACTGTCTGCTGCGGGTCTTGGAGCAAAGCTCTTTCTCGTATCAGTCTGTTTTTTGTTTGTTTGTTTTCTTTTCTTTTCTTATTTTGATTGTTTTCCCTTGGATTTGTATAAGATGATACAGTCCTCCAGGGCCTAGAAAGGAACAACCTCTTACGAAAAAAAAAAAAACCAATGCATAAATCAAAGGCAAAATTAAAATTTAAAAAAAATTCAACTCCGATTCCAAGTCCCTATGCCCAATTTTTAATGTAGTGTGTATTTCCTTAATGTTGTTTGTACTTTTGTGTGTGTGTGTGTGTGTGTGTGTGTGTGCGCGCGCGCGCATGCACGCTCGCAAAGAGGTTAAATGTCCTTTCATAAACTGCGGTTTCCTCTTTCCCTTGCCTCCCCTGACCCTATATCCTCTTCGTGCGCTCCCCGGAGAGCAGGTCAGGAAGGGATACAAACCGCCTTGCTGTCTAATGGAGGGAGGTGGCCCGTGGAAGCTGCATGAGGTGGTTTTTTGTTCTAATCCTATTTGTTCCTTATTTTTTGGCTTCCTTGCCTCCACAGGTTGCCTCACCATGTGGGCGGTAGCTTGGGAGCTTCTTACCAGCCCCTGCAAGCTGTGGAGGCAGCTTTCTGGGACCTCTGCGGGTGCTAACAAGGGCCCACCGCAGGCTCAAGGTCCACGGTGCAGGAAACTTACCAGGCATTTCTGCGTCCCCATGCAGGAACTTCGCAGCCTTTCTGTGCTCTATTTGACCACGGAAGTGGAAGTCAGCTTCCACTTTTTCAGCTTCCAAGGGGCACCTAGTGGTTCTAACTCTGGGCTTGCATGGATCCATGAATTTGTGCCCTGCTAGATAAATACTCACTGCTGGATATGGTTTATGGTTTTATGTTTATGAACTACCAATCCCAACTGATTCGACAACCAGTGAAGAGCTTTTTAGATTCTGATGCCGTAAAGCGCTGGGCGTTTACGAGGATGGACAAGCCCTGCCAAGCTGTAATGTCCTTTTGTGTTCTAAAATTGGATATTGACAAACCAGTTGAGATCTAATGCTAACTTAAACTTTCCTGTGTTTTCACATTTTTTCCCTAAGTACTTCAGTCAGATTTGCAGAAGGAAGACAACAAAACAAAGACCATTTTTAAGTTGTTTTGAAGGCATGCAGTCCCGTGAATGCTTATAAACATGCCCCAGTTTCCTGGACTGGAAAATGATGGACTCGAAGTTCCCTTCTAGCTCCAACATGACATCATAGCATGTGTTTAGTCTTTCACTTTCTGAGCACAGGTCTTTCCTTTACGTGGGTATTAAAGATGCTCGATGTAGGAAACATGGTTCTCACCATCACTTGCATGACATGTAGGGCAGCTCTGCACTTTAGAAGCAAAATGTGAGCCACAAATAAAAGCTGCATGGATAATTTTCAATTTCTAGTAATTTTTTTCTGTGTTTTTTGAAATGGGGTCTACTGTCACCCAGGCTGGAGTGCAATGGCACAATCTTGGCTCACTGCAACCTCTGCCTCCCGGGCTCAAGTGATCTTCCCACCTTAGCCTCCTGAGTAGCTGGGACTACAGGCATGTGCCACTACACCTAGCTAATTTTTTGTTGTTGTTTTTTGTAGAGATGGGGTTTTGCCATGTTGCCCAGGCTAATTTCTAGTAAATATTAGCACCTTACAAAAGGTTAAAAAAGAAGCAGAGAAAGTTATCTTTTCATAATATGTCCCATACATCCAAAAATGTGACTGTAACATGTAGTCAATATAAAAATGATTGAAGTCATGTATGTTCTTTCTTTTCATACTAAGTCTTTGGAATCCAGTGTGAATGTTACACTTCTGCACATCTCAGTTGGGACTAGCCGCATTTCAAATGCTCAATACCCCTAGGTGGCTGGTGGTTACCCTAGTAAGACAGCACAAATGGGGATGTTGTTTTGGTGGGAGGGGTGAATCTGTCAGGGTCTTAACAGGAATCAGACAGCACATTCAAATTAGGATAATGCACGGAGGGTTTATTTACAAAAGATCTGTTTATAAAGGACTAGAAAAGACAACAACCCTAGGGTAGTAGCACTGGCGCTGTCACTACCCTTATGTCTGAAAGAATGAGGGAAAGGAAGGGCTACCAAAACCAGGAGGGAAAAAGTCCATAGAAGAGGCCCTTGAGAGTGGCAGCAAGCTTTCGTGGTGACACACAGCCTGTCCAAGGCACCTCTTAGGAAAGGAATCAGGGAAAGAAATGTTCTTGATAAGACAATAGGGGATAGGTATGTGGCATTATGTTTAATCGTGACGAAAATCAAGAAGGGTGATTAAAGTCTCATCATAAAATTAGGTACAGTCACGCTACATAGCCTTTTAGAACATGTCTTCTTTCATCCACTTAGATGCTTACACTAGAATAGAAACAAGTTGGAGCTGTTGATTACTATGGTTCTTTAATGGGGAAATAAATGCCTACCAAAATACCAAAGAGCGCAATAGACTTTGTTGCACAGCTTCTTCTTGTTGTTCCCTTTCTCTTTGTTATTCCATGTTTATTAGTCAAGGTTCTCCAGAGAGATAGAAGTAATAGGATATATGGATATAGATAGACGTCAATATAGATAGATGGATTAGAGACAGATGATAGAGATAGAGAGATGAGAGGTGATTTACTAGGGAAATGGCTCATGTGATTATGGAGGCTGAGAAGTCCCACGACAAGCCATTTGCAAGCTGCGGACCCTGAATGCTGGTAGTGTAGTTCAGTCCAAGTCTGAAGGCCTCAGAGCCCAGAAAGCCAATGGTGTAAGTTCTGAGAACCAGAGGTCCACTGGTGTAAGCCTTGGAGTCCAAAAGCGAGACAGCCTGGAGTTCCGATGCCCAGTAACATGAGAAGGAGAATGTATCCCAGCTCCAGGAGGTAGATAAAGATACCTTTGGCCGGGCTCAGTGGCTCATGCCCGTAATCCCAACACTTTGGGAGGCCGAGGTAGGCAGATCGCCTGACGTCAGGAGTTCAAGACCAGCCTGGCCAACATGATGAAACCCCGTCTCTACTAAAAATACAAAAATTAGCCAGGCATGGTGGTGGGTGTCTGTGATCCCAACTACTGAGGAGGCTGAGGTAGGAGAATCGCTTGAACCCAGGAGGCGGAGGTTGCAGTGAGCCAAGATTGCACCACTGCACTCCAGCCTGGGTGACAGATTGAGACTCCATCTCAAAAAAAAAAAAAAAATGACACATTCGCCTTCCCTCCGTTTTTGTTCTCTCTAGGCCCCCCAGCAAGTTGGATAGTGCCTGCCCACACTGAGGGTGGATCTTTCCAACCTAGTCCACTCAGACTCACATGCTAATCTCCTCTGAAAACATCCTTACAGAAAGAACCCAAAATAATGCCTTCCCTAGGTATTCCTCAGTCCAGTCAAGTTAACACCTAAAATTAATTATCACATCATGTTAAAGCATGCTTTCAAAACCCTTGAAAGCAATAAGGCTCTGCCTTGGAAAAAGCTCCAGGTTTATCTTGCTATCACAGAAGCTGGTCTTATGCTTGGTGGTGAAATGGGTGAGGTCTGTGTTCAGTGACTTTCAGCTTCCCTCTCTGTACCCTTCTGGCTTCCTTACTGTGATGCCTACTCTTGCAATGCCACCCAGGGTCCTCTGAAGCCTCCCACCTTCAATCCCTTCCCAGACCTGGATCTTATAAACCTGTTATTCTACCGTACAAGCATTGCTTACCATCTCTCATGCCCTACCACAGAGGTTTAACATTGTAAAGTAAGTAATATTTTTAAAGAGGACTCACTCCCACTGACCCATATATTAATAGTTTATACTCATTTAGAAAACTTAATATACATTAATATATAACAAATAAAACAATTACATCCATATGCACATCCACCTCTTTCTCTTCCTCTCTGAGAGAGAGGTGGATGTAGATATATGAGAGAGATAGATTGACAGATTGATCAACAGACAGAAATACAGATGCTTTTTAGAAAAATACTAAAAGTTTCTAGTAGCGTGGAGAATGTGGAGATCACCCTTCGGCCACCTGTAATAATGCGCATAATTGATGTGCATGAACTCATGGGTAGTCCTGCTCCAAGAATTTAGAGTGCTTCACCGAAGATTTTGTACCTCCCCTTTCCCCAAAGACCCACATATCTGAGAAACAACCCTTACGGCTCTCCAGAGCCCTGCTCCTTTCCTATCTGTCTCTCAGTCACATCCCTGCCTCCATCGCCTGCCAGGCTACCACACACCAGCCAAACCAACACAGAAGCCAATGAGCTCAGGAGCCCATTGATGTGATCTATATCAAGGTCAGGATATAGATTAAGGGTAAAAGGCATTCAGAACAGAGTACGTCCCACAAGTGGGGAAACAGATTTAAGAGCTTATAAGCTTAGCGAGCCAAAACATGAACACACCCCTTAGAATGCAAAATTATATTGTATTCAATAAACTATCAGACTTCATGTTCCACACTCACCAGATTCATTTTCAATTCACAAATTTCACCTGTTTCTTTCTTTCTTTTTTTTTTTTTTTGGAGGCAGAGTTTCGCTCTTGTTGCCCAGACTGGAGTGCAATGGCGCGATCTCAGCTCACCGCAACCTCCGCCTCTCAGGTTCAAGCAATTCTCCTGCCTGAGCCTCCTGAGTAGCTGGAATTACAGGCATGCACCACCACGCCTGGCTAATTTTGTGTTTTTAGTAAACGTGGGGTTTCTCCATGTTGGTCAGACTGGTCTCGAACTCCCAACCTTAGGTGATCCGTCCGCCTAGGCCTCCCAAAGTGCTGGGATTACAGGCGTGAGCCACCGCGCCCAGCTGACCTGTTTCTTTCTGATTTGAGGCACATGGTGTTTCTACCTAGAATGCACCGCTCCCCTACCCCAACCTGTCCTTCAGATATCAGCTCGAAACTCATCTTCAAGGATGTTTTCCTGGTGCATTTCTTGCCCCCCGGTTTGATGAGATCTCCTGGTATGGATTCTCATAGTGCCCAGCACTGTTCCTTACAGACTGTATGAGAGTTTCTTGCTATATAGATGTGTGGTTGTGTCTATGCCTCCCCCTTAGACTACAAGCACACCAAGGGACCCTACATCGTTGCCCATTAGTATACCTAGAACATCTAGCTTATTACCTGTTTAAGGAGATGCCCAGTAAAGATGTGTTGAATGGACTCATGCATCCAGAGGTGGGGCAGGGCCTGAGCACACTGCATAGAAAAGCCAAGACGCCGGCGCAGTGGCTCATGCCTGTAATCCCAGCGCTTGGGGAGGCAGATCACCTGAGATCAGGAGTTTGAGACCAGCCTGGCCAACATGGAGAAACCCCATCTCTACTAAAAACATAAAAATTAGCAGGTGTGGTGGCATGCGCCTGTAATCCCAGTTGCTCAGGGGGCAGAGACAGGAGAAACGCTTGAACCTGGTAGGCGGAGGTTGCAGTGAGCCAAGATCGTGCCATTGCACTCCAGCCTGGGCAACAAGAGGGAAACTCTGTCTCAAAGAAGAAAAAAAAAAGCCAAGAGACCAGAGAGGACATGGTGTGCTGTGAACAGCTTGTGTTTCAGTGGGAATGAAGTATGTGATTGGCTTAGTGGAGGTACTGAAGGAAGCTAGAAGTAGCAGGAAAATAAGACTAGAGCAGAAATCAAGAGCAGATCTTGAGGATCTTGTACAATTTTCTTGACAGGCTACACTTTTGTGGGACATCAGTGGAGACTGACAAGGTCACTTTGCATTTCTAGAAAGCTCTCCTACACAGTGTCGAGTCAGGGTAGCAGGATTCCAGTTGGGTGACCAGTTCCTATTAGAAGAGAGCAAAAATGACAATCAATTATTAGCTAGAAACTAGAGGGAGATTTCATGGAGGTGGTAGATTTCGAACTGGGTCTTGAGAAACGTGGGGCAGGAGGGGACATTGAGTCACAAGGGATAAGCACCACCCAAGAGGCAGTCAATCAATATTTGTTGAACAATTAACTATAACCAAATCTTCACTTATCCCTGTTTTAGTGTTAAGAAAGTGTTTGGGACCAGGGTCGGTGGCTCACGCCTGTAATTCCAACACTTTGCGAGGCAGGTGGATCATGAAGTCAGGAGTTCAAGATCAGCCTGACCAAGATGGTGAAACCCCGTCTCTACTAAAAATACAAAAATTAGCCAGGCGCAGTGGCAGGCACCTGTAATCCCAGCTACTCGGGAGTCTGAGACAGGAGAATCGCTTGAACCCTGGAGGCAGAGGTTGCAGTGAGCTGAGATAGCGCCACTGCACTCCAGCCTGGGTGACAGAGTGAGACTCTGTCTCAAAAAAAAAAAAAAAAAAAAAAAAAAAAAAAAAAAAGATGGCTTAGATGTCTATCAGTGGAGGATAGTTAAATCTATTCTACAGGGTTTATGCAGTGTTTTTTTTTTAAAAAAAATCAGTCAATGTATGCTCACTGATAGGAAAAAAAGAAAGTGTTTCTATCCATTAACTTAAGAAAGTTTCCTAGAAGCAGACGTTGGATTTCTGCAGCCTCTGGGGCTTGTCTTAGACTTCTGCATTATGTTGTAGTCTCTGTTTTCTGACCTACCCACTCCTCGTGTTTTCTGTAGGTTACGCCCAATTCCTGGGAACGAAGTTACCAAATGAGAAGTCATGTTCCTTTTATCATAACATTGTCACCCAATATTTTCGCTTCCATCATTCTCGCTCTCAAAACTTGCATCAGGATTTTGCTGTCAGAAACCACCTTGAAGACCAAAAAAAAAAAAAAAAAAAAGAAAGAAAAGAAAGAAGTACTGAAATCAATAAATTAGTAAGGAACCTTGCAAAATTGTCCCTGTTCACCTGAAAAGGAATGCAGTGAACAAATACCAAACTTAGGGCCACAGTTAGGCTGTGAAGATTATACCCACCTTAACATATATTTTTTGTATTTTTATATTTTTTATGTTATGCTTTATTATTGACAAACGGAAACCATTTGCTTCTCTGAACTTATTTTAATCACATTCCAGGATGTCATTCGCATGGCAGTCATTGCAGATTTGTAATTTATAATGCTAATGTTTTGTCAGATGGCAATAAAATGTTTTTGAAGAAGCAGTACTTGATCTAATTTGCACAGTGGTGTCAAGGGGACTCACACAGGTTCTAGCACTCTCCTGACAAAATTTGCCCCAGACATGTGCGAGTCCCGGGGAAGAGTGCTTTCTGCTATGTGTGTTGAGAGGCAGATGAGAGTTGGGGAGCGATGGAAGTGAATAGCTCTAATTTTTCTCTCCCCCTCTTCTAATAACAGCACCCAGATTTTCCTCAGGGCAGATACTCTTCCCTGGACTCATATCACAAAATCCTAATAAAGCCAGCCTCACCCTCTGGCTTTAGTTGTCTAAGCAGCCCAGCTTCCTGTCCAGAGGGTTTGGTTTAAAAGATGCAAGTAAATCGAGTCAGGCTCAGAGGTTCAACTCTAGGACTTTGCTGCAACTACTGAAAAAGAAGTGCTCTTCTCCCTGGGCTGCTGGACTGGCAGGGTGTAAACCTGAGCTGCTGGTTATCATGTTTTCCTCTCTGATTGAATCAACACAGGAATGCGGAGGCAAGTAAGGGAGAGAGAGATTCCAGGAAACTTAATCTGAGGCCCTGGATTCATCTCTACCCTGGAGCTTGTAGTTACATGCGCTGATAAATTCTGTTGTTGCTGTTGTCATTTTCAAGATACATTGGGATGTTAGAATACCAGGTCTCTCTCGATTTCAACAGATGTGGTTTTCTCCTTGTTTTTTTTTTCTTGAGACAGGTTCTCACTCTGTCACCCAGGCTGCAGTGTAGTGGTGTCATCTCAGCTCACTGCAGCCTCCACCATCTGAGCTAAAGCAATCCTCCTGCCTCAGCCTCTCGAATAGCTGGGACTATGGGCATGCACCACCAGTCCTGGCAAATTTTTGTACTTTTTGTAGAGATAGTGCTTCACCATGCTGCCCAGGCTGGTCTCAAACTCCTGGCCTCAAACAATCCACCCACCTTAGCTTCCCAAAGTGCTGGGATCACAGGCATGAGCCACCATGCCCAGCCTAAATTTGGTTTTCTATTCTAACCTACAAAATTCCTTGCCTGCCTGACCAGACATTTTCACCGGTGATTTCTTTTTTTCCTTTTTTTTGAGACGGAGTCTTGCTCTGTCACCCAGGCAGGAGTGCAGTGACACGGTCCTGGCTCACTGCAAGCTCTGCCTCCTGGGTTCACACCATTCTCCTGCCTCAGCCTCTCAAGTAGCTGGGACACCAGTGATATTTTTAATGACCCCAGCGTGTGCTGCTCCATGCCCACCAGGTGAAACCTACCAGGACGCACCTGCTCTCACCTGTATGACTGCACCTGTTTTCCTGCTCCCAGCACACCAGCCAGACCCGAACTGAGGCCACCTAGCCTGACTCTAGAGAGCCTGCTCAACTGGAGTTAACTATTTCTGACACTTTAAACAGCCATTTTTATTTACTCTAATAGGAGTTTAACACATTACTAAATTATTGACTATAAAACAGGAGTGTTTGCTTTTGAAGTCTAATTGATTATTCTTATATAACAAATATACCCGTTGCTTTGGATTTTATGTGCAACTCATTCCAATATAGTTTTCAAAAGCTTTATTGTTCATGAATGAAAACCATTTGCTTCTCTGAACTTATTTTAATCCCAACAATATTAGGAGAAAAAAAAGGACTGATCCGGACTTGCTTGGGATAGAAAGCTACCTGGTCCCAAAACCTTGGGTTTATTGAGAGTCAAAGCACATAAAAATAAACAAACAAACAAAAATAGGACCTCAGGATGTTCAGTGCTCAAATTCAGGTGTCTGATTTCTTGTTCTCAATCCCAGGAATAATGAAGTTAGCATTTTAGAAAATTGCTTTGAGGGCTGCATGCTGGATGCATTGGAAAAACTTGAAGTAGATAACCCAGTGGAGATGCTATAGTTAGGTGCCAGGCATGAAATCATATCAGCCCAAACTATGCTGTCAGCAGAGCGTGCAAATAGAAAAATCTAAACTATCTTCCAAAGAAAGAAGCAGAAAACTCTGTGATGGGGTAGATAAAGCAGGTGAAAGAAAAGCAGAAATCAAAAGCCACTCCAAGTATTGCCATTGAATGGTTCCTTCACAGTTGGCCTTGTGTTTATTTACTGGCTGGTTTCATCTTCTGTCTTTGCAGTCAGGCATGCTGATGCCCTGCTCCAAATTGACTTGGGGATGTGCCAGGAGGGGTAGCTCTGAGTGGGCAGCAGACAAGAGGGCAAGCAGGGACAGAGGTTGGGTCAAGTCACTTTTAGAATCGAAGCTACAGCTTTGGTCACAAGTCAGCTCTCACTGTAGGACGAAGCAGGCCTGAAATGAAGTCACAGTGACTATTTCAATTGCTGTCTAAACCATACACAATTCTTATTAATCTCATGTTGGGGGCAAAATTCTTTCCTCAGTCTTGGGTGAAATGATGATTAAAAATCTATCAATTGCTAAACTGTGAGTTATTATTGAGTGTGAGTTCGAATAAAATGAGAGAGAGATCACCAAGAATTTCTAAATAAGTGAAATTTAAATAGGCCCTTGTAGAAGTAAGATTTTTGCAGATGAATATAAGCAACGTGGGTGTCCCAGGTTGAGAAACAAAACAAATGAAAATTATTACCCATGGTAAGAATTGCTTTTACCAATATTATGACCAAAACTCTTTGTAGTTTGGACCAGAGGGATGATGAGGAAGGGAGAGGAAACAAGGCTGATATTTACTAAAGGCTGGGTATTACACACAGCACCAGGGTTTTCCTAGCAGGTCTTTCTCTGAGTGGATGCTCAGGTTTTTTTCCTGTCACTTCCAGTATTGAAAGAGGCCAGCATTTCCCCGGGTGTAATCTTTATCCTGAAAAGTGTCCCATAAAAAATTACGCTGTGATGAAATAAATTTGGGAGACCATATCCCCTCTTGAACATTCCTGATAAACATTAGCATATTACAGTCTCTGAGATGATGTTGCAGTAAAGATACTAGTTGAATTCAACATTTTCCAAGCTTTAGGACCACGGGATCTCTTTGTCTATGCCCTATCTGGTAACATTCATTGTTCTGAGGAACACACATCAGCAAACACAATCCTCAGCTTTATAGGGATTGCTATTATCAGGAACCTCAGAGGATGAATGTTTTGTGAACATATTGGGGCCTCAGCTGCATATAGTGAGGGCCTGGTTTACTTTGAAACCAGGTGGGGGGATATTTCACCAAATATCTGGAATTTTCTTTGTTCTGTTATTTCTCGAAGGGCCCACTTTCCCCAAGGAATAGGGATTTAACTAAGGTCCTCACAAATGGCAATTTTCATGAATTATTGATTTGGCCAAAAATAATTGAAAAGGTTTATAATTACATAGAGATTGCCTCATGCTTCTTGCTTGTACCCTGAGTAAATTCTTTCCTATTCTGTGATATATGCAAGAAATGGGTACAGGTTTTGAAATATACCTCATTTAAAAATAAATTAGAGTGCAAAAAGGTCAAGTGACATGTTTGAGTAAATTCTTTCCTACTCTGTGATATATGCAAGAAATGGGTGCAGGTTTTGAAATATACTTCATTTAAAAATAAATTAGTGTGCAAAAAGGTCAAGAGACATGTTTGAGTCTCCTGTACAGCATCCAGGTTTTCAAAATTGGATACAAAAAAAACAAAGCATCAGAAGAAAGAAAAACTCATAGTTGGAAAATGAGACATATTGAAATAAGTAGCATATTGCTAAAAGTTGATTCAATGAGGGTGATGTGGTTATTTTCTTTGTTCTCTTCTCAATTTGTTTTCTGAAAGTAGAGAACCACACTTTTTTTGTTTTATTATAATATTGGTACTCCTTTATTTTAAAGGTACCATATGTTTTTCACAGTAGATTAAAAACTAATCTTTAGGTGATCTTTTGAAGGAGGTGGGTGTATATACTAGACCTGAAAAGTAAGAGGAGTTTGAGTTAGTTTTCTTTGTTCCCCATCTCTAGAGGAGGCTTAAAAACATTCCTTGTGTTTCAGGAGGGGGAGGTAAGTTAGGGGGAAAGTGAGAGTGAAATGTTGCTGGTTCCTAAGCAGGAACCATTTCTAAGCCACAAGTCTAGCAGAAGCTGGAGCAAAGACATGGGTCCTGAGATAGCCTGAGGGAATGTGAAAGCAAAGGAGGCCTGTAGGAGGGCCAAGGGAAGGGGTGAGTCTCAAAGAGCCCCAGAGAGTCATGATTGCAGAAAAAAAGAACACATGTGATGTAGCACTTCCAACCACTCTCCAGGGGCCCCTCAAAGCTCCAAAATGGAAAAGGCACAGAAACAACTAAAAAGTAGCCAGGTCTGGAGAAGCCAGGGTCTCTGTAACTGATACAGCTGTGATCACTATGGAGTGGTGACCAAGGGCCAGATGGCCCATGTATGAATAATGGCAGCCAAAGCCAGATTCCCTGTGATGTCTTGGCATTCTCTAAGACCACTCAGGAGACCTGGGGGCAAGATCAGAGGAAATGATAAAGGCTGTGAGGTGGGGGTAGGGGAGAGACCCTGAGATTACCCGGAATGGACCAAGAAAAACGGGCCCTGAAAATGGAAATTCAGTTCAATTTTCAAAAAGCACGAGAAAGTTAATTTTTACATACCTGATTGTCCTACCCAATATTTTGTGTCTGCAACAGTCACTGAAGGAGTTTACTAAATGAATTTACTAATGGGAACCTACAAGGCATACCTTAAAACATCCATCCATGCCACCTTTTTCAACAAATGATTTTTTTCTTTTTAGTTCTAATTATTTTCTACACACTATAGATTTTTGAGTTATATGATTAAACATTCAGAGTGAAAGATTAATTACTGGTAGTTTTATGCATATATACTTAATCAGAATTAAATACATTTTTAAAGTATGGATGGTTCAATCTCCTGCAGTCTAAACAGCTCTTATTTAATTAAGTTAATAAATATTTACAGAGCTTTTAAGAATTGCTATACTTTCAAGTCAGGGCTCTCTTCTACACTCATTGCCAAAATAATTTCCTCTTTATTTCTGGAATACCTAGTGGAGACAGGGACACATCATACACAAGTATATAGACACACATTAATATGAATAGCTTTATATTTCCTGCAAGAAGTTTGAAATGATTGTTCTCTTAGGACCCATCTCATTTCTCCTGCTAGTAATTGATTTTTTTTTAAGTAGAAAAAAAAATGACGAATACAGCTGAGCCTGAATATTAACTGTAATTAGAATAATCATTGCAGGTGCCCCTCAGGTTATTTAATATTCCACTTAAGCAAATTTTACCTTGAGCAGGTTAGTTCATAAAGCACATAAACCCCCTGGAGATGGTAGAAAATAAATGATATTTTAGAGATGATGGAAAATATTGCATTATCTGCAAAATCACAGAAGGCTTGGTGCACAGTTGGGTAACTGAAAACGAAGTAGACAGTGGCTACCAAGAAGAGAAGTTTTATTTTCTGTGTCCCATGCGGTTTTTATTCCAGGTCAGATATGGGCTCAGACTCTTACAGTACTATTTGCAACACTCTTCCCTTCACTGCTTCATCCTCCATTGCATTTTTGCCATTGGAGACAAAAATCTAAATGATGTCAACCCCAAAGCACTAATGTCCATCTCCTCTCTTGCCTTGTCTAATATTTCTTTTCAAATTGTACTGAAACTTCTGGGACAGAATGATTGCATCAATTTTTTTTTAAATGAAAACACATATAGAACAACAGTTAAATAAATGTACATTTTTAGTTATTATTTTCTGTACAGTAATATAGCTTTTCCAGGCATATTGTTAAGCAATTAAAGTGAAAGATTAAGTACTATATTCATTTCCTAGAACTGCTGTAACGAATTACCAAAAACTAGGTGTGTTAAAACAATTGAAATTTATTTTCTCTTAGCTCTGCAGACTAAAAGTCAAAATCAAGGTGTTGACAGGGCATGCTCCCTCTGAAAGCTCTAGGGAAGGATGTTTCCTTACCTGTTCCTTACTTCCCAGCTTCTAGTGCCTGCTAGCATCCCTTGATGTTTCTGCCTGTAGATGTGTTACTTCAATTTCTGCATATGATCATCTTCCCTGTCTGTGTGCCTGTGTCCCTTCTATTAAGGATACAGGTGATTGGATTTAGGGCCCGCCCTAATCCAGTATGACCTCATCTTAATTTAAATCTTAATTTGCAAAGATTCTTTCCAAATAAAGTCACATTCGTAGGTACTGAGGGCTGGGACTTAAAGGTATCTTTTGGGAGGACCGAATTCAAGCCACAGCACACGTGACTATGCAATTAATAATAATAGCTAATTAATAATGCAATAGGCTGGGCACGGTGGCTCACACCTGTAATCCCAGCACTTTGGGAGGCCGAGGCAGGCAGATCACCTGAGGTCGGGAGTTCGAGACCAGCCTGACCAACATGGAGAAACCCTGTCTCTACTAAAAGTACAAAATTAGCCATGTGTGGTGGCATATGCCTGTAATCCCAGCTACTCGGGAAGGCTGAGGCAGGGAGAATCGCTTGAACCCGGGAGGTGGAGGTTGTGTTGAGTCGAGATTGCGCCATTTCACTCCAGCTTGGGCAACAAGAGTGAAATTCCACCTCAAAATAATAATAATAATAATAATAATAATGATGCAATAATTAGTCAATACAATTAATAATAATAGCTAATTATTTTTAGCTTTTACTATCTGTCAAGCACTGTGTTAAGTGCCTTGCAACCATTATCTCACTGAGTCCTCCCAGGGCCTCCTTGTGTGTAAGTTGTATTAGCCCCATTTGACAGCTGGGGATATTGAGGTCCAAAGAGGATGAGCAAACATGCCAGAAGTTGCACAGCTGGGAGGTGACATGATCAAGCTCTCTCACACCTCTGCCTAACTCCAAAGCCAATATTAATCCTTAGGCTGGGCATTGTCCTACTTAACACAACTTACTCATAAAAGATACTCTTATTTTATCTCAGACTAAAACACACTTTTTCAACTCAATCTGCAGTTCCTTGTTCTGTTTCTTTCACACTTTTAGGACTAATAGAAACATCCTCAAAATGTTAAAACCCCCCAAAGTTTTCTTCTCCCAGAGCTTCTGCTCATTCTAACTTTTGTCATTTCCTAGAAAAGGCCTATAGTTGATTTTCCTGCAAACTTAACCCCTTCTCATAATTCCTGGAGTGAGAGAGAGATTGATTTTGCCAGTGTTACTACTCTGAAGGTATCTTTTATTTCCTATCCAAAAAAGGGAGCATTTTATAGCCTCATCTCTTTAACACCCTGCCCTTTAACTGCTGGAATTGTATTAGCTGGGGCTATGAAGATAATGCTTAACTTTACTAATTAAACACTAAAAGCTCAAACTCACCTCTAAGCTTTTTACAGCTTGACCTCCGACACAGACCATATTCTTTTAAAGGACTTAGAATGACTAAAATCCCAGACTATCTAAGAACACAACTTTTTAAGACTCATTTAGGGCCAAGTGCTATGCCTTGTGCTTATAATTCCAGTACTTTGGGAAGCCAAGACAGGAGGATCACTTGGACCCAGGAGTTTGAAAACAGTTTGGGCAACATAGTGAGACCCTGATTCTACCAATTTTTCTTTTCTTTTTTTTTGTTTTAATTAGGCAGGCAAGGTGGCATGACCCTATGGTCCCAACTACCCCAGAGACTGAGGTGGGAGGAATGCTTGGGTGTGGGATGTTGAGATTCCAATGAGCTATAATTGTGCCACTGCACCCTAGGCTGGATGACAAAGCAAGACCCTTTCTGAAAAAAAAAAAAAAAAAAAAAAAAAATCACGAAACCCCATTTACAAAGGAAAAAATAGCATTTTTAGACATAGTCATGTCGAGACAAAAGATAGACCCTATTTTGCTTGTATATGATTAGATCTCTTTGTGAATAGGCAGAGAAATTCAAACTGATGTATTAAACATCCCAAAGAAAAAGGTAAGATTAGGGAGAGTTACTGAGAAAGCAATTCTGAGTAAAATTTTTTACCTAATCAATTTCTCTATTTGTTGTAAGGTAACAGTCTAACCTTTTTTTTCCCCCAAATAATGAAGTAGTTTTCCTGATACCTAGTCTTTCCTTACTGACTTGAAATGATACATTTATCTTATGTTTGTCACATGTCTGAATCCTGAGCCATTTTATTTTGTTCCATTAATCTGTCATTTTAATCAGAACCACATATTATCCTAGTATTATACAATTCATCTTATGACTCCAAACCCTAAACCACCTTCTATGGACTAAATGTCTCTCCCTCAAATTCCTATGTTAAAGCTCTAATCTCTAATATGTTGGTATTTAGAGATGGGACCCTTGTGAGGCCATGAGGGTGGGGCCCTCATGAATGAGATTAATGCCCTTATTAGAAGAGACGTAAGGAAGATGATCTTTGCCTCTACCATGAGAGGACACAGCAAGAAGGCAGCCACCTATAAACAAGGAAGAGAGCCCTTACCAGAACCCAACCATGCTGGCTTCCAGCCTCTGAAACTGTGAGAAACAAATGTTTATTGTTTAAGCTCCAACTGAGACACTGGCATTTCAAAATGTCTCAGCTATCTTTATGTATTTATTTTCCTAGAAATTTTAGGTTTATAAGATCAAGTACCCCCCCAATACTTACATTTTTATTGAACTGTTATTACATTTATATATTGCTTGAGGGGATTCACATATTTATAATATAATATAATTCCTTCCACGAACATGGTATACCTTTTTTGCCTCATTCAATTAACCTAGTTCATCACAGAGGAAAAATTTTTCTGTATCTTCATAAAATTCCTGCATCATTTGTTATGGTGATTCCTAAGTCATTTAGGTATACAATTGTTTTGTGAATAAATCTTTTCCCTATAATATTTTTCACAATGTTTCACTGATATATAAATAAGCTATTAACTTTTCCACATATACATTCAATAATTTTCGTCTTTACCAGGCCCTTCTATTTGTTTCAATGGTTTCCAGTAGACAATTTTCTAATCTATAGATGATGAAAATTTTAAATCTTCTTTCCAAAAAGTCTAACTCATTCATTTTTTTGGTCATGTTGCATTGGTTACAAGTATAAGAAGAGTATAAAATAATAGTAAAATAGCAGGTATCCTTCTTATGTTTTATGTTAATAATGAGGATGTTTCTATAGTTGGATCTTTAGGAATGACATTTGTTCTTTTTCTCCTACACATTCTTCATCCAATTAAGGAATTAGCTAACTTTATTGCTAATATTAAAAATACACATTTTACAAATAGTTGGATTTTGTTTAATGCCTTTTACAACTATTGGGATACTCGCTTTTTTGCTTTCTGTGATCTAGTAGCATTTTATATTACATCAATTTGTTTTAATGTTGAAGTGTACACATATCCCCATACTTGGTAATGTGATATTATTATTATCATTTTGCTATTGTATGTGTTTTGCTAGGATATTATTTGGGACATTTGCAGCTATATTTATTCAAAAGACCAGGTTTTGTTGTATCCAATTTTTGCCAGGTATATTTTAATGATTAAGGCAAATTTCTAAAATGACATATAAACTTTAAATTTTTGTTGTTGTAGTTGTTTACTTTTTTTCTGTTTTTCCAAGAAATATAAATTACTTGTGGATTATATATTTCTTGCGGGTAATATAAAAATTATTCATAAATCAATTCAGGTCTGGAGCCTTAATTGGCAATTAAATATTTGTTCATGGTTGTTTTATTAAAATTTTCTACCATTTCTTGAATCAGTAATTATTCCTTAAAATCATTCATGAGAAGTCAGAACAAGATGGTAAACTGAACACACTCCTCCATGTTCCTACCCACTCAAAGTGAATCTATTAGTTTAGGTGGAGGGGGAGGAAAAATAGTAACAAGTAGACTAGAAATGTTGCAGAATGGATGAAAGCAAGATGGAGCATAGATAAGGTATGTGGAGCCAACTGTCTGTCCAAATAATGTCGGAGAAAACCATTACAGAGATGAGAGTGGTCTCATGTGATTACAATGCCACAGTCAAGGGGTGGGTTCCAAACACAGAGGGGCCATTCTTCAGGGTGATGCAACCCTTTCCCCTACCCTCTCACCCACAGTGTGCCCTCGTGTGGCCCGGAAGTGGAAAAACCCTCAGACATTCTGGTCCTCACGGGCCAAGCTGGCCAGAGCTCCAATCCCTTATCACAGTGACCAAACTACATAGAGAAAAAGAGGCATGAAAACAAGGACTCTTACAAGACTTGCCAAATGTTAGGCTGAACAAGTGAAATAGCCATTTTTATGGGTTACAAAACAGTTAGACATCAGTAACGGCATTGAGTTCCACCTAATTTGAACCAACGGGAAAGGTCAATACTTAATTGGATTAAAAGAAGAAACACCTGGAGATAAAATAGCTAACAGAGGAAACAACAACAGCAAAAACACTTTCAATAAGTAAAATTAATATCAGAGAGGATCAAGAGGTTATTACACTCCTAGAAAAGAGGTAGGCATCCACCTTATGACTGAAATTTCTACACAGTAAATCTCTTTCCCATTAAAGGAATTGATGAACATGAAGAAATAATTTACCTCTCTCCCATTTTAAAATCCATCAATTAAAATAAAAGGAAAAGAGAGGAAATCTCATTTAACTAGAACAGAGCTGGGGAGTCAAGCTTAATTCTGCTTCTATGCCTTCTGGAAAATTGGCATAATCCTGATGATTTTTACAAATATTCTCAAGTCTGGTGAGATAAAACAGAGAGACCATCTTTGTTTTTTATTCTTCTGACCGATGAGAGGTAGAAATTGCTTCTGGGGAGTGGTGAAATGTGTGAAAGGAGTTAGTTATTAGGTGGCCCCACATACTGGCCGAATAAAAACATGGGTTATAGAAAATGTTTTCAAAGACAAACAGGAAATAGAAAATCTGAAAGAGTTACAGGAAAAGTACATTTGTGTTGACTTCTAGGAAGGCAATTTGCCACCCTCTATAGAAATAGAAATGATAAATCCCTCCAGAAATTTATGCTAAAGAAATACTTGCACTTGTATTCAAAGATGTTTATGCAGAGATGCTCAATTTCCTTGTTGTTTGTAACAGCAAAATTGATGACATCCTAAATATCCATCAATAGAGGGGTGATTGAATAAATTAAAAGGCAACCTTCCTGGGAAACACTCTGAGGGTGTAAAATTGGGTGAGTTAGATCCATATGTCATTAACTGAGTTTTTCATCAACACATTTGTTTAAGTGAAAAAGCAAGTTCCAGAGGAGTACAGACAGAATAACCTCAGATGTAGATTTTTCCCATCTGACATGGAAAACATGTAAATGCTTCAGTGGGGAAAAAGAATGAACACCCAACCCTTGACAGTGGTGTGTTTGCTTGTTTGTTTTTTTGTTTGTTTTGAGACAGAGTTTAGCTCTTGTTGTCCAGGCTGGAGTGCAATGGCACAATCTCAGCTCACTGCAACCTCCGCCTCCCGGGTTCAGTCTTTAAGAAGGAGAGTAAGAGGGAAAGAATGTGGAAAAAAAGGCATTCTTGTTTTGCTATACTTAATTGTTTTCTTTCCATAATAACAATGTTTTATTAGCATAATTACTTAATAAACATTAAAAAAAGCTAAAATTATTATATTTACCAAATAGTGTATGCACCCCATTCTAATTTTTAAAAATATTGTATCTATTTATGTCATTATTTTAATTCTCATTTAGTAACTTGCTTTCAGCTTTATTATTAAGCTTGCCAGAGTTATACATATTTATTTATTTTGTTCACAAAAGCAACTGAGAACTATATCTATCATTTCCTATTTTCCAATTCATTGATTTTTTTTTTTGCTTGTAACTTTGTTATTTTCTTTCTTCTTTTCTTAGATGCATCTTGTGCTGTTTTAGAATTTTGAGCAAGAACAAAGATCATATTTTATTTATTTTTCTTTTTTCTTTTTTGGTGATGGAAGTGTTTAGGATTTTAAGTTTTTTTCTGAATGGAACATTGTCCACATCCCAAAGGTTTTCTATGTGCTGTTTGTATCTAACTGACACTAACAGATGACTTGTCTTTTGCCAGGCACAGTGCAATAAAACTTATATATAACATCCCATTTAATCATCATAACAATTCTAAGAAGTGGGAACTCTCTTGTCCCATTTTACATGTGAGGGAAGTGAAGCATGTCTTTGGGTAGCCAACACACCGCCATTCTTAGTCCGTGTGTTTTGGGAAACGTGGATCCTGCCTGACCAGAAGGGTGAGTGGACACATGAGGCAGGGCTAACTCTTTCTTGGCCACAGTGATAGGATCAGGATGAGGCAAGTTGCCCAAATTCAGTCCATTGGAGTCTTCCCTAAAACTTCTGCTGGAACTCTCCAAACAAAAAGAAAGAAAAATACTCTTTTTCATGGACTCTCTAGCTATAAAACAAAATGAAAACAGATAACTCTTTCCTCATTTTGGATAAGGTTAGCCTAAGATTGAAGACAATACAAGGATACCATTGGTGATTTATGGAGAAAATGAGACATATTCCTAATAATATCATCTGAGCACTTACAGCAAAATGTGCCTGAAGCCAGAATCAGCCCTTGAATTTTCTGGTGATAGAAGTCAATAAATTCTCTCTTTTTTGTTTGTTTAGGCTAGTTGAGATGATTTTCTATCACTTAGAATCAAAACAGTCCTTGCAGACAGAGTTAAATCCTCTCGATCCCATAATTATTTTTTGAATCCAAAATATGACCGCAAGTAATCTAATACCAGAGCCCATGCTCATAAGCATGAAACTCTGTTGTCTTTATTTACTCATTTTGTTTATTTTTCCGTTTATGTATGTGTTCACTCATTCATTTATTCATTAAACACATACGAAATTAGATAAATATGGGCTTGATCATTTACTTCTTTTAAAACAGGGGAAGCAGTATAGAGATCTTTCTAGTTGTTATGGTTAAATATTGAGGGATTTTGAATAAGAGTAATATATTACAATTTACTTATTGAAAAGATTACTGTAGCAATGCATATGGAAGGAACTTTATAGGAACAAGAGAAGGAGCAAGAATATCAGTGTAGAGACTTGTTTTCTGGGAGAGAAACTAGAGTGTTATTGATGAAGACACTGATAAGAGAGGATATTTGAAATATATTTTGGAGGGAGAGCAAATGAATCTGCTGATGGATGCAATGTGGTGTATAAGAAAAAAGGGAAAAATCAAAGATGGCTTCTAGGTCTTTGGCCTGAGCAACTCAGAGAATGATTATGCCATTTAAGTAAATATTTAGAGAAACAGAGATAGTGCAAAATGGCTACTGAATGGTTCCGGGTAGAATGGTTCAGAAGCAAAAATCAAATATAGAGATTTGGTCATACTAAGTTTGAGGTGCTTGTTAGATATCTAGGCGGAGATGTCAAATAAATATAAATCTGAAGATCAGAATATAAACTCAGATTAGAGATGTAAATGTGGGATCCACCAACTTACTAATTGCATTTATTTATTTTTATTTATTTTGAGATGGAGTCTCCCTCTGTCGCCCAGGCTAGAGTGCAATGGTGTGATCTCAGTTCACTGCAACCTCTGCCTCCCAGGTTCAAGTGATTTACCTGCCTTGGCCTTTCGAAGAGCTGGGACTACGGGCATGTGCCACCACGCTCAGCTAATTTTGGTATTCTTAGCTGAGATGGGGTTTCACTATGTTGGCCAGGCTGATCTCAAACTCCTGACCTCAAGTGATCCTCCCACCCTGGCTTCCCAAAGTGCTAGGATTACAGGTGTGAGCCACCACACCTGGCCCTGATTGCATTTAACACCATGGAAATAAATTTAATTTTGTCCTGAGAAGAGAGCATAAAACAGTATAAGTAGAAAAGTGAAGAAGACCAAGGTCTGAGACCTGGAATATTCCCACATAAAATTAGGAAAAGAAAGAAGAGTATCTTAGTCTATTCATGCTGCTATAAGAAAATACTCAAGACTGACTATTTTATGATGGAGAGAACTTTATTTTCTCACAGTTCTGGAGGCTGGAAAGTCCAAGAACAAGGCGCTGCAGAGTCTGGTCTGTTTCCAAGACAGCAGCTTAAATGCTGCAGCCTCCAGAGGGGAGGAGCACTGTGTCCTTACATGGCAAAAAGTGAGAGAAGCAAAAGCAAAGGCCACTTTCTGTGTGGAGGAATTTTTTTTTTTTTTGACGGAGTCTTGCTCTGTTGCCAGGCTGGAGTGCAGCAGCAAGATCTCGGCTCACTGCAACCTCCTCTCACTGCAACTTCTGCCTCCCAGGTTCAAGTGATTCCCCTGCCTCAGCCTCGTGAGTAGCTGGGAATACAGGCACGTGCCACCATATCCAGCTAATTTTTTGTATTTTAGTAGAGACGGGGCTTCACCATATTGGCCAGGATGGTTTCAATCGAGAAGCCTCTTTTATAAGGGCCTTAATCCCATTTACAAGGCAGGCACCCTCATGACCTAACCACCTCTTAAAGGCCTCACCTTTTAACACTATCACATTGGCAATACCTGAATTTTAGAGGGGACGCACTCAAACCATATTATGAAGCCAGAAAAGAAACACAAGAAGAAGCAGTCCGTGGGGTTAGAGGAAAATAAGTCTAGCATAATGAGGTGGAGGAAAAACTAGTTTCAAGAAAGATCAGCTGTGTCTACTGGGTCCAGTGGTGTTATTAACCAAGTAGAATTAGACATAAGAAATAGAGTTTAGCAAGATGTAATTTATTCCTTAGCTTGGCAATAATGGTTTCATTAAATTATTATAGTGAGATCTAGAGAGGGCTTCATCTTTTTCAGATGGAAAAGGAACACGTGTAGCATGTGTGTTTCTTGATGGCAATGCTCCAATTGAGAGGAAGAGCATTCTAGGTAAGCTAGAGAAAAGTTTGGCAAACAAGGGAGGGCAGAGAAATAGGCTGGAAACTGGAAGGGAAGGTTGAGGAGATTTTTTGAAAGATGAGATCTGTTGTATGTTGTATGTTATATGTTATATTTCATGTTGACAAGAATGACTCAGTCCATAAGGGAAGGACACAATTACAGGAACTAAGGCCTTGGTGTTTCACAGTGGGCAAACCTACCCCAAAGTCCAAGGAAGCTGATAGCCTTAAAAAAAGAGGCTGACAAATCCAGCTTCTTAGAAAGAAACAGTTCATAGGGACTTACACACAGAAGCCAAGTCTGTGTCCCAGGTAATGTCAAGGCAAAATGGTGGATCCTGGTGCCATTACTCCCCAGAGCCAGGGCTTATATACCACTGGAAAAGGGTAATTCAGAAGGGATATGTAGGACAACTGAAGTATGACAATATCAGTGTTGTTTGATCTAAGGGCAGGATTTACAGTAAGGAGGCATTCTTATATAAGGAGGAATAGATAAACTGGAAACCTTAGAGATCTTCCAGGAACAGGGGTTCATCAGAAGTCAACATGGTGATTAGCATCCAAGATAAAGCTGATTCAGTTTTCATACTGGGGTAGGTGAGAAGTAAAAAGATCTCATACCCAAGAAGAGAAAATGGCCCGGGGCACAGGTAGATTAAGGCAAAGTATATGGGTACAGGTACAGGTGAATCTGACATTTGGTGGTAGAGGAAGATGAGGCATGGAATTCTCTTACGTAACTTTCATTTTAACCATTCCATCACCTTCTATTGTTCATGCTAACTTACTCAGGAAATCCTATTTCAGTATTTATTTTATCTCACCAAGACCTCGAATGCGCTTTTCTCATACTGGTGTTTCACTGTTCATTTCTGTTTTTTCAAGGCAGGCTTATAGGGTTGCTGCTGGAGGAGGCTTGAGGTAGGGACAGAAGGTGTGTTCTTGAGGTAGGGACAGAAGACGTGAAATTAAGGGGGAAAGTGAATTTTCTGGGAACTTCAGAAAAGACAGCCCACCTGGCATTTGTGCTCACAAACTTTTTAATACAACTCATCAGCCCAGTTTCATTTGCATTTTCTTGAGCTGTGTTCAGATGCCTGAGTGTAGGTTGAAATAGATCAAGATTTGGGACCAACCAAGGTGTAATTTTTTAAACAAATAACTATGAAGTAAAAGAAGAAAGGGAATTTAAGGAGGAAACATGGGAGAGATGGAAGAGATTGTAAGAAAAACTGTGGAATCTGAGCTGATTGGGAGAAAGGAAAAGACACCAGAGGCCAGGCGCTGTGGCTCACGCCTGTAATCCCAGCACTTTGGGAGGCTGAGGAGGGTGGATTTGGATCACCTGAAGCCAGGAGTTTGAGACCAGCCTGGCCAACATGGTGAAATCCCATCTTTACTAAAAATACAAAAATTAGCCTGGCGTGGTGGCAGGCGCCTATAATCCCAGCTACTTGGGAGGCTGAAACAGGAGAATCGCTTGAACCTGGGAGGCAGGGGTTGCGGTGAGCCGAGATTGTGCCACTGCACTCCAGCCTGGGCAACAAAGAGCGCAGCTCCATCTCAAAAAAACAAACAAAACAAACCAAAAAAAAAAAACAAGGAAATATCAAACAGTGGAAACAGAAGAATCAACATACACATGTGAGGAATGAATAAAAATAGGATGCAATGATTTGAGGGCTTTTGGAGATAGTACAGTTATGGGTAATGATGACAAGGCAGTAATGTTGGAATTTTTTTGACTTTAACTTATGGTAAAAAATCTTTTTTCTTTTCTTTTCTTTTCTTTTTTTTTTTTTGAGATGGAGTCTTGCTCTGTCACCCAGGCTGGAGTGCAGTGGCTCCATCTCGGCTCACTGCAAGCTCCACCTCCCCAGTTCAAGCAATTCTCCTGCCTCAGCCTCCTGAGTAGCTGGGATTACAGGCGTGTACCAACACGCCTGGCTAATTTTTGTATTTTTAGTAGAGATGGGTTTTCACCATGTTGGTCAGGCTGGTCTCGAACTCCTGACCTCAAATGATCCACCTGCCTCGGCCTCCCAAAGTGCTGGGATTACAGGCGTGAGCCACCGCGCCCGGCAACCTACAGTAAAAAATCTTACATGCAATTCAATATACATACACATGCTTACATCCCTACGTGTATAATTAAGTTTCACAAAACACTACTGATCATTACCACTGAGACACACTAAGATAATGCCAGAAATACTCTGGTATTTCCCATCTATTCTATTTCATTAAAAATTGCAGGTTGCAACCTACTATATTTTAGACGTATTGTTGGGTTATGGCTTGCAGTTTGTAAAGTGCTGGTCTTAGGTATGACTATAGCAGTAGGTAGCAGAAATGGAGTGAGGGAAAGAGTTGGTGGAAATAAGGAGGTCAAACAACAGGAGCACCAGGATTGGGGTGAGTCATTTATGTGGATGTTGAAGTCACCACAACTGATGGTGAGTCATTATATTTTTTCTACATAGACTGTAGCCATTATCCACATGTAACTATTTAAATTGAAATGTTTAAAAGTTGTATTGAGGTGTAACTGATATACAATGAACCATACATGTTAAAGCTGTACAAGCAATAGCTTTTGACATATATAAGTATACACAGTTTATGCATCCATATTCACAATCAAGATACTCAACATATCATTAGCCCCTTTCTACACCTACCTGCTCCATCATCAACCTACTTCCCAGAAAATCTGATCTGTTTTCTGTCTCTATACATTACTTTGCATTATCTAGAATTTTATATGAAAAGAATAATACATTATGTGATCTCTACAGTCTGACTTTTTCAGCATAATTAGCTTGAGATTCATCTATGTTGTTGTGAGCATCGATTACTTTCTTTTTATTGCTGAGTTGTAGACTATTTTAGGATATTCCACAGTTTATTCATTCACCTGCTCTGAACATTTGGGTTGTTCCCAGTTTGGGGCAAATATGTTGCTGTAAGCATTGCTGTATAAGACTTTGTGGGGACATACGCTTTCATGTCTCTTGGTAAATACCTAGCAGTAATTGCTGGATCATGGTTTCTTTTTAACTCATATATTTTCTATTTCAGACAGAGACCGACATGCTATGGCCTCCGAAGAAAAATTGATACACAAATAAACTGGTCTTTTGCCTAGACTGTGTAAACCAGCATTGGAATCTGTGTAATTGCATCTCTGCCTGTTTGCATACATAAATGAACATTTAATCTCCCACTTTCCAATATCATAGTTAAACATTTGCCTGAGATCTGTAATTTAAATCCGTACAATTCCAACTCCAATATCTTTCTAGGAATTCTATTAAGAGAGGCTAATTGCCTTTAATGAGGGGATATACTACTTTTCTTTATGTATGTTTGTAATTGACACTTGAATGCTTTATTTTTTAACATGACAAAGATATTAACTCAGTAATTTACATATACTGGGCTGAGTTTAATTCAAATAAGGACACTGATTTGAGAAGATAGTAAAGTAATTCAAGTTATTGGTGAATGATTAGCAAATATACATTTTAATTACATCCATGCAGAGGAGAAGACAATATAGAAGTGGTTCCCAAATATCAGTTTGCCTTAGAGTCACATAGAATACAGATTTCTGGCTCCCACTCAGAGTTTCTAGCTCAGTAAGTCTAAGGTGAGGCAGAAAATATGCATTCCTAGCAAGTTTAAGCTAGGGTTGCTGGATCACAGCTTGTGAACCCCTGTAGTGTGATTACACCTGTGGGCTCACCTGTGTTCAAATCGCCACACAATTATCTAGCACCTGTGACACCTTGGGCATATTACTCTAAGCCTCGTCATCTCTAAAATGGACATGATGTTAATAATGCCATAGAAGAGGCCAGGCGCGGTGGCTCACGCCTGTAATCCCAGCACTTTGGGAGGCTGAGGCGGGTGGATCACAAGGTCAAGAGATCGAGACCATCCTGGCCAACATGGTGGAACCCCGTCTCTACTAAAAATACAAAAATTAGCTGGGCATGGTGGAGTGCACCTGTATTCCCAGCTACTCAGGAAGCTGAGGCAGGAGAATCACTTGAATCCAGGACGCAGAGGTTGCAGTGAGCTGAGATCATGCCACTGCATTCCACCCTGGTGACAGAGTGAGACTCTGTCTCAAAAAAAAAAAAAAAAAAAAAAAATATATATATATATATATATATATATATATATATACACACACACACATATATCATAGAAGATTTTGTGGCAGGGTAAGATAATTTACATAACACACTTTAAGCAGAATCTGTTAGCTGATACTTTAATTATAAACTTAAAATATATGGTAACATAAATCACCGAATTTAATGTGATATTATAAAAACCTAGAGCATGATATAACAAACAAGAGACAAAAAGACCAAACTGTCAATGAACAGTTTTATTTTGTTTTGTTTCTCAGGAAACAAATTCGAAATTGGAATCTCTTCCATTTCTTTCCCATCTTCACTTTCTCCTTCCAATAGCCCTTGTTGCCTCCTGGCAGGTGTAATGAGGTCAGGAGAGGTCAGAAGATTTTTAGGAAGCCTTTCAATTAAATTTCTTGGCACCTGTGATGATTGGGCCAATAATCTCTTGAAAACAATGGTAGCTTTTTCTATTTGATCCAAAATCTACCTGTCACCATAATTAACTCCACTGGCACAAATCCCTGTCTCATCAATCCAGTCATTAAATGCAGCTAGTTCTTACTCAAGTGCAGATGTATAGAAAGGTCAAGACCTATTAATATTAATAAGACCCATACGGCATAATATATGAATTATGAATTATTAAACTAAGGGCAAAAAAGGCTTGTAAACATTTTGCTAGAGTGTAATATACTCAGGACAAGAATCCTAGTGGAGGCCGGGCCCCATGGCTCGTGTTTGTAATCCCAGCACTTTGGGAGACTGAGGCGGGCGGATCACTTGAGGTCAGGAGTTTGAGGTCAGCCTGGCCAACATGGTGAAACCCTGTCTCTACTTAAAAAAAAACAAAATACAAAAATTACATGCATGGTGGCAGGCGCATGTAATCCCACCTACTTGGGAGGCTGAGGCAGGAGAATCACTTGAACCCTGTAGGTGGAGGTTGCAGTGAGCCAAGACCACACTACTACACTTCAGCTTGGGCAACAGAGTGAGACTCCATCTCAAAAAAAAAAAAAAACAACACCTAGTAGAATACTAAAAACAATTAAAACATATATGAAAAGCTTGAAAAGACTTATTTACTCTCAGGTATCCAAATCAATAATAATAATAGTAATAATAACAATTTATTTTGTTCATTTATCCAACATTTATTATGTGACTTATATGTGCAGCATACTAAGGATAGAGTTAAGAACAAGAAGGGCCTGGGTGCAGTGGCTCACGCCTGTAATCCCAGCACTTTGGGAGGCCAAGGCAGGTGGATCACCAGGTCAGGAGTTTGAGACCATCCTGGCCAATATGGTGAAACCCCGTCTCTAATAAAAAAATATAAAAATTAGCCGGGCGTGGTGGCACTCGGCTGTAGTCCCAGCTACTTGGGAGGTTGAGGCAGAAGAATTGCTTGAACCCAGGAGGCGGAGGTTGCAGTGAGCCAAGATCATGCCACTGCACTCCAGCCTGGGCAACAGAGAGCGACTCCGTCTCAAAAAAAAAAAAAAAAAGAACAATAGGGATAATTCTCGCTGTCACCAAAAAGGTGGCCTGAAGAAATATATAAAACAAAAGCAAATACATTTAAGTTTGGATATTGAATGATGACTCCTATGATGAAAGTAAATGGACTTGTAGGGCAAACACACCCCATAGCAATAACTTAGGCATACCCTTAGATTCACCCTGTATGGCACAGGCATCTGAATGTGTGTTCCGTGCTTGGGAAACTGGGCATGGCCAATCGGGAGATCCATTCCTTGTCTATGAGGAACATCCGAGCACCCATGGGCCATACAGGGGATTGAGCTCCTGAGTTTTGGGTTAAATGAAACTTACCAGGAGGAGGTAATTAAGGGGAGGGTATTAGGTGAAAATGTCATATAAACTGCATGCTCTTTGCAGGGGGTTGCAGTGTTGCTGCCTAGCTCGCCACCACTAGACTGTAGGTAAGGCAGGTATCTTGTTCAACTCATCGCCACTGGATTCTGTACCCTGTATGTAAACCCCTGATAATACCCCAAGTATAAGTTCATGTCCTTTGTAGGGACATGGATGAAGCTAGAAACCATTATTCTGAGCAAACTATTGCAAGGACAGAAAAGCAAACACCTCATGTTCTCACTCATAGGTAGGAATTGAACAATGAGAACACTTGGACACAGGAAGGGGAACATCACACACCTGGGCCTGTTGTGGGGTGGGGGGATGGGGGAGGGATAGCATTAGGAGATATACCTAATGTAAATGATGAGTTAGCGGGTGCAGCACACCAACATGGCACATGTATACATAGGTAACAAAGTTGCACATTGTGCACATGTACCCTAGAACTTAAAGTATAATAATAATAAAATAATAATAGTACCCCACGTCTCATTTGCTGGCTCTGGGTTTCTTCTTTGGCCTCTTGAAACTGATGCCTCTCCTATTAGGGTTAGTAGGAATTCAGCACACCCCACATAATATGCAGGGATAGAGGGAAAGAAGTGATATAAAATCTATTGCCGGGGAAAGCCAGCTTCTTTATTGAGCATTTATTACGTTACACATTCAGCTAGTCACACTACACATAATATTTCTAACATTTTTTTCTACCACAACCTCTCCAAGCATTATTCCCAATTTGCCGGAGATAAAACTGAAGGTTAGATATTTAAATTAACTTTTTCAAAGTCACCCACCTAGAAAAGGGTAGTGCTGAATCTCTATCTAAGATTAAATAACTGGAAAGACCAAGTGTCTCTGATTCCTGCTTTGTGTGGCTACTCATTAGTATTCACTATCAGACATTCATTTTAACCCACACTACTACCACTTAATGTCATAGGTATTAGCTGTGTGCTGGATGCTTTCTCTGTATCAAGTCTGAACCTTACTGCTCCACTCTATGATCTTAGAACTGCTGGACCAGGTTCAGAACTCTCAAACCCATGTCTGCACTCTTTCCACTCCACTGTGCTTGCAGTTGTTCAAAGGCCGAAGGCGTGCCCCAAAACATTTTTAAGCAAATGTCCTTTATCAATTTGGTTACTACACATGACTTCACAGCCAGCATTTGCCACCAGCCCACAGCTTCTATTGCATAACTAACCTTGCCAGGTGTCCCATCAGAATGCTTGGATCAAGTAGCAATTTTAAATGAAGTGCAATATCATTACTCATACAGCTGCTGAAATTTAACTCTTTAAATTTACTTCACCAAACTGACATAATGAGGATCACAGACAGAAGGAAATCAGTATAAATGATATCTTCATGTACATTTGAATCATGGTTGAGTCATAATCTAATATTGAATCACTTAGGGTAGAACTCTTAATTCAGTGAAGTTATCAATTAAAAAAATCCTTGCAACTTTTACACAGATGAAATTCTGATCACATGCCATTGGAGAAACAAACTTGGATATATCAGATTTAATCTAACATAAATAAAAGAGAACCCAACATTTATATAGTGCGATTTTAGTTTCTTTTCACATATCAACTTTTTTGATCTTCATTAACAACCTTACAACGTGATAATCAGTCTCATTTTAAGGTGAAAGACTGGCTGGGCGCGGTGGCTCACGCCTATAATCCCAACACTTTGGGAGGTCGAGGTGGGCGGATCACAAGGTCAAGAGATGGAGACCATCCTGGCCAAAATGGTGAAACCCCGTCTCTACTAAAAATACAAAAATTAACTGGGTGTAGTGGCATGAGTCTGTAGTCTCAGTTACTTGAGAGGCTGAGGCAGGAGAATCACTTGAACCTGGGAGGCGGAGGTTGCAGTGAGTGGAGATTGCACCACTGCACTCCAGCCTGGCGACAGAGTGAGACTCCATCAAAAAAAAAAAAAAAAAAATGAGGGACTAAGGCACAAGGAGATTAAGTGATGTGGTGGGTGGTCAGGATTTGAACCCTGAATATCCCTAAGAACTACAAAATTCTATATCACTTTGTACAAGCCTGCAATGTGGAAGTAAGCATTAATGTTAGAATAGTTCAGCTTGGTTAGCTTTTTACTCTATCTTCCTTTTTCTTCTCTTTCCTGACATTCACTTTAGACTACCTTGTTTGTGTCACTCTTCAAACAAGGAAGGGAAAAAATAAGAAGTAATTATAATATTGCTAAACTGAAAAAGCTATTTAAATAGCCTCTGAAATTTAGACATCTTTCTGTCCTTTGCAATGACATTTTCTATATTTATTTGAAGGGAAAAATATATTTCTAAATCAATACACTGGACCCATTAAAAAAAAAAGAGTAGGAGCAAATTCTTATGGTGAGGAAAATATGAAGAGGAAGTTATATTCAGGAAGCCTATCAAAGCTATGAAGTTCTAAAATATTAGTTAAGAGAGAAAGAGTGAGAGGAAAAAGTACTGATGTGTCTATATGTACAATTTTTTGAAACAGGACTTTTTTTTTGTTTTTGTTGTTGTTATTGTTTTTGCTTTTTTTGAGACAAAGTCTCATTCTGTCACCAGGCTGGAGTGCAGTGGCAGGATCTCCGCTCACTGCAACCTCCACCTCCTGGGTTCAAGTGATTCTCCTGCCTCAGCCTCCCGAACGAGTAGCTGAGACCACAGGCGCCTGCCACCACACCTTTTTGTATTTTTAGTAGAGACGGGGTTTCACCATGTTGGCCAGGATGGTCTTGATCTCTTGAACTCGTGATCCTCCCGCCTTGGCCTCCCAAAGTGAGCCACCGTGCCCGGCATGAAATAGGACTTTAAAAAAGCATTTTTGAAATGTTGAAAACTCAGAAAGCAATAAAATATAGTCTTTTTAAAGTAAAATGATTTGCACATAACTGGGGTTCAGACAGGGCAAATGATGAAAATAGCTGATGAGACTAGTCTACCTAGAGAAAGGCAGAGATGGTCACCTGGTATCCTCAAACAACCTAGATGTTTTTACTTAACCTGGTTGTAACCACAGACTTGCTAGACTTGCCTACATTTGGTTGAATCAACACAATTCCTGCCCAAAAGTATAATTTTTTTTTTTTTTTTGAGACAGAGTCTTGCTCTGTCACCCAGGCTGGAGTGCAGTGGCGCAATCTCGGCTCACTGCAACCTCCGCCTCCCGGGCTCATGCCATCCTCCTGCCTCAGCCTCCCGAGTAGCTGGGACTACAGGCACCTGCCACCACGCCCAGCTAATTTTTTGCATTTTTAGTAGAGACGGGGCTTCACCGTGTTAGCCAGGACGGTCTCAATCTCCTGGCCTCGTGATCTGCCCGCCTCAGCCTTCCAAAGTCCTGGGATTACAGGCATGAGCCCCCGCGCCCAGCCCGAAGTATAATGTTTAAAGGGAGTTAAGGAGTTACGTAAAGGATGATATTGGTAGTTAGATTGTCCACACGCTTCTCAAGGTGAAGAATAAAAATGAAGGACTCCCAGGCTGTTTGTAATTTTGCAATGATGTGGTAAGAAATGAGTACTATCCATGAATGCTATTTTTACATATCCAAAGTTTCAATAACCAGATGCTTTTTCCATGCCAATTTAATATTCTGGATAATAACTAGATTCTCCACTGATGTAATAATAAGAGCTATATCTGTTAAGTATTTCTCAGGGAGTATGTCAAACATCTTAGGCATTTAATCTTGCAATATTTCCTGTGACCTAAGTGTTATTATCTCCTTTAAGTAGATAAGAAAGCTAAGTTTAAATTTGTTTTGTTTGCCTTGTTTCTCTTTATGTTAGAGAATCTTTTTATAGTCTCCATATTTATTGATTATGAGGATGATGTGTCAGAGACTGCAATCACGCATATAGGTAAAGTTCAAAGGAATTCAAGAAGAACTTACTCAATCCACTAGAAATCAAATATAATTCCTAGATAGAAGTCTCATCATGCATGCATGAGTAAAAGGAAATATATGTTTAAGGACACTATAAACAGAGAAAAATAAAATTTTCCAAATGACATTTTATGGTATATTTCTCTGGTATATTTTAGAGTACATTCGCTTGGCTCTCAATAAAATAAAATAACATATTGGCTCACTGAAACAAGAGATAAGAATGAGATGAGGCAGGGTGCAGTGGCTCACGCCTCTAATCCCAGCACTTTGTGGGGCTGAGGCGGGCAGATCACCTGAGGTCTGGATTTCGAGACCAGCCTGACCAACATGGAGAAAATCCTTCTCTACTAAAAACACAAAATTAGCCAGGCCTGGTGGCTGAAGCCTGTAATTCCGGCTACTCGGGAGGCTGAGACAGGAGAATTGCTTAAACCTGGGAGGCAGAGGTTGTGGTGAGCTGAGACTATGCCATTGCACTCCAGCCTGGGCAACAAGAGTGAAACTTCATCTCAAAAAAAAAAAAAAAGAATGAGATGACTAGATAAACTGAGATTAAAAGGGAGACTCTGTAGGACAAAACAGAAATAAATAAGAAGCTTGATAATATTAATATACTAAAAAGGTGATAAAAACAAAAGAAGTGAAAACAGAAGCAGTGAAAACAAAATTTATCCTCAAGAAGATAGAATTCGAAAATGGAGAGTAAATTGGAGAAGTTATCCCAGGATGGCAGAAAAAAGAAAGATAATTAAAAACATGAGAAAGATGATAGAAGTGGAGAACAAAGAACAAAGATTGAATATGTAAATCTTTAGTGTTATTGAGGGGTTCTCCAGAACAAATGCAACCAAAACAAGAATTTAAAACATGGGAGAGGCTGGGCGTGGTGGCTCACGCTTGTAATCTTGGCACTTTAATATACCAACGCGGGCAGATCATGAGGTCAAGAGATTGAGACCATCGTGGCCAACATGGTGAAACCCGTCTCTACTAAAAATACAAAAATATTTGGGCATGGTGGCATGTGTCTGTAGTCCCAGCTACTCGGGAGGCTGAGGCAGGAGAATCACTTGAACCCAGGAGGAAGAAGTTGCAGTGAGCTGAGATTGCGCCACTGCACTCCAGACTGGGCGACAGAGCGAGACTCCATCTCAAAACACACACACACACACACACACACACACACACACACACACACACACGAGAACTTTCTTGAGCAGAACAAAGCAAAACAAAGCAAATCCTCAGATAAAAAGGAGTTAAAAAAAATAACAAAAAGAGAGTACTTGAAAAAATCAGGTAGAAAGGAAAGGCTATCTAAAGATGATGAAAAATCAACTAGCCTCAGAGCTTCCTACAACTTTAAATGCTCTTAAGACAATGGAGCAATGTGTGTAAAGTTTTCAAGGAAAACTATTTTAAGTAAAGTATTATATACCTATTAAAGGTCTTTTCCTCACAGAAAAGTAATATAATGATTATACGTACATATATATGTATGTATATATTCAGATATCCAGAAAGTATTATATATTCATATTGTCAGCCTTAAATAATTAGATTCAGAAAATATGACTAATATATCGAGTTTATTCAAGTGGAAAGCTTGAGAATAAGCGCTTGGGAAATACAGACTCCAAAACAATGGGTCAGCATTCCAAAGTGGGGAAGTTACAGTTTCACTTATATAGGCAGTTAACAGGGGTTGCAACGTTTTCCAAACAAAGTCAGTACCTACGCTGTAGCAATTTGATTACAGCTTGCTACATTTCAAGAATGATTGCTTTAACATTCTGTGAGGAGGAGTGACGATCTGAGGAGGTCTTATCTCTTATGCTACAAAGCCTTTCCTAATGATTTTCAGGAAAAAGCAGGAGTTACAGCTGCATGTTAGGTGGCTCAGGCCAAATAGCCTCATTCATCTCAAGGCTCGAAAAATAATTTAAACTTCCAACAGTTTTAAGTTTGAATTATTTAGTTTCATAATATTTATTGAAAAAAATGTATTTGAAGTAGAAGTGGAAAAGAAACAGAAATGGTTTTTAAATGGCTGATACGGAATATTGAATTTTTTTAAATATTAAAATTTTTATATATAGTTAGAGGGTTAAATTTACATGAGGAGATCAGATATGACAATATAATAAGTTGAAAATAGAAAATAAAATATGAAATATAATGTCAATAAATTCTGTAAGTAACCTTGATAACAGGTATTGAGAAGCTTCATATATGTTTAATTTAAAATTTTAAGAAATTGAGGAAAGGTGGAACTTCCATATATAGCACCATCTGAAATAAATAGAAAGAAACAAATACGACAAAGACAAAAACAAAAGAAAAAAAAAGAAAGAAAGAAAGAAAAGAAAAAGCTGAAACCGAGGAAAGGCCAAACCATTTTTAACAAATTTTTTAGGGCTACTGAAGCGGCATTGTTGTCTGGGGTAAATACCCAAGGTTTGTTTCCTCATGCCAAGGAAATCAAGAACGTGGACACAGGTGGAGTGAGGTTAAGAGCAGAGATTTAATAAGCAAAAGAGAGAAAGGAGAACCGCTGGATTTCTGGCCCACCTTGGAGTGCACAGAGTTTTATAGACAGGCTTGAGGATTTACATAAGGCCCAGAGTTTGCTTGGACCAGGTATAACATTTACATAGCCCACGAGGAAGCTGGCTACCCCACCCTAACCTTTTATTATGCAAATGCAGTCTGTACTTGGCTGGGCCATGTTGCCTGCTCCTTACTCGGCACGTGGTTGACAAGGTAAGGGGAAGATGGAGCCGCCATGTTGGACAAGGCTTCCCTGCAGGTAGCCTTTTCCTATTGGCACGGCGTCCTCACCCGTGCAAGCTTCCAACTTGCTTGTCTATGCCTGCAGCTTGATTTTACAGGCTGCTCTTTGTTAGAAAAGAAAATGATTTGGGGCTGCTTTTTTATTAAAAGGAAAACATTACCAAGGACTTCCTCCCTCTCACTATCTGCCTAAATAATGTCTTCTTAACTCCTGTATCACTATCATTGACATCTAAAGCATCAACCTCAAATATCTCCTCAGACACTTTAGCAAAAAAACAGTAGAATTCTCTATCCAGACAACTTGTCATTCTCAAATAAAGATGATAGGATGACTTTCAGAGATAGTAAAAGGACTCAATAACAATGTTACCAGTGTATTCTTTCAGAAAAACTCATTGAAGGCACAATTTAACCAACTAAAATTTCAAAAGTACCAGGCACAGTGGCTCATGCCTGTAATCCCAACACTTTTGGAGGCCAAGGCAGGCAGATCACCTGAGGTTGGGAGTTCGAGACCAGCCTGACCAACATGGCAAAACCCCATCTCTACTAAACATATAAAAATTAGCTGGGTGTGGGTGGTGCCTCCCAGGTACTTGGGAGGCTGAGGCAGGAGAATCACTTGAACTCGGGAGGTGGAGGTTGCAGTGAGCCGAGATCACGCCATTGCACTCCTGTCTGGGCAACAAGAGCGAAACTCCATCTCAAAAAAAAAAAAAAAATCAAAAGTAAAAACACTGTAAGTAGCAAGTTAAAACTCCATCTAAAACCATAAATACAAGCAGTGTAATAAATATTATATATTACATCTTATAATTTTTGAGACAAATGTGACAGGTTAAAAAATCATAAATTAATTTTAAAATACTGAAAAAACATTTCAAAAGTATAACTGAATTCATGTTTCATTGAGGGAACTCACCAATTATAATTTCATTTTTATCATTTCAAAATTAACAAATATAAGTTTAAAAGAATGCTTATCAGTTATGAAAGACATTATACAACTATAAGCAGAACTTCTAGCAGACAGAATGTCTTCCAAACTAACACATGCATGTGTAAAATTTCCAGAAAATATAGTGGCATAGAAAACAATGAAAATAGAAGGGAAGCATAAGAAACAAAAGCCATATATTAAAATCATTGAAATTAAACCAAATATACCTGTTCCATCTTAGAATAAAAGTCATACTAATTTACTGAAAGCAAAATATTTTAAATTGGTTCAAAACATAAATTAGAGAATATTATATATACATATATTTAAGTTAAAAACATTTAAATAGCATAAATTTCATCAATCGTAATTTCTGACCACAATGCAACAAGACAAGAAAACTATAATTAAAAAACATGGCAAAATCATAGTAGTAAGAAACTAAAGTATTATTTGCCTAATGAATACTTGGACAAAGATAAAGCCAAACTGCACAATTCGCTATTGATTGCTAGCACTTTTTTGAACAGTTACTATGGCCAGGTACTCTCCCCAGTATTACAGAGGCTACACAGTAAACCTGAGAGTTAGGGTGTAAGCCGAGGTCATAGCAGTGAAGAGCACAAGCTCTGTAGCTGAATGACCAGGGTTTGAATCTGAGTCCACCACCTGTCAGTTGCCTTGGACAAGTTACTTGTCTCTCCTAGCTTCAGTTTTTCCTTATCTGAAACACAGGGATAATAGTAGTATTAGCATGATAATACACCATTAAAAGTGAGTTATGAGCAATATATGACTTGATACATACATCAGAGGCATTCAAACCAAAGCGACACCATCTTGAATAGGGGCTGGGTAAAATAAGGCTGAGACCTACTGGGCTGCATTCCCAGGAGGTTAAGGCATTCTTAGTCATAACATGAGATAGGAGGTCTGTGCAAGACACAGGTCACAAAGACCTTGCTGATAAAACAGCAGGTGGCAAAGAAGCTGGCCAAATCCCACCAAAACCAAAATGGCAAGGAAAGTCACCTCTGGTCAAGCTCACTTCTCATTACATGCTAATTATAATCCATTAGCATGCTAAAGGACAGTTCCACCAGCTCCATGACAGTTTACAGATGCCATGGCAATGAAAGGAAGTTACCCTATATGGTATAAAAGGGGAAGGAACCTGCAGTTCTGGGAATTGCCCAGCCCTTTCCCAGAAAACTCATGAGTAATCCACCCCTAGTTTAGCATATAATCAAGAAGTAAACATAAAAATAGCCAGCCAGCAGCCCTCAGGGCTGTTCTGCCCATGGAGTAGTAGCCATTCTTTTATTCCTTTATTTTCTTAATAAACTTGCTTTCACTTTAAGGATTTGTCTTGAATTCTTTCTTGTGCAAGATCCAAGAAACCTCTTTTGGGGTCTGGATCAGGACCCCTTCTGGTAACACACATGAAGGGCTTAATAGAGTGCCCGACTCATAGAGAGTGCCCAATAAATAGTAAATATTATTGTTATTATCTCACGTTACTAACTCTTTAAACCTGACTATGGGCACATAGCCAAACTTAAGAGATGTGTATTTTATATCTTGTACCGATTAAACCCTTTATCTTGTTTCGAAGGTGTCTTAGCAATAATAATATAAGATTTTAGCATATGCAATTGTCTTAGCAATAATAATATAAGATTTTAGGATATGCAATTGTCTTTGAGGACATAAATTTAGTTTCTAATTGGAGGAAATTGGAAAACTGCGAGCACAATCAGAGTAAAAATAAGTCTACCTTGCTAATGAGTTTTCCCCAGCTCATGGTTAGTAATCAGTAGGTCTTTGCTGACTGATGTACTAATTTACAATCTAGTTAGGGACATCAGGTTGACACTTGAAAAACATATTAACTATAAAAGGAAGAAAATAAATACCATAGAAGAAACAGAATTTGGCTAAAGGAATCTCAGAATGGAATTCATAGTGTTCATAGACCGAATGGAAATTTGTACTTGAAATGATATTTAATGATACCTATAATATGTAATTAAATATAAAATTATGTAATGGAAATTATAGAAGATTAGATATTCCAAAGGGAAGGAGCTTAGTGATGCCTGGAAGAATCAGAAGGCTGAATGGAGGATTCTTTTTTTAATACTGAGGATTTGGATAGGTAAAGATTCAAAACAAACAAACAAACAACTATTAAAACGACAACAAAAAAAGAGAGACATCAGTAGCAGCACTGAAGTAGAAATCAAAAATGCGTAGAACTGATTGAATGGTTCTAATTTTGGGACACTGAAGACAATTCCCCAAAATATGGTGCTTTGGCATGCTGAGTGCTTTGAAAATTGAAAGGCCACAAAAGTAAGCTTCAGTATCAAACTTTTTCCCTCTGACCTTCCCCTGCCTCCCTGTCTCTCTGATTCTCTTTCCTGAAACACTGGAAGGGACGTAGAGAAAGTTCTTGTCTGACTAAGAAAGCTTCTTCCCAAAAGAAATGCAATTGTCTTAAGACCCTCTCCCTAGGGATCTCATCAAACAACCGGGAAAGATCAGCCACAGAGAAAAGACTGGCAGTAATTGCCATGCCCAGACAGACTTTTCATCTATTCTCCCAAGGCCAGCTCTGAGGGATTACCTGGAGGGCTTGATCTGCATAAGACAAGCTTTGTTCCAGCACTGTGCCACCCTCATTTTTCCATCCAGCTTCCAAAGAGAATCATTTACAAAATGATGTCAGCCTCCCAGGTCCATACATATCTTCCCTACGAAGAGAGTATTTAAGCCTCAACCATCTGGTCCCTCTTCAAGCCTCATACTTTCTGTATGACTTCTGTGCTTATGCATGTTAAATAAATGTTGTAGTTCTTTTTCTCTTATTAATCTGCCTTTTATCAGTTCATTTTCAGTGAACCTTCAGTGGGCAAAGAGGAAACTTTCCCTCTGTCTCTATACTAGGATGAAGTAACAACTTCTTCAAAAGGTGTGGAAACAGGTGTCTTGGTTGAGTTGCCTACACCAGCCTGTGACGTTGGCTGATACCTTTGTTCAAGATCTTCCTTGAGTTCAGGATAGAGAGAAGGCCTCTTTATCTATATGTGGATGATCAGGGTCACCAGAGCAGGTGCCTTTGTACATGCTATGATTTGGATAAGCTAAAAAGCTCTATGAGAATAAACAAGAACCTTGCCCAAAGATAAGTCTAGACATTTAAAAATATGTCTGAGGATTTTGAGATGTGCATATATGCAATTATGTATGAATTTTGTGCGTGAATATGTGGGTGTGGGCATGCATGTGCCTGTGTTCATGCTTTTAAATTTGCTTGTGTGGGCCCATGTTTGTGTGTGTGTGTGTGTGTGTGTGTGTATCTAGATTACAGGTATGTACAGGAGAGAGGCTACTGAGAGAAAATCACTATGAAGAAAAAAGCACCCAAGTGTGGGCTCAATTCAGGACAGGGCAGCCATGGAATGGTGGCTCCCAGGACAGTGCCACATTAGGATTGAAGAAGGCTCTCCTCAGGGTCTCTCTAGTGGCAAACTTAAAAATAACAATTTTCCCAGAAGGCCAAATGTTTAGGGAACATTTTCCCCCAGAGGACTCAGGGGTAAAACGAATCTGAAGACCTTAATTATTCAATGTCCCCAAGCCTCTCTTCCTAAACGTGGAATGGGGATGAGAAGGAATCACTTACAAGAGAGAGAACTGTGTGCTAAATATCAGGAGACAAGTCGCCCAAAATTCTAGGTAATGGTAGTAAAGTAAGAATAGGCAACCTAAGGTATCAAAGGTCAAACGTGGTCCCCCAAACACCTGACCTGCAAACCTAGGCAGATAGCAGCTCTAGAGAAGAAGAAATGGCTGGAGCAGAGAGTACGTGGCTCAGTATATTAGACCTTATTTGCCACATAGATGACTTCCAAAAATACTCTTTTGGGCAATGCGATCTAGAGTTTTTTGTTGATCAAACTCATCCTCAATACTTGATAGGGATGGTGGAACCCCTGCCTCCTATATCTATCGAATTAGAATCTCTAGGGGAGAGTCCAGGAAGTTCTATGTTTAATAAGCACTCCAGGTCATTCTTATCACTAGGGAAGCTTGGGCAGCAGTCATTTAAGAGACTTCTAGAAAGGAGCAGGGGTGGAAGGTGGCAATCTGTCCACTTAACATGCAGAGGCTACTGACGCAGCAGAACTGTTAAAGTGAGTGATGCTGGCTGGTGGAATGTAGAGGACATTTGGGTGACAGTTGTAAACAATTTCGAGTTGGCATGCTTTGCAGATGTCAGCCTGTATCTGTGGCATGCATTAAACAGACCACAAATCCTGGGCAAGAGGTACAGTATGCCATCAGCAAATGTATCATAAGTCTTTTTCCCCAAGAATTTTCCTGATGACAGTGGAGGAAACAAATCTAGATATTCCACTGAATCAATGTTGTCATTAACAGATTTACAATTTCATCAATGGTATAGGCACTTTAGTCAAATGAACCACGTAGGAATAAGGGTATTAAATCTCTGACAGCGTTAGAAGTTATTTATCTGTTCATCTCTCCAATGAATTTATATGTATTTTTCTATTGATAAAAAAAGAAATACCTATAGTAAAATAGACACTTTTTTTTGGAATAACTTCCAGCTTCCACTTAAACTACTGTCAACTTTTGAATGGCATTCTAAATATAAAGTAATTACAGTGTAAAATGCCTGGGGGTTGGAATAAAGTGTTCTTGCCCCTAAAGACAGTGTTTTTACACAGGGCAGAGAGAAAAAGGCTCATGGAATCTCACTGGAGAGAACCTCTATATCTTACCATCCTTGCATTATAGAAAATATGTACATTGCAAGTTGGAAGTATTTCATTCCTCTAGTATTAATTTGTATTTCCTGCCTTATATTGGTTTGGCTGAAGTTCACATAAACTGCAGTGCTTTGGCCCACCAAGACAGAAAGTCATTCACGTAAACTTTTCTTTCTTCCTGGAATTCACCCCATTTTCTTCCTTTTCTCCCTCCCCCTTCACCTTAACCCCTCTCTCAGCCCAACTCTGCCCTTCCCTTTAAAAAAAAGTTGCATTAGTTCTTTACAAGTGAGCAAGAACAGAACCAAATGTTTCACATCTGCTCTCTGAGTTCACGGATTAGCATGAGAATGAGTAGCCAGTGTTTCAATGATGCACAGTCCAGTGAATGAGAATGGGGGCTCAAGCCTGGTATCAGAGAGCTCTCTGGCTCCTGCCAGATGTCCTAGGCCCAGGGCACAAAAGCGTGAACCCAGAGTTTTAACAAATCACCTTTCTCTGAGGCTAATCACTCAAGAAAAGGTTTTGTTGTGGGTTGGAGAGGGTCAGGTTGGTACTTCTCCAATGATCTGTAGCCTTGCTCAACCTCTCTAGCCTTAGCCCTTCAAGGCTTTCTAAAGAGACCTCTTATTTCTTTCCCTCAAATCCAGGCAATGAGGGCAAAAGCTGCATGCCAGAGGATCCTGAAGGCACCGGGGCAGCGGGGGCTCATTAATCAATGGTGGCCGTGTTGCTGGTCTGTCACTCACTCTCTCTCTCTCTGAACAATAAAGACTTTAGCAAGAATAAAATAGCTCAATGGGCATGTACAAGGTCAGGCTTAGTGGCAAGATGGGTCTGGCGCAATCATAGTTGGAGGAATCCTGCACTTTTCACAGAGAAGGTTTATCAGCTGTGGGGTGGTGGTTCTAAAGGTATGGTCCCTGGACCAGCAGCATCAGCCTCACTGGGGAACTTGTCAGGAATGTAGATTCTCTGCCCCACCCTGACCTGCTGGGTCAGAAACTCTAGGGTGAGCTCAGCATCTATTATTCACATACCTTCCGGGGGTTTCTACCCCTGGAAGTTCTTCTTATTTCAAACTAAAGAGACTCTAGCCAAATGCCTCTTGGTTTTTTGGACTAATTTTATACCCAGGCCTCAGCCATACCTCTTTTAAACTCTCATCCTTGTAGGATGGGGTGACATTCTGATTTGTCCAAGACTGGGAATATCCCAGGATGCAGGGCTTTCAGTTCTAAAATTGAGAAAGTTCCGGGCAAACTGGGACAAGTTGGTCACCCTAACTGAGAAACATGGCCAGTTTAGACCCGGAACCCGTCTGCATGCCTTTCTACCTCACTGTCATTGCCCTCACTATTCTAGTGGGGTCAAGGAAGATCAAGAAAGAGAGATCAAAGAGACAAACATCAGCCAGAGATCATTTTAATAATGCAATCAATGTGAATGTATCAAAAGCCTCAAAACGAAACAAAAATAGATCAAATGAAAACAAGTGGATTTTGTATAAAGAAAGTCTCCTGAGCCAGGCGCGGTGGCTTATGCCTGGGCAGATCATGAGGTCGGGAGATTGAGACCATCCTGGCCAACATGGTGAAATCCTGTCTCTACTAAAAAAAAATACAAAAATTAGCTAGGCATGGTGACATGCACCTGTAGTCCCAGCTACTCGGGAGGCTGAGGCAGGAGAATCACTTGAACCCGGGAGGTGGAGGTTGCAGTGAGTCGAGATCGCGCCACTGCACTCCAGCCTGAGCAACAGAACGAGACTCAGTCTCAAAAAAAAGAAAGAAAGAAAGAAAGAAAGTCTCTTGTGATAAATTAGTGATTTCTGCCTTTAGAGAAAAGATCCAGAAACTTCTTCCTGGACTTCTGATGAGAGAATAGATTATTTTCTCACCTCTCTGTAATCTTATCAGCAGAAAGTCATTAGATCATTTAATTCCTCATACTACCACTGTGCGTTCTACGTATTTCACTTTTGACACAGCACTATTTTGCTCAAATTGATCTCCTCAGCTTCCCAAATTATAAAAGTGGATCCCTAGGCCAAAGGAGAGACTTGAGCATATATATAGCTTGAGGAGTTCTCCAAATTTCAGAAAGTATTCAAAAAGGGAACAGTTGCCTTTGAAAGTCAGGATCTATTGGCAAATGAGTTCTAGGGTACAGGTGAAGGGAAGGGTTAGTCTCCCTCTGGTTTGGAGGGGTGTTTATGAAAAAGGTATTTGAAGGTCCCAGCATAACTGCCCTACTTGGCTTAGAGGTTTTATATTGCAAGAAGTGATGTGATCTGGTGGCACTGCACAGTTAGAGAGGCAGTTTTTGGCCCCAAAGATAAGCAGAAAAGGTCTGATAGTGACTGTGAGGAATATGCTAAATTTTGCATAGTTTAGAATGCATTATTAAATGCCTGATTGAATTTGGGAGTGTTTTGTTTAAAATTTATAGAATAATGAGAAAGAAAATTATGGTACAGTAAAAAAGGCATAGATTTTGAAGCTTAAAAAGTTTGGTTCAAATCTTGCCCTTTTACTTAATGTATCATCTTGGGCAAGTTACTTAGCCCCATTTTACCAGAAATTGGGAATAATAACATCTATTTCAAAAGAGTTATTTGAGGTTTAAATAAGGTAATATATGCGGCATACATTGCAGAGTACGCAGTACACAGTAAGTGCTCCATAAATGTTAAGAAGCAGTGTGATACAGTAGAAAGGGTTTGCAGTATTGCTTCAAAACAGACTCAGGTTCCACTCCTAGCTCTGGCTCTTTTGAGTATATGGCTTTAGCATTTAACCTTCATCTGTGAAATTTAAACTGCATTTGTCTGTGGGAGAATGCTTTAAGGACTAAATTAGATTACATACATAAAGTGCTCAGCATTCTATTACATGTTTTCCCCCTGACCAAACCATGTTAACCACATCCTTCTTTCAACTCCCTCATGGATGCATTTGAATTTCCACCACCCTCTGCCATGTACCATTACTGTGCACATGCTGGCTTCCTCACTTCTCTCTAGTTTGCCTTTGTGTGTTTCTAACACAGCCTCTGTATGGCAATGAACTCTGAGATGAACTGAGCCTTCCCATAATATCTGGTTATTATGATGACCAAAATCAATTTAACCTCAGAGACTGGGATCTGGGAAAGGCAGGTCTATAAACACTTAAGATGTTCACGAAATTCTCTGATCACAAAGTCTAGGCAGACGGGGGTGAGGGGAGCGGAGTTTGGGCTCAAGACTCTGTTTCTGAGTGAACACTCTTCCCACCTCCATGCTTCGTCCTGCTGTTACTCACCCCACATCTGTGAGGGCTCTGGATGGAGGCTGCTGTCCTACGTGTAGAATGGGATCAGTGTTGGGCTTCACCAGACCTCTGATTTTTGTGTGTGTATGTCTGCTGTTCTTCAGGCAGCAGAGGAAGGAATCCTGGAGTTGGAGTCAGCCATTGGAGTTGCAAGGTAGGTGGAACTCTACCACTTCAAGTTGCATGAATTGGGCAAGAACAAGAATAGCCACCACTGCTACCATTCAGGAAGCCCAGGTGGTCCTCACCACAGCCTTGTGAGGCAGGAGGAAAAGTTGGATACTAAGATGTGGGATCACACTAAGATGTGACTCAGAAAGATTGAATGAACTGCTGCGTGTCACTTAGCTGGTATGTGGCACAATTAGGACTCTGAGCAAAGTCTCTGTAATTCCCTAATGTCCACATTCAAACCGTTTTACCCATCTGTTTCCCTCTCTGCAAAATGAAAGAGTTGAGTTCTGTGCTTTGAACTTTAAAAGATACAGTTGAAAGCAAACCAGGGTCTCTGGACTTAAGCCTCAGTTCAGGGTTCTGTTCCCTGTGTTTATTTGATTCCCCACTTCTAGCCTGGCTCACTCAGAGTGGTGTAAGCTGAAACACCATAATGGTAATGGTAATTAACATTTGCTGAGCATTTACTGTGTGCCAGGTACTCTTCAAAAATCACAGTATCAGACTGGGTGTGGTGGCTCATGTCTGTAGTCTCAGCTACTCAGGAGGCTGAGGTTAGAGGATCGTTTGAGCCCAGGAGTTTGAGGCTGCGGTGAGCTAGATTGCACCACTGCACTCCAGCCTGGGTGAAAGAGAGAGACTCCATCTTTAAATAAACAACAACAATAATAATAATGATAAATAATAAAAGTATTGCATCATATTGCAACAACCCTCATGTGCAGATGAGAAACAGAGCCACAGAAGTGCTAAGTTGCCTAAGGTGGCTTAGTAAATGGCAGGGCCTGGTGTAAGACCATCAAAGCAAAGCAAGCTGGAGCTTGCAGAGCATCGGATCTTAGGAAGGCACCAAAATAAGTGATGAAAGGTGAGGCCAATTGTCCGAGAATTTGTTTCTTAGTCAGCAAACTCAGCTGCTCCCAAAGGGCTGCCTGCAGCCAGTGTGATTCTGTAAGAGGAAAAAGGGAAGGGATGGGCTTAAGGGCTGATCTCTTAGCAGCAATTGCTTAACAACCATATCCCCTTGTGTTTGTAAATCATGAGTGGAAGACGATGTTTTTGGAATAATCCTAGCAGTGATATTTGTTGATGAGCCACTGGCTGCACCTCCTGTTTAGGATGATTCTATGAGCATGAAGTATCTTTGGCTTGCTAATGCCATTTCCATTCCAGAATATACCAAACAGTGTCAGGAGGGAGACAAAGACAGGCTCATTCCTCAAGTGTTTTTGTTGCAGCATCACAAGCAGATGGCAGCATGAGCCCTGCTGTAGTTGGGACAAATTGAACGTATCAAGCACCAGCTCATCAGAGACTCCCTTCGTGCTGTAAATCAGGGCATAAAGCAGCTTGAGGCCCCGGTAAACTGAACAAGAAGCAGCCCATCACTGATCTCATTGCCCACAAGCACAGGGCCAAGAGGAAGTGGAACAAAAGGCAGGCCCTTTGCAGAATGGAGCCATGAAGAGCAGCCCAAACCGGCTTCCAGAGGCCGTTGGACACTAAATCTTGAATCGGGATTCAAGTGCTATTTAGCATGGGTGAACTGGGATTTGAAGCAGAATTAATTGCCTCCAAATTGTATCTTTCCTTCCAGCCATCCATTAGTTTTCTTTGGCAGAAGGATAATGATACTTCATGAAATATAGCTGCAGAATCTAGCCTTGTTCATCGCAACCCTAGAATGAGCTCAAAAAAGCGAAAACTTTCAAATAATATAGTTTCCCCAGGGTGAGAATGAATATACATATTAGGTCACTATTAGTGTCTCTTAAAACAAAAATGCATGCGTTTGTTTTCAAATGATGGGATTTCAGAAACTTTCAAATAAAATGCTATAAGAGCATGTGTTGTGTTTTAAATTGTAGTAAGAAGAGTCTGATTCTGGTATTTGTTTTTGTTGAAGTTGTACCTGCGTTGTATCACTTTCTTGGTGAATGTCATAACTCTAGGACAGGGAACTGGGGACAATCAAAGCTGAGACAGTGCCGTTACACAGTCCCTATGTAAGAGACTTCCAGTCGCTTCAGAAAATCATTAGAGACAGTTATGGATAAGACATAGATTCAAGTAGATGCTGAGAGTTACATCCATGAAGCCACTGCCTCCCTTAGAGGAAGAATTATGCCAAAATAATTTTAAATCCCTTTGAGGCCATTTAACGTACAGAATGAGTAGCAGGAAGATGTCAATGAGGTTTTTAATGCCTGACTGGCAGCCAAATAGAAGCCAGAATGCTCCAGGATCAGTGAAGTCAATGTGCAGTTTATGGAGGAGCTGAAAAGATCTAACTTGCAGTATGCATGTGTGTATTAGTTAGCTCAGGCTGCCATAACAAAATATCATAGACTGAGGGGCTTAAACAACAGAAATTTATTTTTTCACAGTTCTGGAGGTTAGGAAGTCCAAGATCAAGGTGTCAGTGTGGTTGGTTTTCAGTGAGGGCTCTCTGGCTTGCAGATGGCTGCCTTCTTGCTTTGTGCTCACGTGGCCTTTCACCAGGGCATGCACACAGAAAGTGACTTCTCAGACATCTCCTGTCACAGGGGCACTAATCCTATCAGACCTAATTACTCATTTTTTTTTTTTTTTTTTGAGACAGAGTCTCACTCTGTCACCCAGGCTGGAGTGCAGTGGCATGATCTCAGCTAACTGCAACCTCTAACTCCCGGGCTCAAGTGATCCTTCCACCTCAGCCTCCCCAGTAGCTGAGACCACAGGTGTGTGCCACCATGCTCAGCTTATTTTTTAATTCTGGGTAGGGACAGGGTTTCACTATGTTGCTCAGGCTGGTCTCAAACTCCTGAGTTCAAGTGATTCACCCGCCTTGGCCTCCCAAATTGTTGGGATTGTAGGCATAAGTCACCATGCTCAGTCTATCAGACCTCATGGAACCTTACTTACCTTCTTATAGGATCTATCTCCAAATACGGTCACATTTAGGGGTTAAAGCTTCAACACATGAATTTTGGGGCTTATAATTCAGTCCATAGCACAATATATATAAAACTTAGAATGTATATATATGTTAGAATTTTAAAAAATTCAGTGCATATTTTGGCTATAAGCAGAAAATAATATTACCTAATTTATGCTATTGCTTAAGTCAGGGCCCCTAAGTCAAAAGCCCACAGAGGGAAGAGAGGTGATGTCCATGAATGAAGCAATGAATGAAAGAAAGCAAGCCAGTCCAACTCAAGTGCATCGTTGTCGAGATGCAAATCTATTATTATCACATAGATCGATTCTTCTTCTCCTCTTTAAGAGATCAATTCTCTTTTTCAAAAAAAAATCTAGACATTCTGCTTATTTTTTATGTGAAACTTTAGCAAAATTTTGGCTTGTTAAACATATAAATGGATGACCCCATCTGTGTTCCTTATCCACCCCACAGGCTTCCAATGTGAAACATCCAGTTTAAATAAATGCTTTTGCCTTAAGGAAGGATGAAGCAAGTGCTTTTACAGTTACTGGTACACATGGAATTTCAGTTACCTGTGTCTGAAGTAAGTGGGAACAGAATACACAAGTGTGAGCTAACATGGATTGCCTGGAAGGAATCAAAGCCCTCTTCAAAATTGGTCGTAACCATACAAGCCCTTACGTGAAGACAATGTTACCCAAAACCAATATTTTTTTATTACTCTCCCTTTTCCACAGCTCCCCTTCAAGTTTATGATGTTTTTAGTTTCCTGCTGATTGCCTCTTGGTAATTCAACAGAGAGACATAGTAAGAACTGCAGAACTCTTTTGTTTATATGTTGAATCAACAGTGAAGAAATCTAACAGCTGACACTCATGTGGGTTCTCTAAAAATAGACCTGGGGTTTTCTAGGAGGATTTGAAATGTGGGAAAGGTCTGTGAACCGGAAGGCAGGAGTCCTGGGGTCACATTGTGGCCCTGTCATTAAGTTGGTGTGTGACCCGGGAAGTCCCGTCTGCTTCCTTTGCCGTGATGTGACTTTGGTTGGGCCATGTCTAAGGCTTTTCCAAGTTCTCATCATCTTGCATATTGACTGTTCTTGTTGGTTTTTAGTGAGGGCTCTTTGTTTGGATGAGCACAGAGGTTGAACTTGGGTAGTAAGCAAATTCAGCTTTATTTTTATATATGTCTGCTGTGTGTGAGGCACTGAGCTTGCCATTGAACTAAATGTGTAGATGAGTAAGACACAGTTATTGCCCTCAAAGAGCCTATAATCTAGCAGATAAAATTGTACTGAGATACTATTTTTAGGTATTATCTCATATTTTCACAATTTCTTCTGTATTTTCTCTTTTTTCTTCTTCCGGCTGAAGTAAATAACTGGCTCTGCCTTCACAGCTACTAAAGAAGGATTTAATAGAATATTCTAGAAAAAATCTATAAAAACATCTTTATGATCTTGGAAAGGCAGAGATTCCTTAAACAGGATACCAAAAAAAGCCATAAAAAATATACTGATAAATTTTGAACTTCATGAAAATTAAGTACTTCTATTCATGAAAATATACTATTAAGAGAGTAAAGGCAAGCCATTGTCTGGAAACAAAATATCTGCAATACAAATAACCAACTAAGGACTTATATCCATAATGCATGAGCAACTCCTACAAATAAATAGTTTTAAAAAAGAAAAAAATTCAGTTGCACAGTGAGCAGGAGATTTGAATATGCACTTCACAAAAGAAAGTATCCAAAAGATATCCAAATTATATGTTTTATATACATATATAAAAATGTGCCCTTCATGATCATCAGGGAAATGCAAATTAAAGCCACATTGTGATATTATACACCAGAATGTATAAAATTGAAAAAAACTGAAAATACAAAGTGTTGATGAGGGTGCATGGTAATTACAACTCCTATACCGTGGGGATGGAAGGGAAAATTGGTACAACCACTCTGGAAAGATGTTCGGTAATATTTTCTCCAGCTCCGCAGATGCCTAACCTATGATTCCAAAATGCTGCTTGTGGAATTCTACTTCATCACAAATGAATGGCTATGTCTACCAAATGACATCCACAGAATGGATCATAGCAATTTTGTTAGCCAAAAACTGGAAATAATCCACCGGATAAATAACGTATAGTTTACTCAAATAATGGTAAATTGAACAGCACTAAAAAAGAAGCAACTAATGGCAGCAAAATGAATGCATCTCACATTCAAACTATTGAGTGTAAAAAAGCGAACAGACACAAAAGAGTTCATACTGTATCATTCTATATAAATAATGTTCAAGTATAAGCAAAATAATATAGGGTGATAAAAGTCAGAATAGTGGCTACCTTTGAGAGGGTTTGACTGGGAGGACCACCAGCCAGCTCTCTGGTGTGCTGTAATTGCACTATAATGAACTGGATGATGTAGCCAGGGGTGTCCAATCTTTTGGCTTCCCTGGGCCACATTGGAAGAAGAATTAGGCCACACACAAAATACACTAACACTATGGGAGGCCTATGTGAGCAGATCACGAGGTCAGGAGTTCAAGAACAACCTGGCCAGCATGGTGAAACCCTGTCTCTACCGAAAAAAAAAAAAAAAATACAAAAATTAGCTGGGCATGATGGCGCTTGCCTGTAGTCCCAGCTACTCGGGGGGCTGAGGCAGGAGAATTGCTTGAACTCAGGAGGTGGAAGTTGCAGTGAGCCAAGATTGTGCCACTGCACTCCAGCCTGGGTGACAAAGGGAGACTCCGTCTCAAAAAAAATACAAAAACAACAATGACAACAAAAAAACACACACTAACACTAACAATAACTGATGAGCTTAAAAACAAAAAGGTACATGCATAAATCTTATAATGTTTTAAGAAAGTTTATGAATTTGTGTTAGGCCTCATTCAAAGCCATCCTGGGCTGCATGCAGCCCAGGGACCACAGTTTGGATATGCTTGGCATAGTTGCTAAAAATGTATTGAGTGATACAGTTAACATTTGTGCGCTTTATCTAGCCAGGCTCTCTAGCTTTTGTTTTTGAAACACGTATGCAGTGGTTTGTAACACACATTGGGATTTTTCAAGGACAATTTTTAAAAATTACTGTTTGTTGGACAGGCGCGGTGGCTCATGCCTGTAATCCCAGCACTTTGGGAGGCCAAGGCAGATGGATCTCGAGGTCAGGAAATCGAGGCTATCCTGGCTAACACGGTGAAACCCCGTCTCTACTAAAAATACAAAAAAATTAGCCAGGCGTGGTGGCGGGCGCCTGTAGTCCCAGCTACTCGGGAGGCTGCGGCAGGAGAATGGTGTGAACCTGGGAGGCGGAGCTTGCAGTGAGCCGAGATCGCACCACCGCACTCCAGCCTGGGAGACAGAAAAAGACTCCGTCTCAAAAAAAAAAAAAAAAAAAAAAATTAGTTTGTTGGAACTTGTTCCAGATCAAGTAAATCAGAGAAAGACTGGGGAAGCTCACGTTTGTGATGCGGGAGAATTACTGTTGAAATAGAATAGAATATAAAAAGGATAATACAGTTATGCGTCTCTTAATGATGGGGATGCGTTCTGAGAAATGCGTTGTTAGGTCATTGTGTGTACCTTATAGAGTGCATTTACACAAACCCAGATGGCACAGTCTACAGCACACCTAGGTTATATAGAAAGGCCTATTTTTGCTCCTAGACTACAAATCTGTACAGCATGTTACTGCAGTGAATACTGGAGGCAATTGTAACACAATGGTAAGTATTTGTGTGTCTAAACGTAGAAAAGGTAGCATGAAAATACAGTATTGTAATCTCACCGGCCCCCCATCCCGGAAGTAGTCATTGTTGACTGAAACATCCTTAAGTAGCACGTGACTGTATATAAAATAGAATACACACACATACACGCACACATACTTTCTCTCTCTCTCTCCCCCACCCCCGTCCCCCCCTCTCTCTCTCTCTTCTCAGGTAGTTCTAATTCGCAGCCAGCATTGAAAACCAATGCCTCAGGGGAATTTCGGGTAGTTATGAGTGAGATAAATAATTCATGCACACTGGACAATTACCTTGGTTAACAACAGTAGAAAATGTGGGCCTTCCATCTACACCCTGCAATAACCTAAAAAAGGGTTCCCCTGGGTAGGAGGAGAAGAGCAGTAGTGGACAGCTCAGGTGAGACTTCAGAGAGGAAGCAGGTGGGGGCTGCTCCAGGAGTGCTTTGTGATCTGTGAGAAGTGACCCAGGCTTTGGACATTTACATTCTTGTGTATTTCCCTCCCACACCAAATCAGAGATGCTCCATGTGACCAATAGGGTAGGGCTGCCGGGACGGTGGGACTTCCAAGATTAATCATAAAGGGCATTGCAGCTTCCACCCGGGCTCTCTTGAAATGGCTGTCTCTGTGGCAAACTAGTGGCTGTGCCTTGAAGATGCTCAATAGTCCTGTGGACGAACTCAGATGCAGAGGAGCCAAGGCTTCCTCATCCATAGCACCCCATCCACGTTCTCCTCTGTACTGTGCTCTGTCAGCTTTCCATGGGCCTCACTGTGCCCCTTGGCACACCTGGAGGTATGTGCAAAGAGCAATGATGAGTGGACCCGGGGCTCCATGACTTACAGTTATCACAATGCAGATCACAGAGAACTGTCAGAAAGAAGAATGGTGCAAATCAGCTTATCACCTTCTATCATTTTTTACTACCCATTTGGCATGATTTATGTTTTGGACAGCTCTTAAGATGACACTCGAGAGATTTGGTCCAGATAAGTGATGCAGAAACTGCAAAAAGGAAAGGATTTTTCCCAAAAAGAACCAGGATTTCAAGATCAATCTATGAAACCTGATCACTTTATTTTTAAAATGATCCCTTATTTCTAAAAAAGAATTCACATTTTCTGCATGTGAAAAACCTATTTTCTTATGCTCTGTTCAGAAAAAATGCACATAGAAATATATATATAAATATTAGTATATGTTAATAATACATGTGCTAAAAATAGTGCTTAATATACTTAGACTTAAGGTCTTTCTGAGGCAGGCATAGTTTTCTGAATCATTATATTAACTATTGACTATCCTTAAATTGTAAATTATTATTTATTAAAATGCCATCTAATAACAAATGAGCTATGAAAATGTAAGAAGCTTTTAAAGTACTACTGTACAGGCATTCCATGGAAACCTCTTCTCCATGATTTATGTTTACATGATCCCATTGTCTAAAATGTGAACAATGAAAGTTTTTTCTTTAAATCTCTATTGCATAAATGAAATAACTCTCACAATATTTTCATTGAATTGATAATGTCATTTGCAGGCCAAATGCACATAATATACAAAATTTACTGAGTTACATAAAAAAGAATGCATTTAGAGTTATTTAAAGCATGTTTTCATACGTGGACTATCACTTTTATTGTTCCAAGCTGATAAACAAATTTTAAGAATTTACAAGTCGTACTTTAGTTATTCAAAACACAGCACACAGAGAAATTTGTGCAATAAATGCTTCTATGGTCCCTAGTGAAATATAATAAACTAAAATTTTCTTAGCAAAGAACATTTTAAAAGACAACTTCAGAGAAGTTTTATTTTGTAAAACAGGAAGGAAAAGCAGTGAAGATAGTGAGTGTACATAACAATAAAGATTGCACTGCAGGATTTATTCTCATCAATATTTGAGGCTTATTCCATGCAATGGAAATAAACTTGTCTCTTTAATTCATTCAGATTTTACCTAACGGCCAGAAGAAGGCAAAGAGGTAAGATATCTAGGAATCAGGCACTGAATGTAATCAATGTTTTAAAAGTATTTCGTGAAAATATGTGTAACCTAAGATTTACTATTTACCCTTTTAAATCTACAATTTAGTGGCATTAAGTACACTCGTGTACTTAAAATCACCACCATCCATCTCGAGAACTTTTCATCATTCCAAACTGAAAATTTATACTCCTCAAACAATAACTCTCCATTCTCTCTTCTCCCTAGCCCCTGGTGATCTTGTTTCTACTTTCTGTCTCTATGAAACTGACTACTCTAGGTACCTTGTGTAAGTGGAATCATATAGTATTTGTCTTTTTCTGATTGGCTTATTTCACTTACCATGATGTCCTCAAGGTTCACCCATGTGTCAGAATTTCCTTCTTTTCTTAGGTTGAATAATAATTCCATTGTATAGATTTACCTCACTTTGATATCCATTCATCTGTTGATGAACACGTGGGTTGCTTCTACCTTTTGGCTATTGTGAATCATGCTGCTATGGACATCAGTGCACAAATATTTAATCAATATTTAAACTCTTGTTACGGCCTGTAAACAGAACACCATCAGATTATGTTTGTGATCAGGTTTTCCTAGTGACATTAGGATATATGGGTTAATAAATCACGTCAATGCTGGAAAATATGACTGAGACTCAGAATAGTTAAGAATTCTAAGACACCAGATACTTTAAGGTAGAAACTAAGCCTGAAGAAAGAAATGCTGCCTGATAGAGTTTGGATGTTTGTCCCCTCCAAGTCTGATGTTGAAATGTGATTCCCAGTGTTGGAGGTGGGTGCCTGGTGGGAAGTGATTGGATCATGGGGGCAAACCCCTCATGAATGGTTTAGCACCATCCTCATGGTGATAAGTGAGCTCTCACTCAATTAGTTTGTGATATCTAGTTGTTTAAAAGTTTGGGACCTCCCCCTTCTCCCTCCCTTGCTCCCACTCTCACCATGTGACATGCTGGCTCCCTGTCACCTTCTGTGATGATTGGAAGCTTCCTGAGGCCTCACCAGAATCAGAGGCTGGCACCATGCTTCCTGTACAGGCTGCAGAACTGCGAGCCAAAATGAAATATCTTTTCTTTATAAATTACTCAGCTTCAGGTATTTCTTTATAGCAACATGAAACTGACTTAATACACTGCTCAAGTTTGAATATCTATGAAGCAACGAGGTGCTATGCCTTTTGCAAATAATTACAATCTCACCCACCCATTTGCAGCCAAAACAGGGTAATAGACATTATGAGAAAGGTGTGTGAAATATGTCCTAGGGGCATGTAAAAGGATGCCTTGCCTAGACTTGGGCTGTGGGGGTGGGGACACAGAGGGAAGGGGGTCGTCTGGGAGGGGTGGCAGAAGTCAGACAATGCCTGAGTTGGGCATAAGAGCCATATGAAAATTGGAAGGGAGATAAGTTGCTGTAGGCAGACAAAAGATGTGAGCTAAGAGGGAGGTGCGATAAAACATTGGCATCCTGGGCTGGACAACATTAAGATGTAGTCTGAAACTATCCTTAGAAGCCTTGGGTTTCTCATTGTCTTAGGAAATGAGAAGAAGAGAAAAGAAAGAGATGCCAGTTTTCTTTCCTCTCCCCATAGCCATAACTGAGACCAGCTTTTCCAAAATAGTTTTCAATGACAAAGAGTCCTGTGGTTCAAATAAACATGAAGGCTGCTGGTATAAGTCAATGCATGCTAAAGGTTCTACCATCTCACTATGTATATAAGTATATGTATATTTGTGTGTTTTATATACTCTCTCTTTATATGTATATTTTATTTCTACATATTCATATACTTATATCTATTTTATTTAACGGTTAAACCTGCAGACTTCTTTGCATGGGGGAAGCTTTCTCTTTCTCTATTCTCCACTAACATTTTTGCTCAACTCACAACATTTTTCCCTTACTACTAGCTTGAAAGACACTGGGCCTGAGGGTACATTAGTGAGTAAAACGAACAAATCCCTACCCTCAGGGAAGGGATCCCTACCTTCATTTTCAAATCCCTACCCTCATTTTAGTGGGGAACAGACATTCAAAATTAAAATATTTAGCATGTTAGTGATAAGTGCTAAAGAGCAAAAAACAAAGTGAGAAAGGAGGCTAGATGTGTTAAGTGGGGTTAACATTTTAGAAGGGGTGGTTAGGAAGACCCCACTGAGAAGGTAACTTTTGAGTAAAGACTTGAGGAAGGAAATCCTGCAGCTATCTGGGGAAGTACTTTCCAGGTAGATGAAACAGCAAGTGCAAAGGCCCTGAGGCAGAGCCATGCCTACTTTTTTCCAGGAATCTCCAACAGGTCAATGGCTGAGGCAGAATGAGCCCACTGCAGGGTAGCAGGATATGAGGTGGAAGGGGCAGGTTGTATAAAATCTTCTGGCTTCTTTTTAATTCTTTTAAACATTTACCCAAATAACGCTTGCATTTTAATTGTTTTCATTATAAACAAGTGTCCTAACTGTGTTTTCTTAGATTCTGTACTTGTCTATTTGGCATCCATTAACCACAGGTCCAAATAATGGCCAAAGTTGCCTGCATCTCTTCTGCATGGTCTTGCTGCATCTCTTGGCATGCTCTTGCTCTGAAATGTGATTTTGCTAGTCTTTATGAAAGTTCCTAAGTTCAATGTTCTTCGGTCAAATACGTTATGTGCCATTTGATAATCAGTTGGGAACCTGGAGCCTCCTATGTAACCCTCTGAAAAAGTTGGTTTAGAACTTGTGGTCAGACTCAATGCCTAAAAGAAACCTCTAAGCCTTTTAAGTTTTATATTTACAGATATTGACATTCTAAGATCCTCTGGCAGTCCAGGTGATACAGAAATTCATAGCAAAGACAAGTGAAATGAAGCATGCATGTGAATAAGAGGAAAAGTTGAGCAAAATGGTGAGCTTGGAATAGATCTTTCAGGATACACAAAACCTCCTAAGGAAAACCTGTACATTATAAGGAATATTTAACACTCTGGAACCTAGCTTCCAGTGAACATAGCCCAATAAATGACCCACAATTTGACCATTTAGGTTCATACTTCCTTTTCTTGAGGAGGATGAACATAACAGTTTCCATATTATCCAGTGACCCAGAATGCCTAGGAAGTGATAGATGGTGAGGTTAATTATTTAACCCAAGTTTTAGTAATTTCGCTTTTAGAAGTGTGAAGTAAGGTAATATTCAGAGAGGTGAATAAACTTTTATGTGAAAGAAATTGATTTCACTCTTATTTATGATAGCATAATTTCAAAACAACCCAAGAGAAATTATGGAAATATCTACATTGAAAGATGAATAATATATAATGATATAAGAAAATACCCAAAAGGCAATTTTAACTGATAAAAGCAAGATATAAAATATATGTTTGTAAAATAAACCCAATTTTAATTCAAAATACATGGTATTTATATATACAAAGATACAAGGCACACAGGAGAGTAAGGAGGAAATACAGCAATGGATTAATAGTAGTAATTACTGGATAGAAATTTCATAAACAGTGTTCAGGGTAACTAGAGCCACTAGAAAATAAGGGGAACATCTGGAAATGAGAGAGTCCTAGAGAGAATACCCAGGATTATGTGTATAAACTCCAAACTTGGTCTTACCCCTTAACCATGTGTATGTAGTGTAGACTCCAAGAAGCCCAGCTAAGGCTAAAAGGACTAACATTTCAGCTGCTGCTTCTCACAGGGGAGACAGAATTTTCAGCTTGAATTTAGCCAAGTTAATTGCCCAATTGAAAAAAACATTGTCTGGGTGTGGTGGCTCACGCCTGTAATCCCAGCACTTTGGGAGGCAGAGGCGGGCAGATCACGAGGTCAGGAGATCGAGACCAGCCTGGCTAACACGGTGAAACCCTGTCTCTACTAAAAATACAAAAAATTAGCCAGGCGTGGTGGTGGCCTCTGTAGTCCCAGCTACTCAGGGGGCTGAGGCAGGAGAATGGCGTGAACCCAGGTGGCAGAGGTTGCAGTGAGCCGAGATTGTGCCACTGCACTGCACTCCAGCCTGGGGGACAGAGCAAGACTCCATCTCAAAAAAAAAAAAAAAAAAGGAAAAAACACAAAAACACGAGGAACCTATTAGAAGCCAGAGTTCCTACAACACATCATTAACAATGTCCAGCACACAATCCAAAATTACTGACAATATGAATAAACAAGAAAATGCCACCTATTCTCAAAAGAAAAGGGAATCAGCAGAAATTGACTTTAAGAGGACTCAGATGTCATGGCTATCAGACAATAAGTTTAAAGCCACAATTTTACCTATGCTCAAAGACAGAAAGAAAAATATGCCCACAATAAATTTAAAAAATAGGAAATCTCACAAAGTATACAAAAAATCAAATGGAAATTCTAGAATTGAAAATTTTAATATCCAAATTAAAATTTACTGGATAGGGTTAATATTAGAATGGACATTCAGAAGATTGAATGAACTTAAGGATAAATCAATAGAAATTATCCAACCTGACAAAAAGAAAGAAAAAAAAATTGGAAGAAAAAGTAAAAAGTCCCTTACCATACACTCATTTCATCATCAGCAATATGAATTCAATTTTCTAAAGGTAACTGTGGGCCAGGTGCGGTGGCTCACGCCTGTAATCCCAGCATTATGGGAGGCCGAGGTGGGTGGATCACGAGGTCAGGAGTTCAAGACCAGCCTGACCAAGATGGTGAAACCCCATCTCTACTAAAAATACAAAAATTAGCTGGGCATGGTGGTGGGTGCCTGTAGTCCCAGCTACTCGGGAGGCTGAGGCAGGAGAATCGCTTGAACTCGGAAGGCAGAGGTGGCAGTGAGCCGAGATCATACCACTGCACTCCAGCCTGGGTGACAGACCGAGACTCTGATTGAAAAAATAAAATAAAATAAAGGTAACTGTGAAGAAAAAACTGAAATAATACAAAATATATTCCGTTCATCTATATGAAATATGTGCACAACATACTTGTAATTGGAATCAAACTATCATTGAGTAATCACATTTTCCACATAGTAATTTAAAATTCTGTAAGTGCTTGATAGTAATTTATAGTTGAAATAATAGTGCTATTTATTTAAAATATTCCTATTTAGACAGTTTCCAATTCTTTGCTCTTAAAGCGATAAGCAGTCAACATTCTCCTGCATATATCTTTGTGCACATGTATTTCTCTTAGACATTTAGAATGGAATTCTTCAAGGTGTAAATCTTTTTAACTTTTCTAACTGATTTATAATATATCCAGAAAAGTGCTCAAAATATAAATGGACATCTCAGTGAAAATTCATGTAAATATTATCCAGATTCACTTTTGCTGTTTGTGTTTTTATAATTTTTAGAACCAACTTGTTAAAGTTCAGCACAATGTCTGTTGGTATTCTGATAGAAAGTACATTGAATATATAGGTTAATGAGAAAGAACTGAAATCTTAATAATATTCATTTTTTCAATATATACATACATATAGATGTATGTATAAGAATATATATATAAGAATATATATTTACAAATATATATAAGAATATATATATACAAATATATATAATAATATATATATAAGAATATATATATATCCTTCAGGGCTTTTTAGTTGATTTTTAGACTTAAGGCTGAATCAAAAATATTTCACAGTGTAACCTTTTAAATTGAGATATAATTTATCTGCAAACAAATTGCACAGACTAAAGTGTGTAATGTGATGACTTTACATCCAAGTGTAACTACCAAGTAACCACCACCCCCATTAAGATACAGAACATCTCTATCAACCTGAGACTTTCCTTTGTTTCCTTTCAAGCCACCACTCCCTCTCCACCACCACCAAATGTAACCATGATTTATATTGCTATTACCATAGCTTAGTTTTGCCAGAAGTAGGACTTCATATAAGTGAATTACACAGTACGTATCATTTAGTGTCTGGCATTTTTCACTCAACATAATTACTCTTTAGATTCATTCATGTTGCTGATTGCATCAATAGTTCATTTTCTCCTATTGCTGGGTACTTGATGTACATTTTTCTGTTGTACATTTGGCTCATTTCATTTTGGCAATTATGAATAATGCTGTTAATATTGTTACACAAATCTTTTTGTAGATGTAGTTATTTATTTATTCATTACTTAAAGTTATTTCCTAGGGTAATAGGGTCAAAGAGAAGGTATAAGACTAACTGTATAAGAACTTGTTTAGTAAATTTCCCAAGTAGTTACATCATTTTATACCTCCTACAAGCAATAAATGAGAGTTCTGTTGCTTCTTGTTCTCACCAACACTTGCTGTTGTCAAATATTTTTATTTCCGTTATTTGCATGGGAATGTGGTGACAGCCTGCCTTCCTGAAGACTGGATAGGTTGAGCAGCTTTTTACATGTTTATAGACATGTGTTTATTGTACACTTTCTTTTTATAGTGTCTAAGTCTTTGTTCATTTTTATTTTTAAACTTTTTAAATTGCAGGCATTCAGGATACAGTTCTTTGTGAGATATATGTATTGATAATATTTTCTCGCAGTTTGTGGCTTGATTGTTTAATAATTTCATGGTCCTTTCTGTTAAGCGGAAATTTTAAATTTCTACAAAATCCAATTCAGTATTTTTTCCCTTATTGTTAGTGCTTTTTCTTTGCTGGCTATTAAATATTTCCTTACCCCAATGTTGTAAATATTCCTTTATATTTTCTTCATGCAGGTTTATGATTCGACCTCTTATTTTAGCTCTATTGCCCATCTTGAATAAATTTTTGTGTATCAGGTGAAGTGAGAATCAAGGCTTACTTTCTTCCACGTAACTATTCAGTTCCTGCACAGTATGTTGAGAAAACTTTTCCCATTAAGTTGCCTTATTGGTCTTGTCAAACATCAATGACCATGTCCGTAGGAGTTTACTTCTGGAAGCCACATTCTTTTCATTGATATATTTATCTAGACTCACTGAAATATCACACTGTCATCACAACTATACTTTTGTATAGTAGAAATGATTTTATTAAAGCTAAAATTTTAGACAATTCAGCAAATATGGAAGCATGCCCAATGAGTTAAAGTTGGAATTCCACAACGCTTTCTGATAAAACTACTTTGTTTTTCCTGACGTTCTGTGACGTACTTCATATTCTTCCATAGAGTGTTTTTAAAAATAAAAGTTGTATATATTTAACATGTACAGTGTGTTTTGATGTATATATTCATATTGAAATGATGACTGCATTGAAACAAATTAACATGTCCATCTCCTCATGTAGCTATCTTTTTTTTCCCTTTTTGTTTTTTTTTTTTGCTGAGAGCACTTGGAATCTACTCTCTTCACAAATTTCCAGTATATATTATGGAGTTATTAAGTGTAGTCACACCAGGTGTTAGAGTTCTAGGCTTAAAGACTCTTAAGTACCATCAGGACAAAATTCCATGATGATCTGGTCACCTGTTTCATTTCCAATGCTTTGCACAGTGTCTACAATATAATAAAAGCTTAATATTAGTTGAATAAACAATTGAAATGAACTTGGAAGAGGGGTATTGGCTATCCTCTCCTCCACATTCAGTATTTCCATAAGTCTAGGCAACTGCACTATATCTCAATACACAAGACTTACATGTCAAATAATTTCATGGGTTACTATCATAGTCATAGAAATTCTGAGGATGTCACAGCAGCTCTCTCCCCAGGTCACATCACTTTTTTGACTCCTGGTTTCTCTTGTAAAAGCAGTTTCCTTCCATGTGTCAATGCAGTTATAACCACTTTGAGACTTTTCTTTATGTTAACTTATTTGTATTTTCATGTACTTTTTATATTAATTTTTAATATTTATGTATACACTACTATACAATATACTAGATATACAGTAAATGATTATGCATTCTATTTTAATTATCTAGATCCAGAATGTGGGTAAAACTGAGCACTATAATGAGAGTTTAGTAATCTGGCCTCTAGTTTTGTGTCTGCCAGTAACTTACTTTCTGAGGGAGTCTTATCTGGGCCTCAGTTCACTCATTTACAAACTTTGCGAATTTGAACTGGAACCAGATGCCCTGTGGCAGTCTCAGAATTCTCTCCAGAACTCTGCTGGCTGGAGGATGCATACTAGGAGAAAGACATCTCAGGATGAGATTGTGCTCTATTATATGTCACGTTTGCTTTGCACTGAGAGGCCTATTGTTAATACTGCCAATACCTACAGCATCTCAGACACAGCGAGAAGCAGCAATCACTTCCTTCTGAAGGACAGAGACCACATGTATCAAAATCCCTGTCTCTGGACCATCTGGCTGCTGATTGTATGATACTAACATCCACACTCAATTAAACTGGGCTCCCCTTAGGAAAACAAAGATCCAAAAGAGGCAATGTCAAAAGAATTGATATAATCCAAATCCTGATGCTACAGAGAGCAGCTGGTTGGGGAAGTTGAAGAAGGAAAAGACACAGGGGTGTACTTGTGATGTGGGCTGTCGATTTCACAAATAGTGAGAAGTTTTCTGAGATGTGACTTAGGAAGATAAAGGGGCCCAAAGAGTTTTGGGGAATTTCTCTGAATTCTAGAGAATCTTGGGTGTGAATGAAACAGTGAACATCTAAGAGGGAAGCAAGTACAGCCCCTCCTTGGTTCTGTAGTGGTAATGACATGGCAAGTAGGAGGTCTCAGGGATTGTTTTGTCTGGGTAGTGCAAAAAGATGTAAAGCCCAGGCTTGACGCAGCTCCTTATCCAGTAAAAAGGGGTCCAGCTCTCAGAGTGCCTTCCTGTAGAAATCAGAACAAGTGACTCTGATCTCTCACAGGAATTGCGGGCCATGTAAATTACTGAATTAAGGGTTTAACTCTGGTAGCTATTTGAGTTGTATTTTTAAATTTACGTATAAATATACATATATAAATACTCTTATATATGAATGTATATATCATATAAAATGTGTTTTAGAAAATACAATGAGATTGGCGCAAAAGTAATTGCAGTTTTTGCATTGTTTAAATTTGGCATTTGATATTAGAATACATTCTTAAATAAATGTGGTTATGTTACACATTTTCATGCATGTCTTGTTTTTTTTTTTTTGCTAATGACTTATTACTTGCTGTTTATTTTATATTTATTTTAGACTACGGAAATGATGTTAGACCAAAAGTAAATTGGAGCTTTTCAAAATGGGTCATAAAGCAGTGGAGACAACTCGCAACATAAACAACACATTTGGCCCAGGAACTGCTAATGAACATACAGTGCAGCGGTGGTCCAAGAAGTTTTGCAAAGGAGACAAGAGTCTTAAAGATGAGGAGCATAGGCCAGGTGCGGTGGCTCACACCTGTAATTCCAGCACTTTGGGAGGCTGAGGCGGGCGGATCACGAGGTCAGGAGATTGAGACCATCGTGGCTAACACGGTGAAACCCTGTCTCTACTAAAAATACAAAAAAAAATTAGCCACGCAAGGTGGTGGCCGCCTGTAGTCCCAGCTACTCGGGAGGCTGAGGCAAAAGAATGGCGTGAACCCAGGAGGTGGAGCTTGCATTGAGCCGAGATCGCGCCACTGCACTCCAGCCTGGGCGACAAAGCGAGACTCTGTCCCCCCAAAAAAAAAAAATATGAGGAGCATAGTGCCTGGCCATCAGAAGTTGACAACGACCAATTGAGAACAATCATTGAAGCTGATCCTCTTACAACTACATGATAAGTTGCTGAAGAACTCAACGTTGACCATTCTATGGTCATTTGGCATTGGAAGCAAATTGGAAAGGTGAAAAAGCTCCATAAATGGGTGCCTTATGAACTGGGTGAAAATGTAAAAAATCGTCATTTTTGAAGTGTTGTCTTCTCTTATTCTACGCAACATCAACGAACCATTTCTCAATCGGATTGTGACATGTGATGAAAAGTGGATTTTATATGACAACCAGCAATGACCAGCTCAGTAGGTGGACTGAGAGGAAGCTCCAAGGCACTTCCCAAAGTCAAACTTGCACCACAAAAAGGTCATGGTCACTGTTTGGTGATCTGCTGCCAGTCTGATCCACTACAGCTTTCTGAATCCTGGCAAAACCATTACATCTGAGAATAATGCTTGGCAAATCAATGAGATGCATGGAAAACTGCAATGCCTGCAGCCAGCATTGGTCAACAGGAAGGACCCAATTCTTCTCCATGACAATTCCCAACTGCATGTCGCACAACCAATGCTTCAAAAGTTGAACGAATTGGGCTATGAAGTTTTGCTTCATCCGCCATATTCACATGACCTCTTGCCAACCGATTACCACTTCTTCAAGCATCTAGACAACGTTTTGCAGGGAAAATGCTTTCACAACCAGCAGAATTCAGAAAATGCTTTCCAAGAGTTCGTCGAGTCCTGAAGGAAGGCTTGTTATACCTACAGGAATAAACAAACTTATTTCTCATTGGCAAGAATGTGTTGACTGTAATCGTTCCTATTTTGCTTAATAAAGATGTGTCTGAAATTAGCTATATGGATTTAAAATTCACAGTCTGAAACCGCAATTACTTTTGTACCAACCTAATATGTATATATTTGTGTGTGTGTGTGTGTATATCTAAAGTTATAGTCTTCTCTAAGTAGTAGGTAAAAAGAGTGAAATTATTTTCAGTTATTCTTCTGTTCTCTAGTCTTTACTCACTATCTCAACCTCAACATCCATGCCATTTTAGACTCAGCTTTTGTCTTTAGCTCCTTCACCTAGAGCTTGAATATGAGTTTTCCGTATCCTGAGAATAAAACCCTTTGCACTGCTGGGAGTAGCATCTGGGCAGCACCTAAAACGAGGATCCCTATAAAGAAGACCTGACCTGGGGAGACGGTTGACAGACAGAAAACCTGAGATAAGGGAGGCAAGACTTGCATATGGAAAATCTCTGGGAGACTCTGGAGAAGAGAGGACTAGATATGCTTAGACATACATTGTTTCTAAGGAAACTGTGTATGTCAGCATAATAAGCTTTTGATGATAGGTTAATTTGGCCACTTCTTTATTATTTATCTATTTTTAACTTTTAATTAAAAAGTAAACTTTAATGTCGAAAATGCAAACTTGGGGAAGGCAGAAAGATCACACACAAGGCTATCACTTCACAATTGGAAGGTTGCACAGCGGCCGGGCAGAGATGTTCCTCACTTCCCAGACGGGGCGGCTGGGCAGAGGGCTCCTCACATCCCAGACAACGCGGGGGCCGGGCAGAGGTGCTCCTCACATCCCAGATGGTGAGGGTTGGGGGACCGGGCAGAGGTGCTCCTCACATCCCAGACAGGGCGGTGGCCGGGCAGAGGCGCTCCTCTGCCAGATGGTGGGCATCTGGGCAGGGGAGCTCCTCACTTCCCAGACTGGGTGGCAGCCGGGCAGAGGCAATCCTCACTTCCCAGACGTTGGGCAGCCGGGCAGAGGTGCTCCTCACTTCCCAGACGGGGTGGCCGGGCAGAGGGGCACCTCACTTCCCAGACGGTGTGGCGGCCAGGCAGAGGTCACTTCTTTATTAAGAGGTTGACCAGAATTTGGATTCATGAGCAAATAGATGTTAAAGCAGCTGTCCTACTGTAGAAAAATAAATAAATAAATAAAATAATACTTGTGTGTGTATATATATATATAGAGAGAGAGAGAGAGAGAGAGAGAGAGAGATGGACTCTTGCTCTGACGCCTAGGCTGAAGTGCAGTGGTGCAATCTTGGCTTACCACAACCTCTGTCTCCCGGCTTCAAGCGATTCTCCTGCCTCAGCCTTCCGAGTAGCTGGGACTACAGGTGTGCGCCACCACACCCAGCTACTTTTTGTATTTTTAGTAGAGACGGGGTTTCACCATGTTGGCTAGGCTGGTCTCGAATTCCTGACCTCTGGTGATCCATCCGCCTCGGACTCCCAAAGTGCTGGGATTACAGGCATGAGCCATTGCGCCTGGCTGAAAGACTATTTTTAATGATCCAGACCATCTGACCTCAGGCACAGCAGCTACCTTGGCTGTTACACACCTTTACCAACTTGGAATTAACAATGGTGGTATGACGTCTTGATCTCCTGGAAAAATCTAAGAATTAAAAACCACAGGTGCTAGTGCTGGTTCTGAAAGTTGAAGTTCATCCCTTCCCCTCTGTGACAGCATTTCACGATGTGTAAAGATATTTTTGTGCATGACAATAGATATTGTTTCCCAGGATAATAGCTTACTGACCAAAGACAGTTATAGAACAGGCTTCAAGATGGCTCACTACAGACATCTCATACTCACCTTCTCCACAAAGAACCAAAATAGTGAGCAGATAGTAACACTTCAAATAGATCGTCTGAGAGAGAACACTGGAATTCAACAGAGAAGTGACAGGAAGCCCCAAAGCAGGGAAGGAAAGATAAATGAGGCAGCCTGCTGGGTTGAGACTGACTGGGGACCTGGAGAGTCTCCCCATTGTGAGGAAAGAGTAAATCAGAGACCCCCCCAGCGGTCCACATTCCCACCATAGACTCCTGCAAACATAGTCACTGGAGAGTCTCTTGACTATAGCAGGCCCTGAAGCTGATATAGGGAGCTTCCTGGAGACCACACAACGCTCCAGCAAGGAAGCTCACAGTGCGTCCCTCACAGCCCAGAGTCCTATGCAGTTACAGCAAGGTGCCATTTTAAGAGCTCATCCCTCAATAGACTGCAAAGAACCAAGGCATGGGCCGCCAACAGTGACTCCGTTGCCCCTGGCAGTGGAGCCACCATGCATTTTCACATGCCCAGATTCCCCTGCCTGCAGCTTCTGACACTCTGGGTTGCCGCCAGCAGGGCTGAAGTGGCGAGTGGGAGGGAGGTTGCTGCTGCCGGGGCTGAGGAACAAGCAAAGTGAGGGCTGCCAGCACAAAGGCCGAAATATGAACAAAGTGCACGCTCCTCACCTGCCTGCCTGCGGCTGCCACTGAGAGCAACACTGCCCTCTTCAGTAGCAGCTGTTGCTACCCCCCAGCTGAACATTCTACCCAGATTCTGGGGACCACCCTGACTCTGCCTACCACAGCCAGTGCCTGCACTGCCAGGGAACTGAGGACAAGCCCCCGTGGCCCAGCTTCACTCCCTGCTCCCAGTGCCAGAGCATGTAATAAAGTGGCCTGGGGACCACCCAGGCCAGTCCACCACTGTCGGCCTGGCAGCATCAACCTCCCTCCCACTCGCCACTTCAGCCCTGGTGGCAGCAACCCAGAGTGTCAGAAGCTGCAGGCAGGGGAATCTGGGCATGTGAGCACTCCTCCCAAGTGCCTGCAGTTGGACACACCCACCCTGCTACTACCACCATGGCTAGAATCCATCTGCATGTACTACCTGTGGGCCTGGAAATTGACCCACCTAGCCCAACACAGCCACTGTGCAGTGTGCACCACTCAAGACTCGGAGAGTTGTCCCACCACTTAACTGCCATTACCTGGGCCACATTTGCTGTTCAGGAGCCCAATAACTTACCTACTTCCTCCATTATAAGAATCCAAGCAAGCTACCTAGAGACTCAAGAATTGGCCCACCTGACCTGCTAATACCACTGCCTGCATATGCCACCCTAGATCCCAAGGACAGGCACACTCAGGCCACCCTTGCCACCACTGGGTTCTGAAGACTGGCCCACCTGACATCCCTGTCTCAAGCAAAATTCACTGCAGCCTTCACTAACAATAACCCCTTAAGCCACCAAGAAAATCACAGACACCATTGATTTTGTTTACAGAGGAACTCATACAGAAACTACGCTACTGCATGCACCAAGAATCAAAACCAAAGTGTCCTACTCGACCAACACCATAGATATATCTTCAAGAAAAATCCTCTCCTATGAAAGCAAATTCAAAAAAATTAAAGGAAGCAATTGTCTCACCAAATATGCATATATCAACATAAGGACATAGGAAACAGAGAAAAGCAAGAAAATAAGGCATCTCCAAAGGAACACAATAATTCTCCAGCAACAGATCCTAATTGTAAAAAAATTACAAAATCCTAAAGAAAGGATTTAAAATATTGATTTTCAAGAAGTTCAGTGAGATACAAGAGAATACTACACAATACAAATTAATCATAAAAATAATGCAGAATATCAATGAGAAATTTGCCAGAAAGATAAAGATCATTTAAAAAAAAAACAGAAATTCTAGAACTAAAAAATTGAATGAAATATAAAGTACATTTAAAAGCTTCAACAATACAGTGGATTAAGCAGAGAAAAGAATCTCAGAACTTGAAGACAGGTCTTTAAAAATAACCCAATTAGGCAAAAATAAAGAAAACAGAATTTAAAAGAATGAGCAAACACTATGTGATATATGGGACAACACAAAGCCACCAAATATTCAAATTCTCTGAATACCAGAAGGTGAAGAGAAAACAAAAGAGTTCAAAAATGAATTTAATAAAAAATAGATGAAGACTTCCCAAGTCTAGCAAGATATTTAGACATTTAGATACAGAAAGCTCAGAGATTCCCAAACAGATACAGTGCAAAAAGGTATTCTCTATGGCACATTATAGTCAAACTGTCAAAAGTCAAAGGGAAAAATTTGGAAAATAGCAATACAAAAGCATCTAGCCACTTATAAAAAAAAACAAAACAAAACCCTAACAGATGATTTCTCAGCAGAAACCTAACAGACCAGAGGAGAATAGCATGATACGTTCAAAGTGTTGACAGAAAAATCTGTCAGCCAAGGATGACTCAGTAATATTCTTCTTCATAAATGAAAGAGAAATTAAGTCTATCACAGACAAGGAAAACCTGAAGAAATTGATCACCACCAGATGGGCCCTACAAAAACTGCATAAGAGTCTTACACCCGGAAGTGAAAGAACAGTATCTACAATCATAAAAACACATGACAACATAAATACCCCCGGTAGAGCAAACATATGAAAAAGGAAAAGAAAAGACTCAAATATTACTACTACTGAAAACCACAATGACGAATATTAAGAGAGAAAAAAAGGAACAAAGTATATACAAAACAACCAGAAATGAATTAATAAAATGAAAGAAATAAGACCTCACATATCAATACTAACCTTAAATGTAAATATATTGAAATTTCCTCTTAAAGAATATAGTATAGACTGAATGAAAGGATAAAAAAACTCAGCAAACTAAGCCCAATGTTAGCAGAAGGAAAATAATAATAGAGATCACAGCAGAACTAAATAAAATAGAGACTTAAAAAAATACAAAGGTGAATGAAACAAAAAGCTGATTTTTGAAAATATAAACAAAATTAATCAACCACTTGTGAGACTGGCCAAGAAAAGAAAGAAAGAAGACCTAAAAAAAAAAATCAGAAATGAAAAAGGAAACATTATAACTGATACCTCAGAAATACAAACGGTCATTAAAGACTATTATGAACAATTACACACGAACAAACTGGAGAACTGAGACAAAATGGATAAATTCCTGGACACATACAATTTACCAACATTGAGTCAGGAAGAAATAGAAAACCTAAACAGACCAATAATAAGTAATGAGATGGAAACCATAATAAACGTCTCCCAACAAAAATCCAGGACTGAATAGCTTCACTGCTGAATCCTACCAAACTTTCAAAAAATAAATAACACCAGTTCTCCTCAAACTATTCCAAAAAATGAAAAGGAGAGAATTCTCCTTTCATAAGAATGTAACTCATTCTTACAAAACCAGTATTACATTGTTACCAAAAGCAGACAAGAATGCAACAACAACAAAAAAGAAAACTATAGGATAATACCCCCGGTGAACACAGATGCAAAAAATCCCAACAAAAATACTCACAAACCAAATTCTACAGCACATCGAATAAATAATAAACCGTGATCAAGTGGGATTTATCCCAGGGATGAAAAGATGGTTCAACGTATGCAAATCAATAAATATAAAACATCACATCGACAGAATAAAGGACAAAAACCATGTAACAATTCTTCTCAATAAATGCAGGAAAAGCATTTCATAAATTTTAACATCCCTTGATGATAAAAATTCTCAACAAGCTAGGCATAGAAAGAACATACCTCAACATAATAAAGGCCACATATGACAAGCCCACAGCTAACATCATTCTGAATAAGGAAAAGCTGAAAACCTTTTCTTTAAGAACTGGAACACAAGATACCCACTTTCACCACTCTTATTCAACATAGCACTGCAAGTCCTCGCCAGAACAATCAAGCAAAAGCAGAAAATAAAAAGCATCTAGTTGTTTTGTGTGTTTGTTTGTTTTGTTCAAAGGGGCAGATTAGAGGCATTGCTAGCATACCTTTCCCACTTGGAGGGACGAAATAGCGTGTAGCGATTCACACTGTGAAATTTTTTTCAAGAAGCAACACAGGAACTGAACAGTAAAACTGAAGGAATTACATACCCTTTGAAGGAAGCAGGAGGCTGCAGCCCACACTGTGAGTCAGGTGAAGGCTTGCAAGTCCCCAGATTGTGAGAGAAGGAGAGACTGCCTCTGAGACATACACCCCCACTAGGGACCCTGAAAGTCCAGGCCATAGGGGAAGGCCCTAACCCCACCCAGCACAGGAACCAACTTTGGGAGGGTTGTGGAATATAAAAGTAGGAGCAGCAGTGGGAAGACCCTTGCATGCATTCCCAGATCCCAGTGCGAGCTGGGGGACAGCTATTCCTTACTGTTCTTCACAGGGGTTCCTGCAGAGGACTGCCAAAAAGTTCAGGAAGTGGTCGCAGGTTGAAAGAAGTCCCCAGCTGGGTATCATGATGATGTAACCTCAGATGGGGATGAACTCCCTTGGTCAGGGCTGGAGTGAGCGGGAGAGTGAAAAGTAGGCTGCAAGTGTAGGAGTCATGAATGGAGGAGCCAGGCGTCCAGCTTTGCAGCCGATGGGGAGGGGCGTGGCCTGAAAGCCGCAATTTCTGTCTTCACAGGGAAAGCTTATGACTCAGGGTAGTTTCAGGCTGACTGGAACTCAGCTCGCTCACAGTAGTCTGGCTCCCAGGGACTCCCACTTCTAGGGGAAGGGAGAGTGCACCACACCAAGGAAACGCCCTGTGGGACAAAATAATCTGGATGGCAGGCCTTGAACACTGGATCATTTTGCTGGTGTAGTTTCTTTCAGCAGAGGCACAGTTGCAGTGCTGGACCCAGCAGAAAAAGTCTTCAGCTCTATCCCAATAGTCAGACAGCCCTGATGCACATGAGGGGTCTTGGAGAAGAAAAAATCTTTCCTCACTTGTCTACCACTGTATGCACAGTGGTGCTTCTTCCACAAGATCTCAGCATGAGTGCAACTATAGACAGCCTTTCTGGGATCTATCAGGGTGACTGCATCCCCACAAAAGGAGCACCCTCCAGGTTCAGGCTTGCATGAGAGACAGAGTCACAGTTCTTCTCTGCTTGGAACATCAACATTCCTACAGATGAAAAGGGGTGCCTATCTGATGTGAGTAGCCAGAGCACTGAGACAGGAGTGTGTCTGAGAGGTGGATACCTTTCCTGCTGACCCAGCTGGGGAGCTGAAGTAGCTCCAACTCTTTCCCCTGATAAGACCTTAGTGCTACAGACTGAGGCCTCCTCCACCCACCTCTGTCAAGGTTGCAACTTCATTTATCCACCTGCTTTATCTGCAACCAGTTCCTACCCAGGAATGAATCCTAAATCATCAAACCAGTAAATAAAACATTGAGGAAAAACAAATAAATAAAAAAAGTGCATGCCACGGGGGGGATAAGATAAGCTTTAAAATACCTTGATCATTCCAACCCCCTAGAAGATAGTGAACTTGCTCATACATTTGGCACATTGCTACTACAGCCAGCATATAAGAAAGCCACCATACAAAGACTTTCTGTAATCAAGGAACTCTTATAGAGTCATCACCCCTGAAAGCACCAATAACTGAATTAGACTATAATTAACTTTAAGCATTAAAGTCTTGTCCTTAAGGGGAAAAAAGCATTTAAAAACAAACAAGCAAACAAACTCAAAGAAACACAGTCAAATCATATGTACATTCAAGAATGAGAAGAAGCCAGAAAACTAACTCTGTTAATATGACAAAACAGGATGCTATAACACCCACAAAATATCACACTAGCTCTCCAGCAATGGACCCAAACTAAGATGAAATCTTCAAAATACCAGATAAGGAACTCAGAAGGTCAATTATCAAGCTACTCAAGGAGATATCAGAGGAAGGTGAAACCATCATAGAGAAATTAAAAAAGCAGTTCAGGATATGAATTAAAAAATTTCTAGAGAGAGAAATATCATAAAGAAAAACCAAATCAGAAGTTCTGGAAATTAAAGAAACACTGAGAGAATTACAAAATGCAGGGGAAAGTTTTAATGATAGACTAGAACAAGTAAAATAAAAATTTCAGAGCTTGAAGACAAGGCTTTTGAATTTAATCAATTAGGCAAAAATAAAGAAGAAATCAAAAGAAATGAACAAAGTCTCCAAGAAATGAGGGATTATGTAAAATGGCCAAACCTAAGAATAATCAGTGTTCCTGAGGGAGAAGAGAAAACAGTTAAGTCCGGAAAACTTATTTGAGGGAATAATTGAGGAAAACTTCTCTGGCCTGGATAGAAATCTAGATATCCAAATCCAGGACACTGCAAGACAGAGTTTCGCTTTTCTTGCCCAGGTTGGAGTGCAATGGCACGATTTTGGCTCACTGTAACCTCTGCCTCCCAGGTACAAGTGATCCTCCTGGGAAATTCATAGCATAAAGATCTTCAGCAAGTCATGTAGTCATTAGGTTATCTAAAGGCAATATGAAGGAAAGAATTCCTTCAGCAGTAAGAGAAAGGCATCAGGTAACCCACAAAGGAAAACTGATCAGACTACCAGCAGACTTCTCAGCAGAAATCTTATAAGCTAGAGGGACTGGAGTCTCATCTTCAACCTCCTTACACAACTGTCAGCCAATAATTTTGTATCCTGCAAAACTAAGTTTCATAAATGAAGGAAAAATAAAGTCATTTTCAGACAAATGCTGAAGGAACTTGTCACTACTAAACCAGTATTACAGCAAATACTAAGAGGAGTTCTAAACCCTAAAATGAGAGCCCAATATGCATCAAAATAGAACCTCTTGAAAACTTAAAACTCATAGGGTATATAAAACAATAACAATGCAATAAAACTATCTAGGTAAGAATTAACACGATGAAGAGAACAGTTCCTCACATCTCAATATTAATGTTGAATGTAAATGGCCTAAACACTCCACTTAAAAGATATAGAATGGCCGAATGGATAAAAAATCACAATCCAAGTATCTGTTGTCTTCAAGAGACTCACCTAACTTGGAAAGAGTCATATAAACTCAAGGTAAAAGGATAGAAAAAGGTAGAAAGGTATTCCATATAAATGGAAACCAAAAAAGAGCAGAAATAGCTTTCTTTTTTTTTTTTTTTTTTTTTTTTTTTTTTGAGATGGAGTTTCACTCTTGTTGCCCAGGCTGGAGTGCAATGGTGTGATTTCGGCTCACTGTAACCTCCGCATCCCAGGTACAAGTGATTCTCCTGTCTCAGCCTCCCAATTAGCTCGGATTACAGGCATGCGCCACCACACCCAGTGTACAAAAAAAAATACAAATTTTTTTGTATTTAGTAGAGACGAAGTTTCACCATGTGAATCAGGCTGGTCACAAACTCCTGACCTCAGGTGATTCACCCACTTCAACCTCCCTGGGATTAACAGGCATGCACAAAAATAGCTATTTTTATATCAGACAAAACAGACTTCAAAGTAACAACAGTAAAAAAAAGACAAATTAGCCGGGCGTGGTGGCAGGCACCTGTAGTCCCAGCTACTTGGGAGGCTGAGGCAGGAGAATGGCGTGAACCCCAGGGGCGGAGCCTGCAGTGAGCCGAGATCGTACCACTGCACTCCAGCCTGGGTGACAGTGAGACTCCATCTCAAAAAAAAAAAAAAGACAATGATAGTCACTATATAATAACAAATGAATTAATTTAACAAGATATTATAATTCTCAATTTATATGCACCAAACACTGGAGCTCCCAGATTCATAAAACAATTACTACTAGACCTGAGAAACAAAATAGACAGCAAAACAATATTAGTGAAAGACTTCAGTATACCACTGGCAGCACTAGACAGGTCTTCAAGACAGAAAGTCAACAGAGAAACAATAGACTTAAGTGACACACAAGAACAAATGGACTTAACAGATATTTACAGAATATTCTACTCAAGATCTGAAGAACATGCATTCTTCCCATCAGTACATGAAACATTCTCCAAGATAGACCATGTGAGTGGCCACAAAACAAGTCTCAATAAATTTTAAGAAATCAAAATCATATCAAGTATCTTCTCAGGCCACAGTAGAATAAAACTAGAAGTCAACTCCAAAAACAATCCCTAAAATTATACAAACAAATGGAATTAAATAATCTGCTCCTGAATGATCTCTGGGTTAACAACGAAATCAAGATGGAAATTTAAAAATAATTTGAATTGAATGATAATAATGACACAAGTTATCAAAACCTCTGGGATACAGCAAAAGCTAAGAGGAAAGCTTATAGCACTAAATGCCTACATCAAAAAGTTTTAAAGAACACACATTGACAACCTAATGTCACACCTCAAGTAACTGGAGAAACAAGAACAAACTGAACCTAGAGCTAGAAGAAGGAAATAAATAACAAAGAAAAGAGCAGAACTAAATGAAATTCAAACAAAAAAATTAAAAGATCAATGAAAGAAAAAGCTGGTTATTTGAAAAAAATAAACAAAATCAATAGATCATTAGCTAGATTAGCCAAGAAAAGAAGAGAGAAGATCCAAAAAACCTCAATTAGAAATGAAACTGGAGACATTATAACTGACACCACAGAAATACAAAAGATCATTCGAGACTACTATGAATACCTTAATGTGCACAAGCTAGAAAACCTAGAGGAAATGGATAAATTCCTGGAAACATACAGCCCTCCTAGATTAAACTAGGAAGAAATAGAAACAGACTAGTAACAAGCAGCGAGATTGAATCAGTAATTTAAAAATTGCCAACAGAAAAAAAAAAGCCCAGGATCAGATGGATTCACAGCTAAATTCTACTAGACATTCATAGAAGAACTGGTGCCAATTCTACTGAAATTATTCCAAAAGATTGAAAAAGAAGGAATCCTCCCTAAATCATTCTATGAAGCTAGTATCACTCTGATACCAAAACCAGGAAAAGACACAACAACCACAACAAAAATGACAGAACAATTTCCCTGATGAACTTAGATGCAAAAATCCTTAACAAAATACTAGCTAACTGAATCCAACAGCACATCAAAAAGATAATTCATTATGATCAAGTGGGTTTCATCCCAGAAATGCAGGGATGATTTAACCTATGCAAGTCAATAAATGTGATACATCCCATAAACAGAATTTGAAAACAAAAACTATATTATCATCTCAATAGATACAGAAAAAGCATTAAAGAAAATTGGTAGCTTTTTTTGATAAAAAGTCAAAAAACTCAGCATAGAATGGACATATTTCAAAATAATAAAAGCCAGGCCAGGAACAGCAGCTCACGCCTGTAATCCCAACATGTTGGGAGGCTAAGGTGGGAGGATCGCTTGAGTCCCTGAGTTTGAGACCAGCCTGAGCAACGTAGCAAGACCCTGTCTTTTTTTAATAAATAAATAAATAAAATAAAAAAAATAAAAGCCATATATGACAAACTCATAGTCAACATCATGCTGAATGGAGAAAAGTTGAAAGCATTCCCCTTGAGAAAAGTAACAAGACAAGGATGCCCACTTTCACCACTCCTATTCAATATAGTTCTGGAAGTCCTAGTCAGAGGAATTAGGCAAGAGAAAGAAATAAAGGGCATCCAAATTGGAAAAGAGAAAGTCAAACTATCACCATCTGCAGATTATATAAATTGTATACCTAGAAAATTCCAAAGACTCCTTCAAAATATTTTTAGATTTGATAAATGAATTCAGTAAAGTCTCAGATTACAAAATCAATGTACACAAATCAGTAGCACTGCTATACGCCACCAGTAACCAAGCTGAGACTCACATCAAGAACCCAATGCCTTTTACAACAGCTGCAAAAAATATTAAATACCTAGGAATATACTTAAGCAAGGACATAAAAGATCACTACAGGGAGAACTACAAAACACTGCTGAAAAAAAATTACACACGACACAAACAAATGAAAGTGCATCCTATGCTGACAAATTGGAAGAATCAATATTGCGAAAATGACCACACTGCTCAAAGTAATCTGCAGATTCAATGCAATTCCTATCAAAATACCAAGACCATTTTTAACAGAATTAGGAAAAACAGTTCTAAAATTCACAGGGAACCAAAAAAGAGCCCAAATAGCTAAAGCAATCCGAAGCAAAAAGAACAAATCCGGAGGCATCACATTACCAGACTTCAAATCATACTACAAGGCTATAGTTACCAAAACAGCTTGGTACTGGTATAAAAGCAGGCATATAGACCAATGTAACAGAATAGAGAACCCAGAAATAAAGCCAAATATGTACAACCAACTGATTTTTGACAAAGTATACAAAAACATATATTGGGAAATGGACATCCTATTTAATACATGGTGCTGGGAAAACTGGCAAGCCACATGTGGAAGAATGAAACTGGATCCCTACTTCTCACCTTATACAAAAATCAACTCAAGATGGATCAAAGACTTAAATATAAGGCCTGAAGCTATGAAAATTATACAAGACAATGTTGGAAAAGCTCTTCTAGACATCGGCCAGGGCAAGGAATGTATGTCTAAGACCCCAAAGGCAAACACAACAAAAACAAAAATAAATAAATGATACCTAATTAAACTGAGAAGGTTCTGCACAGCAAGAGAAATAATCAGAAGAGTAAACAGACAACCTACAGAGTGGGAGAAAATATTTGCAAACTATGCGTCTGACAAAGGACTAGTAACCAGAATCAAGGAACCCAAACAAATCAGCAAGAAAAAACAAGTAAGTCTATTAAAAAGTAGGCAAAGGACATAATAGACATTTCTTAAAATAAGATACACAAATGGCCAACAAACTTAAGAAAAAATGCTCAATATCATTAATTATCAGGGAAATGCAAATTAAAACCACAATAAGATACCATCTTACTCCTGCAAGAAAAACCATTATTAAAAAGTCAAAAAAACAATAGATGTTGGTGTGGATATGGGGAAAGGGGAATGTATGTGACAAATACTCACATATCCTCAATAAATATCTAAAATATTGTATATCAATTAAAAATTATAGTTGGAAGATTCCAAATGGAGATAAAGGATTGTGGCTAACATTGCAAGTCCAGCTTCTCTGCATTGAGTTAACCACAGGCTGTGCTGGGTGCAAGCTCTCTCCTTATCCCATGGTCACAACCCCCATTGTATTAGCAGGCTGGCTTCTGTCCCTTTCCTTGGTCCTGGTCCAAAGAACTCCAATTTTGTAGTATAAAAGAGGTTTAGATAACTTTCTACTGTCTCAGCAAGACTGTCAGTGTATACAAACATGGAAAACTGAAAACCAGGTTTTCAGGTTACTCACAAAATTGAACATCCTTTATGATATTTTATAGGGAAGAATTTTCATTCTTTTGAGTTGATGTTTATCACTGAAACCCAACCCACTGAATGGCATCATTTTTCTGGAAAACTGTCTGCCAGTAACATCCCCACTAAGATAAATCTATTATAAGTATTATTTAGAGTTTTCTTAAATTTATTTGCGGATGTCAGACATTGAGCATTTCTTGGGAAATGATCCAAAAAAAAAAAATTCCACTTTATTGGAAAAAAATCCCAGCTCCATTGCTACAAATACGGGGCGATTTTGAGCCAGTCACTTCATTTCTTGGGGACTCAGTTAATACATTTGTAAAATGAAAGTGTTAAACTAAAATAACTGAGACTTCCCAGCTGTAGCATTCATTGCTTCTATGTTGTCAGTATTTGTTGATGTTTTAAATAATATTACTTCATTCCCAGAGGCTTCTTGATCTGCCATACCTCTCTCTCCAGATTCCTCCACAGATAAATAGTTCCAGGTGGGATTCGTTTAGATTTATTATTATTATTTTAATAGCTACCATATATCCAGTGCTTACTATGTGCAGAATATATGTTATCTGACATAATCCATATGTAATGCAAGTATTAGACTAGTCTTGCCTTTCCCCATATTTTGGGAAAGGGGAGTTTGTGTTAAAACTGTTTCTTGCTCCTCCTTGCAGCTGCTGCTTTGGGTTGCATGTTTCTCTCTGTTGCTCTTGGCTCCCTCTTGAACCATACTGGCTGTGCTGCCCACCATTGCCTAAAACTCTGGAACTCTGACTTCCCCCTCCAGGTGATGCTGTTTCTCCTGTGATATTAGCAGGAGATGAGGAAACGGGACAGGAAAATTTCCCTTGCTCTTGTATCTCTCAGTTCTTCCAAGCCTACCATACCAGTCTCTATTTACAACAGATATTATAGAGATGGAACTTTCTATACAATAGAGGAAAGAATAACTTAAAACTGCATGTAAAATATGATTTTCATCGAGCCCCAAAGAAAAGGCAATAAATAAATAGAAGACAGTTGGGTGAATGGATGAATAAATGAAGTAGCTCTTCATCATAGCCTTCGGGAAGCAGCCTAGTTCAGACTCCTGTTCTCAGTCTCCCAAGCCTGGCCCAGTTCAAACTCCTGTTCTCAGTCTCCCAAGTCTCCCTTCCTTCATGCTCAGAGAGGTATATTTTTTAATTATTGTTTCAAATCTCTGCTTGTCTTTTAAAAATCCACATCTGCAGTTTATGAGGATTGATATCACCTTGGATTTCATCATCTTTTTCTTCCAGGGCAAACCATAGGCCACACTATCCTACAGAAACATGTTTTCCTAAAAGCTAAGGCATTAAGTTGAGAAATACATCATACGTTGTTTCAGCAGAGAAATTCAGTTATGAGTCTCCAAAATATATTAGAGAACTTCAAGGTTGGTTTTAATCCTTTGAATCCAATCCCATTCAAAGTCTCTTCTCTCTCATATGAAGTCTAGATATGTCTTTTTTATTCTTCGTATGATTTTCTTAACTATAAGGCTAAACACTTACACATATCTCCCAACAATAGACAATGTTTTCATAGAACATATGGTCTACATGGAAAATAAGAAACTTTTTTCCGTAAATGCAGCATAACCTATATAGATTTTTTTTTTTTTTTTTTTTTTTTTTTTTTTTTTTTTTTTTTTTTTTGAGACGGAGTCTCGCTCAGTCGCCCAGGCTGGAGTGCAGTGGCGCGATCTCGGCTCACTGCAAGCTCTGCCTCCCGGGTTCACGCCATTCTCCTGCCTCAGCCTCCTGAGTAGCTGGGACTACAGGTGCCCGCCACCACGCCCGGCTAATTTTTTTGTATTTTTAGTAGAGACAGGGTTTCACCATGTTAGCCAGGATGGTCTCGATCTCCTGACCTCCTGATCCGCCTGTCTCGGCCTCCCAAAGTGCTGGGACAATATAGGTTTTTCAGTCCACAATACTTTCCATGTTATATACAGCAGTGTCAGCAATCTTTTATCTTTCCTTTAAACATTCCCAGAAGAAATGGGTGTGTATAAAATCATGCTCATTTTCTGCTTCCTTAAACCACAAAACCATCTATATCAGATAGTTGCCTTCAAGTAAAAACAAAACAAAAACAAAAAAAAAACAAAAGACAAAAAACGAGAAGAAGCTTTGAAATCAACCTCTTTTTTCACTTTGTGAAATTTTTTCTTCAAATTTGTGGACTAAATATCATCTCCAGTTATCTCTACGAACACAAGGGTAGCAGTATAAAGACTCATTATTTCCCTGTATTTGGTGCAGATTTCAAAGGATTAGGGGAAAGGGTTGGCCTAGACTTCCCTTTAAGTTGTATTTATGATAAGCTTTGGTGTAGCAGTTACTATTCTAGACTTAGGGAAGTGAAGGTAAGAGTTAAAATGACACACCAAAATCATACATACGGTGAGTAGAATTGCTGAGATGTCACCAAAGTTAGTGAGTTGTTTAAGTCCATTCACTACAATATAGAGTTCAGATTGTTTAGGGACATCTTTTTCCTTCAAGAATGAAGTAAATTTTTTGTCTCTCTTTCCTTTTCTCTGATGTCTCCTTTTCAGCTCCTTCCTCCTATTTTATCCAGTCCTTGATTAATGCTGCCTTACTATGATAACAATGTTTAATACATTTGTGTTGGTCTCTTTCTCTCTGAAATTATTTTTTAAATCACATTCTGTCGAAATAATATTAGGATTTAACCATCAGACAGAGAATGATTTTGAGAAGAGGTAGTTATATGTCCCCCAAATGAAATCTGCCCTTTCTGCTTTTATTGAGAAATCATAATTCACCTCACTGATTTGGTTTACCTCAATATTTCAAATGACAGAGGTGCTTTGACCAAAAGTAGGGAGATTCCTGCTTATAAATTTGCTAATTGGGGTATTTTTTACATACAGTATAATGCTTTGATTTTAAGTGTATAGTTCAACAAATTTTGACAAATGTTCATACCCTTCTAACATCATTCAAATCAAGACACAGAACATTTCCATTGCCCCTGAAGCATTCCGTGTGGCACTTCCAGTCAATATCTCTCTTCCAGAGAAATTGTTGTTCCAATTTCTGTAACCAGAGATTACTTTTGCCTGTTCTGGAACTTCATATAGTGGAATCATATAGTATAGACTCATATTTGGCTTCTTTCATTCAACATAATATTTCTGAGATTCATCCATGTTTTTGTTTATTTTTTGCTTACTTCAAGAATATAAAAATATTCTTCCAATATTTTCATTATGAAGCTTTCTAATTTTTAGCTCTTATATTTAGGTATATGTTTCATCTGACTAATTTTTGTATAGGACATAATAAAAGGGTGAAGATTAATTTTTTATAGAGATATCCAGTTTCTCTAACGTTACGTGCTGAAAAGACTTTTTCCTCTACTGAATTTTATTAACATCTTTTTAATAAATCAATAAACTTCACAAATATGAATACAATTCTAAGTTCTCTATTCTGTACAATTAATCTATTTGTCTATCCTTATGCCAATAACTAATTGCCTAATATATTGTAGTTTTACACTCTGTGTTGAAATCAGGCAATGTAAATCTCCTAACTGTATATCTTTAACCTGCTTCTAACTTTATATCTTTAAAACTTGGTCATTCTAAGCACTTTGCACTTCCGTATACATTTTAGAATTAGTTTGTCAATTTTTACAAAAATATCTGCTTGGATTTTGCTTGAGATTGTTTGAATCTATAGATTTTGATGGGGAGAAAAATAAAGATTACAAGATTGAATCTTCAAATCCATGAATATGGTATATATCTCCATTTATTTAGAACTATAATTTCTCTATGTATAGATGCACATCTTTTGTTAAATTTATTTATTTGTACTTGGATTTTAACTATTAAGCTATTATAAATGATGTTGTTTACTTAATTTCATTTCCTATTTATTTCTATTTCTTGTGTATAGAAATACTTACACTTTTCATTCTAGCTTTTTTTAAGTAGATTTCCCTGGATTTTTACATTCACAATCATGTCATGTATGAACAAAGACAGTTTTACTTAATGTAAAATTTCTACTTGTTCCTGTTCTTTGTGCTTTCTTCTGTTTTTTTTTTTTTGGTTGTTTTGTTTTTTTGGCTTACGGTACTTTCTGTACAATGTCAAACAGAAGTGGGAAAAACAAAGATTGTTGCCTTCTCCTTGATGTTAGGGTGTTCAATATTTTGTGTTAAAGTATAATGTGCATAACACTTTATCAGATTGAGAAAGTCTTCTACTTTCAGTTTTCTGAAGGATTTTTTTCCCCTCATAAATGGGCAGTGACTTTTATCAGATGTTTTTTCTATATCTATTACACTGAGATGATTATGTAATTTAAACTTTATATTAATATGGTGAATATATTGATTGACTTTAGAATATTGAGACAACTTTGCATTCTAGAGACTACCACCACTTGGTTATAATGCATTATCCTGTTTAATCTTAGTATTTTTTCCTCTAATAATTTTTTAGTTACATGGTTTACATTTCTTAAACAGTTGCTTTAAAAATTATCATATACACTCTTAAATTATGACTATCTCAAAAATATTTAATTACCTCACAATTTCAGATATTTATGACAATATATTTCCAATTATTACCCTCTGCCTTTTGAGGCCTTATTATTTTACTTCTACATATTGCATAAAATCTATGTTCTTTTGGGTTTTTTTTTACCTTACATAGTCAGTACTCTTTAAGGATATTTAACAATTTATGTGTAGAAAACAAAAAATAATTTTCAAAATATTTTTAAATGCACTCTATTCTTTCTTATAAAGCTGAGTTTTTATCTGATGTCACTGCTTTTAAACCTATGTAAATTATTTTATTATTTCTTGTAGGATAGTTTTGCTGGAGTTTAATTCTTTCAACTTTTGTCTGTTTGAAAATATCTCTATGCCACCATTAGTTTTTGAAGGATGTTTTTAGCAAATATAACAGTTAATTGTTCTTTCACACTTTAAAAATATTATTCTATTATCTTCTGGCTTCCATTATTTTTGATGAAGGGTCAGGTAACATTCTTATCATTGTCTTCCTGTATATTCAGTTTCTTTTTTCCCCCTCTCTGGCTACTTTTAAGTTCATCTTTTTATCTTTGTTTTTCTGCAGTATGACTGTGATGTGTCTAGAAGTAAATGTCATCCTACCTTGGAGTTTTCTAAGCTTTTTGGATTGGTAGCCTTATTTTCCCATTTATACATAGCTAGATTCTATTTGCTCATTGTTAAGAACCTCTCTATGTTCATGAAAGATACTATTCAGTGATTTTTTTTCCTGTATTGTTTTTCTCTTGTATTAGTATTAGGGCTATCCTGCCCCCAAACCAGAAGACAAGAGTTCTGTTGTTGTTTTTTTTTAATTGTCTGAAAGAGTTTGTATAATATGGAAATTATTTCTTCCTTCAAGAAAAATTCACATTTATGCCATCTAGACCTAGTGTTCCTTGTGGAAAAGATTATATTTTGTTTAAGTGTATTTAAAAGACACAGGGATATTCAAATTTTCTATTGTGTGTGTGTGTGTGTGTGTGTGTGTGTGTGTGCCCAATTTAAAAAATCTGTGTTTGTCAAGGGATTTGTTTATTTCCTCCAAGTAATCAATATTGTTGGCACAAAGTTGTTAATAATACCCTATTGCAATCTTTTTAATAGCTAAAAAATCTGTGAGATGGCTTCTTTTTTATTCTTGATACTGGCAAATTATGCTTTTCCTCTTTTTCTGATGGCTTTTTCTAGGAGTTTATCAATTTTATTAATATTTTTACAAACAAATTTTTAGTTTTGTTAATGTTTTCTATTATTTACCTTGTCTTTTTTCATTGATTTTTGCTCTTTATTTTTTATCCATGTTAATTTGTTCTTGTTATGTTAGTTGTTTTAGTAAACTGAATAATTGATTCTTATTATATATATGCCTTTTAAATTTGTCATATATGTGTGTATACATATATATGTCTTTAAACTTGTAAGTTTGCTGCTAAGTACTGCTTACCTCCATACACAAATTTTGATACTTTGTGTTCTTCTTACTGAGCTCAAAATATTCTCAAATTTCTATTTTGATTTTTTCTTTAATGATGTGTGTGTGTTTTAATTTAGTTATAAATTTATTTCTGTTTTTAAAAAATTCTATTGGGTTTTCAGAACATATTCAGTAGGATTTTAATTTTGAAAATGTGTTGAGATTGTTTATAGCTAGAAATATTGTCTATCTTGGTGTATGTTCTAAGTACATTTGAAAAGACTCTATAATAAAAATATGGGGAAACAATTTCAAAAATATCAATAAGACCAAGCTGGTTAAAAGTGATTTTCAACTATTCTATATCCTTGTGCTACTCTTTGATCTATTACTGAAAGAAAACTACTAAAACTTCTTTTATGATTAGGAATTTGTTTGTCTTTTCTGATATATCACTGTTGGCTTCAAATATTTTGAAACTATGTTAGTCACAGCATATACATTTATGTTTGTTATGTTGTCATGATGAATTGATCCTTTTATTATTATAAAATATTCCCCATTATTTCCTGCATTACTCATTTTTTAGTCTGATATTAATGCAGCTACAACAGCTTTTTTTGTAATTAGTGTTTTTAGGGTATATATTTTTCCATCTTTTAGCTTCAGTGTATCTCTGTTTAAACTGTACCTTTTGTAAAGACCATTAGATTATCATTCTTTTTTTTAACTCAGGCTGCCAATTAATAATTTTTAATTAGACTTTTCAGTTAATTTATATTTGATGTATTTGTAGATATGGTTAAGTTTAATTCTACCATTTTGCTATTTGTTTTCTACTTGACTCACCTATTTTTTGTTCTGTTCTTCTTTTATTGCCTTCTTATGGTTAGATTACCACATGCATCTTTAACTTAATTCAGTCTATCTTAAATTGGTTTATATTACTTCACAAACATTATAATTTATAGTAATGTAATTCTATTTTAAATTTATTGCCTGTAATTCTAGCACTTTGGGATACTAATGCAGGAGGATTGCTTAAGCCTAGAAATTCAAGACCATCTTGGATAACATGGCAAGACTGTCTCTACAAAAACCAAAAAATTTAGCCAGATGGTGTGGCACACACCTGTGATCCCAGCCATTCAGGAGGCTGAGGCAGGAGAATCATTGAGCTCAGGAGGTCAAAGCTTCTATGAGCCATTATTGTGCCTCTTCATTCCAGCCTGATAACAGAGTGAGACTCCATCTCAAAAAAAAAAAAATTATTTTTCTTCCTTTTACATGGGATAATTTCCATTGTACAAGTTTTTGAATTAATTTTTTGCTATGTCTAATCTTCTGATAAGCCAATTCTATAAATGTGTTAATCGACATCTATTTAATAAACCTTTTTCCTTTTGTATGGTAATAGATTTACAAATAATATGAGGATAATACAGAGAGTTCCCATATACCCCAGAAGCAGTTTTTCCTATTATTAATATTTTACATTAGTGTGGTACATTTGCCATAATTAATGAACCAATGTTAATACATTCATATTAACTAAAGTTTATATTTATTTGCATTCCCTTAGTTTTTATCCAAGTTATTTTTCTATTTCATAATTCCATGTAGGCATCCAGGAGACCATACTGTGTTTAGTGTATTGCCTTATGTTCCTTGTGGCTCTGGTAGTTTATCAAGAATTTCTTCATTTTTTATGTCCTTGAAGGTTTTGAGGGATACTGGTTAGTTATTTTGTAAATATATCACAATCAGACAGGGTTATGAGTATCTGGGAGGAAAACCACAGAGGTAAAGTGCCACTTATCACATCATACCAAGGCTAAATACTATCAACATGACTTATCAATATTGATGTCAAAACTGGTCATTTGGTTGAAGTGATGTTTTTCAGATTTCTTTGCTGTGAGGCTATTTTTTTTTCCTCTTTTTATACTCCATTCTTTGGAAGGATGTCACTGTGTACAGCTCTCAATATAGGAAGTTATGCTCCATCTCTTTGAGGATTATTTGAAATTCTGCATAGGAGATGTGTCTATTTTCCTCCGTTTACTTTTTGTTCAATCATGTATCTATATCAGCATAAACTCATGAACATTTATTTTATACCTTGGGTTATAATCTAATTCTACCTTATTTATAATATTTTGTTGCCCAGGTTGTTTTAGTTCTGGCCACTGGAAGTTATTTCATTTGGCCCTTTTATCCATTTAACATATTCCCATAATTGTGTGTGTTTGTTTGAAAGCACTTACTTCCTTTTTCAGCACTTTTTTACTTTTACTATGAGATGCTCTAGGCTCATCTAGTATATTTCCTGCCTTAATCCTAGAATCACCAATTTCTCCAAGACTTGTTTTTTTTTTTTTTTTTTTTTTTTTTTAATTGGAGAATAGTACTGAAAACCAAAATCTGGGCCAGGCACGATGGCTCATGCCAGTAATCCCAACACTTTAGGAGGCCGAGGTGGGCGGTTCACTTGAGGTCAGGAGTTTGAGAGCAGCTTGGCCAACACAGTGAAACTTCATCTCTACTAAAAATATAAAAATTAGCTAGGCATGGTGGCACATGCTTGTAATCCCATTTACTTGGGAGGTTGAGGTGGGAGGATCACTTGAGCTTGGGAGGTGGAGGTTGCAGTGAGCTGAGATCGTGCCACTGCACTCCAGCCTGGGCAACAGAGTGAGACTCCATCTCAAATTAAAAAAAAAAAAGGAAGAAAGAAAGAAAAGAAAACCAAAATCTAGATGCTAGATGTGCTCATTCAATTGGAGTGGTATTGCATCTAGGCCTAGTTGATAAGTCAAGGAGATATATGTAGATGTATACTAAGCCATGTGTGTGAAACATATCTATAAATATTTTTATATGTAACTATTTGTATCTATTTAAACTAAGCATGAGTTTTACTGATGTCTCTCATTCTAATATGTTACCCTGTTGATCATTCTAATCTCCTCTCCTTGCTTAAATGTAACTTCCTATTCAAACAGTGAGAAATTTGTCTCCCACAATCCATCATCCGTCCACTTAATTTTTAAATTCCACTATACATGTACAGTTGATCCTTGAACAACATGAATTTGAACTGTGTGGATCCGCCTATATGCAGATTTTCTTCCATTTCTGCCATCCCTGAAACAGCAAGATCAGCTCCTCTCTTCTTCCTCTTCCTCAGCCTACTCAATGTGAAGAAAATGAGAAGGAAGATCTTTATGATAAACCACTTCCACTTAATGAATAGTAAATATATTTTATCTTTCTTATTATTTTTCTAATAACATTATCTTTTCTCTAGTTTTTTTAATAATATGGTATAGAATACGTATAACATACAAAACATATGTTAATTGGCTGTTAATGTCACCAGTAAGACCTCCAGTCAACTTTAGACCACTAGTAGCAGTCAAAAGTTATATATGGATTTTTGCTGCATGGTGGTTGATGCCCCTAACCCCTGCATTGTTCAAGGGTCAATTGTATCGTGGTTTCCAAATTGTTAACCCATACTATTGTTGGAAAAGCTTAATCAAATAGAGTGCATTGCTTCTGCAGAGTTCCTTTTCCCTTTAGTGTTACAGATTCTATTCATGCCAAAAGTTAGTCCTTATTCTCCCATCCCATTCAGAGAGATTATTTCATATATTTGTAATACAGCTTTGTTTTTTGTTTGTTTGTTTTTTTGAGAAAGAGTCTCACTCTGTCACCCAGGCTGGAGTGCAATGGCACAATCTTGGCTCACTGCAGCCTTGACCTCCTAGACACAGGCAATCCTCCCACCTCAGCCTCCCAAGCAGTTGGGACTACAGGCACATGCCACCATACCCAGCTAATTTTTTGTATTTTTAGTAGACCATGTTGACCAGGGTGGTCTCAAACTCCTGGCTTCAAGTGATCCACCCACCTCAGCCTCCCAAAATGCTGGAATTACAGGTGTGAGTCACTGCGCCTCGCCATTGTAATACAATTTTTCTTCTTCTTCTTTTTTTTTAATTGAACTTCATTTTATTGTACTTTGCAGAAACTGCATTTTTACATATTAAAAGTTGGCCTAGACCGAAGCCCAGAATAATTTGCTCTAGGTTTTATTCTAGTATTTTTATAGTTTTGGGTCTTAATTTAAGTATTTAATCAATCTGGAATTCCAGGAGCTGCCGGAGTATGTAAAAACTCTTGCAGCTCAGTGCCTGCCTGAACAGCTGCTGACTGGAGCAGCTGCCATGGGTCTTCCCAGTTTTGTGCTAGGGATCCAAGGCCCTGGTAGTGTAGGCACACGAGGGAATCTTCTGATCCACAGATTGCAAAAATCTGTGGGGAGTGTAGAACCCTGGGCAGGTAGCACAGTGTCTCACCACTCTCTTGGCTGTGGGAGGAAGGTCCCTTTGCCCTGTGCAGTTCCTAGTTGAACTGTGGTCTCACCCTGCTTTTTTCATTTCTCTCCCGATAAGAAAATATGGTTACCTCAGTTGGAAATGCAGAGGTCACTCACCTTTTGCATTTGTCTCAGTGGGAGCTGCAGACCAGCGCTGTTCCTAAATGTCCACCTTGGACCCTCCCCCTACCTGTAATACAGTTTCTTTTGTTACATTCTATACTTCATTCTGGAATTTCCTTGACCTCCTAAATTTTTAAAAAATTTGCATACCTTAAGGTTCCATGCTGTCAGGTAGTGTGACATGCTACCTGACTTCAAACTACACTACAAGGCTACAGTAACCACAACAGCATGGTACTGGTACCAAAGCAGATATATAGACCAATGGAACAGAACAGAGTCCTCAGAAACAATGCCTCACATCTACAACCATCTGATCTTTGACAAACCTGACAAAAACAAGCAATGGGGAAAGGATTCCCTATTTAATAAATGGTGTTGGGAAAACTGGCTAGCCATATTCAGAAAACTAAAACTGGACCCCTTCCTTACACCTTATACAATAATTAACTCAAGATGTATTAAAGACTTAAACATAAGACTTAAAACCATAAAAACCCTAGAAGAAAACCTAGGCAATACCATTCAGGTCATGGGCATGGGCAAAGACTTCATGTCTAAAACACCAAAAGCAATGGCAACAGAAGCCAAAATTGATAAATGGGATCTAATTAAACTATAGAGTCTCTGCACAGCAAAAGAAACTATCATCAGAGTGAAGAGGCAACCTACAGAATGAAAGAAAATTTTTGCAATCTATCCATCTGACAAAGGACTAATCCAGAATCTACAAGGAACTTAAACAAATTTACAAGAAAAAAATCAAACAACTCCATCAAAAAGTGGGCAAAGGATATGAACAGACACTTCTCAAAAGAAGACATTTATGTGGCCAACAAATACATGAAAAAAAGCTCTGGTCATTAGAGAAATGCAAATCAAAACCACAATGAAATAGCATCTCATGCCAGTTAGAATGATGATCATTAAAAAGTCAGGAAACAACAGATGCTGGAGAGGATGTGGAGAATAGGAATGCTTTTACACTGTTGGTGGGAGTATAAATTAGTTCAACCATTGTGGAAGACAGTGTGGTGATTCCTCAAGGATCTAGAACCAGAAATACCATTTGACCCAGCAATCCCATTACTGGGTATATACCCAAAGGATTATAAATCATTCTACTATAAAGACATGTGCACATGTATGTTTATTGCAGCACTGTTCACAATAGCAAAGACTTGGAACCAACCCAAATGCTCATCAATAATAGACTGGATAAAGAAAATGTGGCACATATGCACCATGGAATACTATGCAGCCATAAAAAGGATGAGTTCATGTCCTTTGCAGGGACATGGATGAAGCTGGAAACCATCATTCTCAGCAAACTAAGAGGAACAGAAAACCAAACACTGCATGTTCTCATTCGTAAGTGGGAGTTGAACAATGAGAATACATGGACACAGGGAGGGGAGCATCACATGCTGGGGCCTGTCCAGGGGTTGGGGGTTAGGGGAGGGATAGCATTAGGAGAAATATCTAATGTCAATGATGGGTTGATGGGTGCAGGAAACCACCATGGCACATGTGTACCTATGTAACAAACCTGCACGTTCTGCACATGTATCCCAGAACTTAAAGCATAATAATAATAATGATTCCATGCTTTGTGCTATAAGTTCTATGAAATTTGATGAATGCATAGTTTCCTGTATCTACTACTGTGATATAATATAGAATAGTTTCATCATTCTAAAATAATTCCAGCTTCACCAATTCAATTCTTTCTTCTATCCCCAAACCCTTGGCAAACACTGAATTTTATGACTGCTACAGTTTTGACTTTTCCAGAATGTCATATAAATGGAATTTTGCTGTATGTATCCTCTTCAGACTGACTTCACTCACTTAGAAATATGCACTTATGATTCATCCATGTCTTTGCATAGCTTGTTGATAGCTCCTCCTTTTTTATTGCTAAGTAGGATCCCATTGTATGGATATACCATTGATTATTTACCTGTTGGAGGACATCGTAGCCACTTCTAAGGTTTTAGTGGTTATGAATAAAACTGCTATAAAAATCCTATACTTTTCTAGGTGAACATACATTTTCAAAACAGTTGGGCAAATACCTAGGATCAGTAAATTATGATAATACTATATTTAGCTTTGTAAAAAACTGCCAAGCCATTTTCCAAAGTGGCTGTACCATTTTGCATTCTCACCAGAAATGAATGAGTTTCCAAATGAAGTTTCCTCCAAATGCTCACCAGCAATGGTTATTGTCATGTTTTAAAAAAAATTAGACATTTTAATTAAAGTATTATATCACTGTTGTTTTAATTTGTATTCTCCTAATGGCAAATAATGTTGATCATCTTTTGGTAAGCTTACTTGCTATCTATCTTCTTTGGTGAGGTGTCTCTTAAAAACCTTTTCCAATTGTAAAATTTAATTGTTTTCTCCGTATCGTTGAGCTTTAAGAGTTCTTTATATATTTTGGATATAAATCCTTCATCAGATATGTTTTGCAACAATTTTCTCTCAGTCTTTGGCTTGTCTTTCCCTTCTATTAGCAGTGTTTTTTGCAGAACAGACGATTTTAATTTTACTAAAGTCCAACTAACAAAGATTTTCTTTCATGTATTATCCTTTTAGTTTTCTACCTAACCTCTTCATCAAATGCATGTTTATCTAGATTTTTAAAAATATTTTCTTCTAGAAGTTTTAGAGTTTTGTACTTTACATTTCAGTCTATGATCCATTTTGAGATAACTTTTGTGAAAGGTCTGTTTTTAGATTCATTATTTTTTACACATAGATGTTCAATTACTCTAGTTCCATTTGTTAAAAAGCGTTCTTTCTCCATTGAATTGACTTTGTGTCTTTGTCAAAGAACAGTTGTCTGTATTTGAGTCTATTTTGCACTCTTTATTCTGCTCTGTTGATCTGTGTGACTATTCTTTTATGCTCTTTTGATTATTGAGCTTTCTTGGTTACTTTAGCAAGCATTGACTTGAGTAGTGAGATTATCCCAATTTGTCCATCTTATTCAGTATTGCATTGGTTATTCCAGGTCTTCTATCTTTCTATATTACCTTTAGAATAAAATTTTTGGTATCTATAAAATAACGTAATGGGATTTTCATTGGAACTGCACATATTTATAGATCAAATTGAGAACTGATACCTTAACAATATTGAGTCTTCCAGTCAATAAACCTGAAATATCTCTTGAGTTATTTTTCCTTTGATTTCTTTCATTGGTGTTTTGTAGTTTTCTGCATTCAGATCCTGTACATATTTTGTTAGATTTATACCTAAGTATTTCACTGAAGGAGGGGGATGATTTTTTTCAATAGTATTGTTTTGTTTTATTTGAGTTTCAAATTCCAGCTGTTCATTGCTGGTATATGTAGGAAAGCATTGCCTTTTGTAAAGTTAATCCTTATTATTCTCAGATTCCATACTTTTGAATTTGTTTACTCACTAACATTTATTTGTAATTTCAAAATAAATATTTGCTATGCTTTCATGGTCATTCATGGGCATACACAGAAGAACAAAAAAATTGAGCCACCCAATATGCATACTCCAGCTGAGGCTGAACAAGGCAATGCTGTTGTGCCTTCCTGTTAGGCTCCCATATTGTAAATAAATGTTCTTTACGCAGTCTACTGTCACTTCTTAAAAAAAATTTTGTGCTTTTATGTTGGTGATTTCACTTCCAAGTGTAGTTCTGAAATGTTTTCTACTGTGCATATTCTGTGTTAGATTTCATTCAAGCATAAGTTATACTGTAGTTGGCTGTGGGTTCAATGTTAGTGATTTAAAACTGTGGTACATCCAGAAAAAAAATGAAGAGAAAATTCACCTATTTTATATGGAAGGCTACTCTGGAAATTGCTAAAGTAACATCTATATAGTGTTTGATGAAGTTTTGAAAAAGGTGGAAAAGCAGCTACATTTCTGAATTTATGAAATGATGACTAATTTTTAAAAAGTGTAGTAGACAGCATTGTTGTGAGGCTGGAAGTCAAATAAATTTATGGTGACATTGCCCAGGGTCAGGAAAGTGCCAAAACCTTATCAGCTAGTGTTTTAGTACAAAGAAATGCTGCATATAATTAACTATTTATAAGAATTATATATTAAATTAGGTATTTTAAAACAGAAACACACATAAAACAAGGTTGTTATTGGTCAGTTTATGTAAGTATTGTCACCAGAAGTTTGTAGGAACCTAATTCTGCATTTGTCCTAAGAGCAATAACACTGTATTCATTAATTCAATGTTCAAAATGACTTTATAGAAAATAACTACTGTGAATAATGAGACTTGACTCTATTATCAATTCACATCCTTCAATGTTGCTATAATCACTTATTCATTCCAGGACATATTTCCATAGATTCTTTGAGATTTTCAACCTAGATGATCATGCTATATTTTTTTCTTTCTAATCTATATATGTTTTATTTCTTTTTCTTGCCTTATTTCACTATCTAGGAATTCCAGCACAATGCTGAGTAGAACTAATGAGAGAGAACATCCTTGCCTCACTCCCAATTTTATTGGGGAAACATCCATTAAGTGTGATAGGTTTTTGTAATTGCTCTTGATAAAGTTGAGGAGGTTCCCCTCTGTTACTAGGTTATAGAGCTGTTATGAATGGGTATTAAATTTTTGTCAAACACTTTTTCTGTGCACATTGATAGGATTATATAATGTGTTTCTTCTAAAACTGATAATATGGTGGATTGTATTGATTGATTTTTGAATACTGAATCAGCTTCACACATCTACAGTAAAGTCTACTTGGCCATGATGTACAATTCATTTTATATATAGCTGGATTTGACTTTCTAATATTTTTTTGAGAATTTTTGTAGTTATTTTTATGAGAGATATTGATCTGTAGTTTTCCTTTTTTGTAATATCTTTATTTGGTTTTGCTATTGGGGTAATGCTGGCTTCATGGAATTAGTTAATTTCAAAATGTATTATAAATTTTTTCAACATTTTTTGCAGAGCAGGTGCATTTTATAAAAATGTTTGGCAGAATTGAAACATCAGCCTGGTGCTTTCTTCTTTGAATGATTACTAGTTATTGGTTCAAATTCTTTCATAGATATAGATCTACTCTGTCTATCTACTTCTCTGTGCCTGAATTGATAGTTTATATCACTCAAGAAATTGGTACATTCAATTTATCAGATTTGTGGCCATAAAGTTTTTCTTGGCATTCCTTTAGTATACTTGTGATGTCCACGGAATTAATAGTGATGAGCCCAACCTTCATTTCTGATATTGATAATTTGTGTCTTTTCTTTTTATTTTCTTTGTTAGTCTGGCAAGAAGTTTATCCATTTATGGATCTTTACAGAGAACCAGCTTTTGGGTTTGTTGGTTTTCTATTTTGAATTTCATTGATTCCAGTAAAAATAATCTAATTTTTATTATTTCTTTCTTCTGCTAGCTTTAGGTTTAACCTGCTATTCTTTCTCTACTATCCTAAAGAAGAAATTGTGATTACGAATTTTAGGTCTTACTAGTTTTCTAATACATGCATTTGATGCTAAAAATTTTCCTGTAAGCACTGCCTTTACTATATTCTAATTTTGATAAATTGTATTTGCAATTAAATTTTTTTAGTTTGTCATTTTATGCATGAGTTATTTAGAACTGTGTCATTTAATTTCCACATGTTGGGGACTTAACTAGCTATTTTCTGTTATTAATATCTAGTTTAATTTCATTGTGGTGTAAGAACACACTGCATAATTCCTTTTCTTTTAATTTTCTTAAGGTTTGTTTTCTGGCTGGAATGTAGTCTATATTAGAAAATGTTCTACATGAGCTGCAGGCAAATGTTTATATTGCTGTTGAGGGCTGGTGTATTCTATAAATGTCAGCTAGATCAAGTTGATTGATAGTACTGTTCAGTTCAACCATATTTTTACTCATATTGTGCCTGTTTTATCTGCCAATTACTGAGAGAAGGTTGTTGAAGTCTTCAACTCTAATAGTCATTTTTCTATTTCTCCTTTCAGTTCTATCAGGCTTTAATTCATTTATTTTGACATTCTTTCACATTCAGGATCTTTTTTTGGCAAGTTGAACCCTTTATTATTATGTAATGCCTCTATATATTTCTGACAATCTTCATTTTTCCAAAGTCTGCTTTGTTTCAAATTAATATAGCTACTCCAGCTTTCTTTTGACTCTTGTTAACATGGTATATCTTTTCCATTTCTTTACTTTTAGCTTAAGTTTTTTATATTTAAAGTGAATTTATTGTAGATAACATATAGTTAGGCTTTGCTTATTTCCATTCTGATAATCGCTGTGTATTAAGACCATTCATATTTAAAGTAACTTTAATTCACATTTAAAGTAATTATTGGTATAGTTGGATTAAAATCTGTCAGATTTATATCTGTTTTCTACTTGTTGATTTTGTTGCTTGTTTCTTTTCTTTTTTTTTTTTTTTTTTGAGATGGAATCTCGCTCTGTCACCCAGGCTGGAGTGCAGTGGTGCGATCTCGGCTCACTGCAAGCTCCACCTCCCCATTTGATGCCATTCTCCTGCCTCAGCCTCCCAAGTAGCTGGGACTACAGGCGCCCGCCACCACACCAGCTAATTTTTTTGTATTTTTAGTAGAGACGGGGTTTCACCATGTTAGCCAGGATGGTCTTGATTTCCTGACCTTGTGATCCACCTGCCTCGGCCTCCCAAAGTGCTGGGATTACAGGAGTGAGCCACCACACCCGGCCTGCTTGTTTCCTTTTTTCCCACTCTTCTTCTGCCTTCTCTAGTTTTAATCAAACATTTTTTGTGATTCCATTTTATTTTCTCTCTTAGTATATAAATTATACTTATCTTTAAAGCTTTTTTGTAGTTGGCTTAGAGTATATAATACATAGTTTTCCAGCTTTATTTAAGTATAATTGATAAATAAAAATTGTATAAATTTAAGGCATGTAACATGATAATTTCATATACATATACATTGTGAAAGGATTACCACAGGCATTACAATCCACATTTTTAAACTAATTCAAGCCCTGCTTTAAATAACACTAATCTGTTGTACAAATAGTGGTGCAATATCATATTACAGAGTTTCCTATTTTTTTTTTGTCCCATTGCTTTGTCCCATTGCTGTCATTCATTTTACTTATCTGTATTCTGCTTTGCTATCCACCAACAGAGACCAAGCTGAGAGTCAAATCAAGAACTCAACCTCCTTTATAATAGCTGCAAAATAAAATACTTAGGAGATGAGAGACCTCTACAAGGAAAACTACAAAGTGCTGCTGAAAGAAATCATAGACAATACAAACAAATGGAAACACATCCCATGCTCATGAATGGTAGAATCAATATTGTGAAAATGACAATACTGCCAAAAGCAATCTACAAATTCAATGCAATTCCCATCAAAATACCATCATCATTCTTCACAGAACTAGAAAAAAATAATCCTAAAACTCACATGAAACCAAAAAAGAGGCCACATGGGCAAAGCAAGGCTAAGCAAAAAGAACAAATCTGGAAAAATCACATTACCCAACTTCAAACTGTACCATAAAGCCATAGTCACCAAAACAGCATGGTATTGATATAATCATTCAGGAGCAGGTTAATCTCCATGTATTTACATGGTTTTGAAGGTTCCTTTTGGAGTTGACTGCCAATTTTATTCCAATGTGGTCTGAGAGAGGACTTGATATAATTTCAATTTTCTTAAATTTATTGAGACTTGTTTTGTGGCCTATCATATGGTCTATCTTGGAGAATGTTCCATGTGCTGACGAATAGAATGTATACTTCGCAGTTGTTGGGTACAATGTTCTGTAAATATCTGTTCAGCCCATTTGTTCTAAGGTATAGTTTAAATCCATTGTTTCTTTGTTGACTTTCTGTCTTAATGATTTGTTTAGTGCTGTCAGTAGAGTATTAAATTCCCCCAGTATTATTGTGTTGCTGTCCATCTCATTTCTTAGGTCTAGTAGTGATTGTTTTATAAATTTGGGATCTCCAGTATTGGGTGCATTTGTATTTAGGATTGCAATATTTTCCTGTTAGACAAGTCTTTTTATCATTATATAATGTCCCTCTTTGTCTTTTTTAACTGTTTTTGCTTTAAAGTTTGTTTTGTCTGATATAAGAATAGCTACTTCTGCTTGCTCTTGGTGTCCATTTGCATGAAATATCTTTTTCCACCCCTTTATCTTAAGTTTATGTGAGTCTTTATGTGTTAGGTGAGTCTCTTGAAAACAGCAGATACTTGGTTAGGGAATTCTTACCCATTCTGCCATTCTGTATTTTTTTTAAGTGGAGCACTTAGGTCATTTACATTCAACATTAATATTGAGATGTGAGGTACTATTCCATTCATTGTGCTATTTGTTGCCTGAATACTTTTTTTTCCATTTGTTTTTGCTTTATAGGTCTTGTGAAATTTATGCCTTAAGGACACTCTATTGTGGTCTATTTCAAGGATTTGTTTCAAGAATTAGAGCTCATTTTAGCAGTTCTTGCAGTGCTTGCTTGGTAGTGGGAAATACTCTCAGCCTTTGTTTATCTGAAAAAGACTGTCTCTTTCCTTCATTTACAAATCTTAGTTTTGCTTGATGCAAAATTCTTGGTTGATAATTGTTTTGTTTAAGGAGGCTAAAGATATGGCCCCAATCCCTTCTAGCTTGTAGGGTTTCTGCTGAGAAATATGCTGTTAATCTGATAAGTTTTCCTTTATAGGTTACCTGATGCTTTTGTTTCATGGCTCTTAAGATTCTTTCCTTTGTCTTGACTTTAGATAACCTGATGACTATGTGCCTAGGTGATGATATTTTTGTGATAATTTTCCCAGGTGTTCATTGAGCTTCTTGTGTTTGGATGTCTCGATCTCTAGCATAGGCCAGGGAAGTTTTCCTCAATTATTCCCTCAAATATGTTTTCCAAACTTTCAGATTCCTCTTCTTTCTTGGGAACACCAATTATTCTTAGGTTTGGTTGTTTAACATAATCCTAAACTTCTTAGAAACTTTGTTTATTTTTCAAATTCTTTTTTTTTTGTCTTTGTTGGATTGAGTAAATTTGAAAGCCTTGGCTTCAATTTCTGAAGTTCTTACTTCTACTTGTTTGATTCAATTGCTGAAACTTTCCAGTGTAGTTTGCATTTTTCTAAGTATGTTCCTCATTCCCAGAAGCTGTGATTATTTTTTATTTATGCTCTCTATTTCACTGAAGATTTTTACCTTTATATCTTCTATCTTTTTTTTATTTCATTAAATTGGACTTTACCTTTCTCTGGTGGCTTCTTTATTAGCTTAATAATCAACCTTCTGAATTCTTTTCCTGGCAATTCAGAGACTTCTCCTTGATTTGGATCCATTGCTGGTGAGCTAGTGTGATCTTCTGGGGGTGGTAAAGCAACTTATTTCATCATATTACCAGAATTATTTTTCTGGTTTCTTCTCATTTGGGTAGACTATATCAGAGGGAAGATCTGGGACTCAAGGCCTGATGTTCATATTCTTTTGTCTCATGGGGTACTCCCTTGATGTGGTGCTCTCCCCCTTCCCCTAGGGATGTGGCTTCCTGAGAGCCAAACTGCAGTGACTGTTATTTCTTTTCTGGATCTAGCCACCCAGCAGAACTACTGTGCTCTGGGCTGGTGCTGGGGGTTGTCTGCACAGAGCCCTGTGATGTGATCAGTCTTTGTGTCAGCTGTGGATACCAGCAACTACACTCATGGAGGTGGAGGGGAGTGAAGGGGACTCTGTGAGGGTCCTTGGTTATAGTATTGTTTATTGTGCTAATTTTGGGTTGGTTGGCCTCTAGCCAGGAGGTGGCGCTTTCAAGAGAGCATCAGCTGCTGTAGTATAACAAGGATCAGGGGGTGGGTGGGGCCATAGAGTTTCCAAGAGATTACGTTCTTTGTCTTCAGCTACCAGGGTAGGTAGGGAAAGACCATCAAGCATGAGCAGGGTTAGGTGAATCTGAGCTCGGACTCTTCTTGGTTAGGGCTTGCTGAGACTGCTGTGGGGGATGGGGGTGTGGTTCTCAGGCCAAAGGAGTTATGTTCCTGGGGGAATTATGGCTGCCTCTGCTGCATCATGCAGGTTCCCAGGGAAGTAGGGGAAAGCCAGCAGTCGCAAGTCTCACCCCACTTCCACACAGCCCAAAAGGCTGGTCCCACCCCATCTGTCCCCCCCACCCAACAACACCAAGTTTATTTCCAGGCAGTGGATGAACAGGGCTGAGAGCTTGCCCCAGGCTATCAGCCTCCCAGCTGAGAAAGCAAGTAAGGCTTTCAGGTTTCAGGCCTCCCCACCTGCCATGGTTTCTGTGCTATGTCTGCACTCCTGATTCACCCACTCCTCCAGGTTCTGTCCAGGAAACTTCACATTTGGTCAAAATCGTTACAAAGTTCAGCTGGAAGTTTTCTTCTTCCTGTGGTCTTTTTTCAGTTCCTCTGACAGTGCTTCCCAAAGGGCTTTTTCTCACTTTGTGGGACAAAGTCAGAAATGGCTTCCCTGAGGACCGAGAGAGCCCACAGGACTCTTTCTGCTGCTTCTTCTACCCCTGTATTTTTCTTGGCTCTCTAAATTAGTCTCAGTTCCAGGTAAGGTCAAATCCTTCTCCAGCGATCTGGACCTTCAGGTTCCCCAGTGAGAGTGTGTGTTCAGGGACTTTCACACTTTGGGCCCTTGTAGTTTTTCAGCTGCCTCCCAGAGCCTGCAGGAGCAATCCGCTTCCTTCAGAGGGTCTGTGGATTCTCTCAGCTTTCCTGAGGTGGTTCTTGGAGCGAAAGTTCATGATGTGAGTCTCCATATGCTGTTCTGTCTGTCCAAGTGGGAGCTGCAAGTTAGTCCTGCCTCCTATCTGCCATTGTTTTTCCCCATGTATCCTCCTTGTATTCTATTTCACTTCTGCAGACAAGAAGTGTGAAGCCCTCAGGAGGACGAGCTACTTGAATATAAAGCTTACCTGATTTTCTTCTCCTTTTTCATATTTCATGTTTCTTCATGATTCTGCCATCTTTGGATTGTTCTACAACACTATCAAACAGTATATATTGACATTTGGTCAGTAGTTTATAATTGTTGTTGGTAGGATGGTTGTCTCATGAAGTGGTTCACGAAGAGAGGAGGTGAGATATTTAATTCCAAGAAAATCTGGCATGAACTACTTGGGGAATAAACCAATATCCAGAATTTGGGCCTCCCCTTGGTAGACCCCAAAACCTGATTATATCAGGTGGATCTATTAATATTAACTAATCACAAGACTAACAGATAAAATTAGAAAGCCATTTTATTAATTTCCCAAGAAAAGTAAGAATTGGACCAGAGTCCTCACGGCTGCATCATTGGCAACTTTCTTTTCCTGTAGGCAAGCCTACATGGGAAGTGAAATTACAACCAGGAGTTTGTTTGTTGAGCATAAAATCAGAAAAAAGGCAGTTGTTTGGATGCTTAATATAATCAAGCTAATAAAGCCTCAGGTATAGAGCTTCACAGAATGGGTAGCCCAGCAATGGAACCAGGCTCCTCCAAGTTCACGAGCTGAGCTTTGTCTTCTTCCAATGGCACCTGTTTATCTCTGTACCTCTCCTTTTTATGAACTTTTGTGGTTGTCCTGTAACTTTATCTAATGACACTATTCTTCGGTAAGAATATTAATAATGTTAACATTATTGAAGATGGTTCTGGCCTAGATGCCATTTTACCCTTTTCTTATAACTTTCCATACCAATATTTGCATTGGATTCTGTTTTTATTCATTCAAAGTTCAATTCTAAGAAATATATTCTACTTCCATAAAGTTCAAACTTTTAGGGATGGTTTCATAACATTTTTCAAGCAGGGACTACAGTATCTACCTCTTTGGCTTTGAAGATTAAATGGGATAACATATGTAATGCTTCTGGCACTAACTTGATAAGCATTGAAAAAAGCCTTTCGTTTCCTTCCCCTTACTTAATGAAAACAGGTGTTGAAGGAAACTCATCCATTTTTCTCCTGTATGTTCCCCATATGATAATCGTTTTCTTAAGTTTTGGCTGGCCAGAGAAATAAGGGTGCCGAAAGCATTTTTCAATCATAACTCTGGATGGAGATTAAAACAAAACAAAATCTTTAAGGCTTTTAATTACCAAGACTTATTCACAAGACACTGGTAATCAGAACCTTACAGTACCTTAAATATCAGCATTGGAACATCATATGTTCTGGCTTCTTTTAATCATTAGAACATCTAAGCCAAAGCTCTCTGTGTTTATCTTGCTATGATCTTGGTGGTGAATTTTAAAAGTGAGCAGTCAACTCCATCAGCAGCAGATGTAAATTATACATATGATAACTATATATATATTATGACTCACATTTTATTTTATATACACTGATATTTACCGTAATAGTTAAATGTCTGCCATATGGAAAACACCAGGATGATCACTTTAAATGTCATTCCGTGTAATCCTCACAGTTCTATTCACTCAGGTTGGTTTTCATTTTCCAGATGAGGAAACTGGCACAGAGTAGGCTCTCTCTATAAGTGTTTGAATGAACACGTGGATGAGAGGGGTTGGAAACTTTCTCAAGATCACCTACCCAGCAAGTGTCAGGCCAGAATGTAGACCACTCATTTCTAGTTCTAAGGCCTGCATTCATTGCACTGCTTCACAATTTCTCTTAACATATTTTTATCTTAACCAAGGTTTACAAAAATCATGGCTAAATGAATGATTCTAATAGTGAAGATCTGGGGACCTGGAACAGATTCAGAAAGAGCTATTTGGAAAGGAGAAAGCTTTTGGTGATGTCTGTCAAAAATAAAACCCACCTCCTCTTTGTCCTGTTTCCATACCAGGAAAGATACATTTCCATGTGAACTTGTGTAATTTCATTGCTAACGCAATTATTATTTATACCATGGAAGAAAGAGTCTGGAAGCCTTGAGTCAATCATAGAGCCGCTTTGGTCTTTAGTTTCCACATCAATCAGAGATGAGCATTAGCTCAGATTATCTTTAAGGTCTGAGAGTTCAGGGTTCCACACTTCAATCACATCCATTCTTTTCTGTGACTGGCTTTCCCAGCTATGTTCTAATGGAACAGATTGACAACAGCAAACACAGAGTCAAATTTCCATTTAAAACACAGGTCTTGTTATTTTGGTACCAATTACAAGGTTATGGATCATGCTTAAAGGTGTTTAATATGCTGTAATGTTTAGACACACTTGGCTCCAACATTTATGAGGGCTGTTTGTAGCAACAAGAAGCATGCTCTCATTCCATAAGTATGCAAGACTGCAGTAAAAACAGTACAGATGGGCCGGAAAGAAAGAACCTCAAACTGCCTACAAAGAAGGGCAACAAGTGTTTTGGGCTGCACTGTGTTTTTACCTACTGCCAAATCTCTCATCAGCCAGAGCCTGTTTTATAGGGGCATATTTTGTTGTTGCTTTTTTAGTTTATTTCAATCCCTGATGTAGAGTATTTGTAAAAAATTGTGTGAAGGATTTTACGGCCTTGTATGACTATATTTTATTCAGGAGTTTTATATATATATATGTATTTCTTAATGAGACCACAGTTTCTGGAGAGGGTTGCTGATTATCTCTTCTTACCAAACCAAGGTAACAGGTGGTAGAAAAGTGCCTAAGGATACTCAGTGATGCAATGGTCAAAGGATGGAAAGTGGTCTCTTGACTCCAAATATTGTAGATGTGTTGGAGTCCTGGAAGGATTGGATTCCCTAGGCAACCTCAGCATATCTCCACGGAAAAACTTCTATCCAGATATGCTTTTAAATACCACGAAGGAAGTGAAATGTATAGTCCATTTAAGAACCAAATTCCTGGCTGAAGAACCAAATTAGATTCACAAGTAATGGGAATGCTAGGGGAAAAGACCAGCTTGCAAACGACCAGCCATGTGCATATGCCTGTAACAGAAAGAAAGAAAGAAAGAAAGAAAGAAAGAAAGAAAGAAAGAGAGAGAGAGAGAGAGGAAGAAAGAAAGAAAGAAAGAGAAAGAAAGAAAGAAGAAAGAAAGAAAGAAGGAAGGAAGGAAGAAAGAAAAAGAAAGAAAGAGACAAAGAGAAAGAGAAAGAAGGAAGGAAGGGAGGGAGGGAAGGAGTGGGGGGGAAGTGAGGGAGGGGGGACTGAGGGAGCGGGGAGAGGGAGTGAGGAAGGAAGGTAGCGGGGAAGGAGAAGACCCTCACTGGCTTGGTTGCAGGTGCTTGAGCTGAAGGCATCATGTTGGTGGAGAAGCATGCAGGCATACAAGGACTACTAGTTTAGCATAAAGGGACTAAAACATATAAAATGTCAGAGTGTGTGTGTGTGTGTGTGTGTGTGTGTGTGTGTGTGTGTGTGTGTGAAAGAGAGAGAGAGAAACAGCATCGTTAGAGGTGACAAAGATTGAAGGAAGCAGATGAAGTCAGCCTTAACGTACAAGGTTCAATTTAACTCAGTTAAACCTTTTCAGCATGCTTCCAGGGGTGGTGCTAGGCACTGGGGAGGCAATGCAAAACAAGGTATGATAAAGCAAAATAAGACGTTTATCTTGAGAGCAAGCAAATGTCAGCAAACTATGGCCAGTGGGGCCAAATGGCTTTTTTAAAATACTGCCAGTGAACTAATTTTTTTTTTTTTTACATTTTTAAGGGGTTGTAAAAAAAAATGAAAGAAAAATAAAACACAAAAGTTAAAAAGTAAAAGAGCATGCAAAACCATATGTGGCTTACAAAGCTTAAAAGATTTTCTGTCTGGACTTTTACATAAAAAGTCTGCAGACTTCTGCTCCATAGAAAAGTCAGATTATTGGAAGTGAATTACAAAAAGACAAGGGCTAGAATGGGGTGAATGTGTGGTTTATTAGGTCCAATAGAGAGATGATTTACCCAGAGGCTTCTCAGAGGAAGTGGCAACTCACCTGGGATCTAAAGAATGAGTAGAAAATAGATAAAGAAAGACGTGGACCTGAAGAAACAATATTCAAAGCAAATGAAACAGCATGGGCTAGGTATAGAGAATTGATGGGTGTCTCAGAAACATAAATGAAAAACGAGGAGTTGAAAGCAGTAAAGCTAGAAACTCAGATGGGTAAACTGGGATGTCATTTCTTCTTCCAGGTCCAGGTTTTATTATTCCTTGAGGACTTAACCCCCAGCTCACAATCTGCTAGCAGTCAAGACATGTGTCTTGTCATGATGTCAAGGGAGAGTACTGAAGCCAGCAAAATGGTTGACTTAGAAAAGTGGGCCTGTAGATTTAGGTAGGCACAGTGTGTCCTTCAGCCTGTGACAGGCACTGGCCTCGTCAGCTTGCAGCAGTTTTTCTCCATTCATATTAGTCCACTACCCAGACCACAAGGCTGCCAAATCCCTGAGTCATGTGAGTTTTTTTCCCTCTACCTCCCAAACTCAAAACCTCATTATCCTCTCTTTCTTCAGCTTCCTCAAGGAGACTGAGCTGCTTCTCTTTTTTAAATCCCTAAAACACAAAGATCTGATAAAACCCTCTTTTCTGGACAAAGATACTCCCTATTACTTTGTTTGTCATCAGCCACATGAGGCTTAGACTTAGGAGATATTGGTGGAAATAGTAGAAGGTGAATATATTTGGAAGACTTGCAGCAAATTTACATGCCATAGTGACTGACTTAGGCTGTCAAGAAAATGTATCTTTATTTTCAATAATTCAGCTGGAGATGTGGCTCCAGTCCAGTCTGCCAATTTATTGTAGGCATTTCAAAGGAAACTAAGTCACTTTTGGGATTACGTGAGGTCATTTAATGAATGAACCTTGGTCAATCTGGGCTTCAACTAGGTTAACTGAGATTTCTCTTTCAAGGAGACAGGCTTATGTTCATCAACACTCACCTGCTGGCCTCCGCTTTAGTAATCTTTAGTCATTGCTACCTATTCCTGTAGCAGAAACATCCACATTCTCCACTCCACTCTGATCTGTAGCTCTTGAAGTCACTCCCTGACCACAAACACTAGCTCTCAGCCAGTTCCGAGCTACGCTTAGGATATACAAAAAATATTCAGGGTTCTCCCGTGTCTCGTAGAAAAGTTTCAGACTCATTCTGTCCAAAGACATCTGATCATTCTTGCTTTCTTAAAAAATCGAGGTAAAATTTATACAACATAAAATTAACAACCTGTTTATGCAGTTCAGTGAATTTAGTGCATTCACAGTGTTATGCAGCCATCACCTCTTACATAGTTCCAAGGCATTTCATTACCTCAAAAGGAAACCCTATACCGAAGAAGCAGTCACTCCCCATTTCCTTCCTCTCCCAGCTCCTTGCAACCAGTGATCTGTGTTCCGTCTCTGTGGATTTACTTATTCTGGACATTTCGTATAAATGGGGTAATATATGTAAACTTCAGTGTCTGGCTTCATTCACTCTGCAAGATTTTAGAAGTCGGTCCATGTTATACCACATGTCAGTAATTTATTCCTCTTCATGGCTGAATAATATTCAATTGTATGGATATTTTGTTTTATATTTAGGTTGTTTCCACTTTGGGCTACTGTGAACAGTGCTGCTATGGACATGTATGTACAGAAATTTGAGCAAGTTTTCCATTTTTTTGGCTATGTATTCAGGAGCAGAATTGCTGGGTTATGTGGTAATTCTGTTGAACATTTTATTTTTTTTGAGACAAAGTCTCATGCTGTTGCCCAGGCTGGAGTGCAGTGGCATGATCTTGGCTCACTGCAACCTCTGCCTCCCAGGTTCAAGTCATTCTTCTACCTCAGCCTCCTGAGTTGCTGGGACTACAGGTGCCCACCACCATACCTGGCTAATGTTTGTGTTTTTAGTAGCGATGGGGTTTCACCATGTTGCCCAGGTTAATCTTGAACCCCAGACCTCAAATGATCCACCTGCCTTGGCTTCCCAGAGTGCTGGGATTACAGGTGTGAGCCAACACTCCCCACCTTTTGTGTTTAAATTTTACTGAACCTTCATACTACTTTCTACAGTGACTGTACCATTTTATATTCCATTATTGTTTTTTCAGACCTAAAGACACTTTTCTTTCAATTTGCTGCCTCCTTGGGCTGCACCATTGAAACTGAAGCACGTTCTATTTTGTAAATTCAGCCGACCCATTGTCTATTGCTCTCAGAACCTAGAGCATAAAGGAACAGCATGTATAGCATAGAGACCAATGAGAATTTACAATATAGTCATGTTCTTTGCATTTCTATTCACATTAGCTGGCTAAACTTCATCTCTTTGATAGGAAACACTAGACATGTCATTGTGGTTTTTTTCCTTCTCTATTTTTATAGTACAGCTGACCCTTGAACAACAAAGGGATTAGGGGCACTGATCCCTGCCCCATGCAGTTGAAAATCTGAATATAAGTTTTGAATTCCCAAATGCTTAATTACTAATAGCCTATGGTTGAATGGAAGCCTTATTGATAACACAATCAATGTGCATTTTGTATGTTATATTTTTATACACTGTATTCTTACAATAAAGTAAGACAGAGAAAAAATGTTATTAAGAAAATTAAAAAGGAAAGGAAATATGTTTACTATTCATTAAGTGGAAGTGGATTGGCCAGGCACTATGGCTCACGCCTGTAATCCCAGCACTTTGGGAGGCTGAGGCAGGCAGATCACAAGGTTAGGAGATCGAGACCATCCTGGCTAACACAGTGAAACCCCATCTCTACAAAAAATACAAAAAATTAGCAGGATGTGGTGGCATGTGCCTGTAGTCCCAGCTACTCAGGAGGCTGAGGCAGGAGAATTGCTTGAACCCAGGAGGCGGAGGTTGCAATGAGCTGAGACTGTGCCACTCCACTCCAGCCTGGGTGACAGAGTGAGACTCCATCTCCAAAAAAAAAAAAAAAAGAAAAGAAAAAGAAAAAAAGGAGGAAGTGGATTATCATAAAGATTTTCATCCTCATGATCTACATATTGAGTAGGCTGAGAAGGAGGAGGAAGAGGAGGGGTTGGTCTTGCTGCCTAAGGGGTGGCAGAAGCAGAAGAAAATCTGCATGTAAGTGGACCCACACAGCTTAAACCCACGTTGTTCAAGGGTCAGCTGTATACACTTCATGCTATGGGTACTCCATTCAGGGCCTTATTCGTCGGTACTCAAAGTTTCCCTCCAGAAAAGCCTGGATTTTGGAATAAAGATCATTCACTTTAAAGACTGTCTCAGACTTTATGATACTTTATGAATGTCAAAAAGATATTTCAAAGGCAAGCACCTGATTTTCTATTCTCAACTTTGATTAGCCCTCCTGTCGAAGACAGAGGATACCAAAAGCCAATCTTGTGTCCTGGATAGTGAGGAAAACAGCATGGAAAATACTTAACTAATATCTTAAAACATTACCTTGCTACTCTTGGTGAAATAGAAACTAAAGAACTTTGTGATTCGTTGATTGATATAGATGCGAGTAGGAGAAGTGAAGAATGTGACCAAGGTTTATAGCAATCCGTGGTAATGACTAGAAATCAGAAAGGAGTCCTGGTTAGTGAAAAGCATCAAGTTTGGTATATTTAGTTTAAGATATAAGGGTGATAAAAACCTTAAGATACTGATTGAGTGGTTGAAGTGATAGATTGCAGAATATAAACTGAAGGGACATGAAAATACAAATGGTAAATATTTAGGAGGAAGCTGGAAAATTCAAAAAATAGATGTGCCTGTGAGATTGAGAAACAGTTGTAGACTTTTACTAGAAGTCATATTGGAACCAATCCTTTTATGAACAACTAGAAAAGCTGGACAAAACGAGAGAAAATGCTACTGGAAGTTGATAGAGAGATGAAACGAGAATAAAGAATGATTGAGCCAGGAGTAAAGTAGGATGAGCTTGACATTTGGAATCACTTCTTACCTGAGGGCTTTGTTGATTCCCAAGGAGGCAGTGGAGAGGCTAAATTACTGAGCAGTCTTTTTAACAGCCTTGTGGGCCTTGGGGGACAAATATTAGAGTGAGAGTTGTAAAGCTGCTAAGATGGGGTGCCCTGGTGAAACTCTTTAATTTGTTTAGGATGCCAATTGGCTTTATCCTTAGAGGAGTCATTAGCCAGAAATAAATAAGTCTTCCAAGGATGTCACCACAACCTGAAATCCTCTCAATTCTTGAAATTAGTGAGTTAATTGACTGTGTTATCAGTAACGCTTCTAGTCAACTGTAGGCTACTAGTAATTAAGTCTTTGGTTATTGAAAAATTATATTCAGATTTTTTACTGCATTGGGCAGGGATCAGTGGCCCTTAGCACACACTTACAAACAGAATACATGGTTGCAATTTCAGTTCCACCCATTACTTTGGATAAGTTATTTCACTTTTCTGCTATACTGACCATATCTGTAACTTCAGCAGAGTAACATTTTTAAAAGTTGGGAGATATCAGCCCTAGTACTTCCCTCATTTGTTCCTTCCCACTTTCAAGCAAATATATCATTATGTGCTTATTCTCAAAGAAGGAATATGAGAGAAGCAAGTCAATAAACAAGAGTCTTCTCACAGTGTTAGGGTTTCGAAACATATATGTTCCTAAAGAAATAGAAAATATTTTTGATGAACATGACATATTTAGCAGAAAACCTCATAGTCTTCTCTATTCTTTTTTCCTTCAGATTGGAAAATGATGCTTTGGTTTGTAAGGGTAAGACATGAAGGAAGGAAACTAGGAGCCCCCAGTTACAAGGGCAGTTGGGAAGTCCCAATGAAAGTTGTCCAAGCTTGAAGGAGGCAGTAAAATATCAAATAGATTTGTGGGATGTGAGAACAGAGGGGTAGAGCTATAGGGAGGCATCTGGATCCCAGAGATGAATGACTGCATGGTGTACCTAAGACAGCCTTATGGCATATAGGCTAAGAAAAAGGGTTCTTTCCCCCAGCATGTGCCTGGGTATCAGAATGACTCCTGCTCCTAGCCAAGTGGCACAGAGACACCAGCGAAAGCCACCAGAGGTGAAGGCCAGGAACAAGGATGTCTCTAGAGACCTGCTGATGGAGACCAGAGAGTTGATCATCTGAGGACATGCCATTGTGCCAGATTGCATTCTTTAGCTCATTTAATTTTTATAAAAACTCATAAAATAAGTGTTGTTATTATTATTTCTATTTTATAGAGAGGGAAACTACAGCTTAGAAAAATTAAATGATTTATTTAAAGTTATGCAGTGATGGAGACAGTATCTAAATCCAAATCTGCCTGGATGCAGAGACCATATTCTGAAGCAAGGGCCTGTGCCTTAGACATTTGACTTTTGATCCTAAACCCACTGTATAAGAATGGGTTATTGCACATCTTAGCTTCCTTGGTACAGATGGCCAAACCTCTAATAATTTGCACAATCTAAGAAACTTATCTTAAGTAACTTTCTTGAAGGAGAATAAAATTCATCCATTTAATCCCTTTAGAGTGCTATTATGTAAAACTATATAATAGCCTTGGTTTTATGCTTTCCTAATTAATACTGTCTCTGCTAATAAATTTCTACTCCATAAAATCATAAGTGCAATCTTTTAGCCTATACAAATGTAAGCATGTACCAAAACCTTTCAAATACATATCAACATTATAAACCTCCCCCAACCCCAAATGGAAGGACACATGCATTATTTAGGATTAGAGATGACTGTAACATCTAAACTCAACACAAGAGTGTTTTAAACAAGACAGAAATTTTGTTCTCCTTCACACAAAGGCCCAGGCATGGCATGGAAGCTCCGTTTCACGAAGTTGTCAGCTACCCGGGCGTCTTTCTATTCCCCACTCATCCACTCCTCGAGTGTGGCCTCATCATAGTCCAAAACACCATGTATACTCCAGGCAACAGATGGATAGAGCAAAAAGACAAAACTATGTACTTAGCTCCTAAAGAAGGCTCTCAGAAACTTCTGTTGGATACTTCAAGTTTTATTCCATGGCCAGAATTTGGCCACATAAACATATCTGGCATCAAGGTAAGCGGGGAAATATACTCTATTCTGGACAGTCGTTTGCTTCTCTAGAAAATCTTTTTTTTTTTTTTTTTGAGACGAAGTCTTGCTCTGTCGCCCAGGCTGGAGTGCAGAGGCGTGATCTCGGGTCACTGGAAGCTCCGCCTCCCGGGTTCACGCCATTCTCCTGCCTCAGCCTCCCGAGTAGCTGGGACTACAGGCACCTGCCACCACGCCCAGCTAATTTTTTGTATTTTTAGTAGAGACAGGGTTTCACCGCGTTAGCCAGGATGGTCTCGATCTCCTGACCTCGTGATCTGCCCGACTCGGCCTCCCAAAGTGCTGGGATTACAGGCGTGAGCCACCGCGCCCAGCCGCTTCTCTAGAAATTCTATTGCTGTGGGAAAGGGAGGAAAACCAACCCTGGAAACCAGCTACAAGGCTCTGGCACAGAAAACCTTGTGTATACACTCACTTGACCACAAAATCCTGTAAGCCTGATTCCCTGAGAAATTAGGGATCCATGGTCTGAATCTTGAAAATTGATCTCATAAGAATTGATCAATCCATAGTTCACCTCAGTGTCCATCTTTATCATGGATATTGCTTATCAATCATGTATTAGGAAACAAGATAGAAGGACTAGACTCTGTTGTTGAAGAATGAACACTATGTATGCATGTTTTATACATAATGTCCATATTTATGTATATCTTTTTTAAATAAGTATATAATATAAATACTATATATATTATATATTTATATTGATATCTATGTAGCTATCTATATATAACTTTTTAAGATTGTTAAGTATGTAAAACATGCAAAAGTACATAAAACACAAATGTATAGTTTAATGAATTATCTGATATGGTCTGAAGGTTTATGTCTCATCTTCACTCCTAAATTCACATGTTGAAACCTAATCCCCAATGAGAGGATATTTAGATGTGGTGCTTTTGGGAGGTGATTAGGTCATGAAGGCAGAGCCTTCGTGAATGGGATTAATGCCCTCATAAAAGAGGCTCCAGAGAGGTCCCTCATGCCTCTGCATGAAAGATTACGTTCAAAAGACAGTTGCTATGCACCAGAAATGAGCCATCACCAGACGTCAAATTTGACAGCTCCTTGATCTTGGACTTCCCAGCCTTCAGAACTGAGAAATAAATGTATGTTGTTTATAAGCCATTTAGTATATGGCATTTTGTTATATCAGCCCAAAAGGACTAAGATTATTATCATAAAGTGAAATCCATGTTTTCAGTACACCACCAAGATCAAGAAATAGAACAATGCCAGCCCCTAGGAGCTTTCACATGTCCTCTCACTCATCAGAAACCTCCTCTTCCTTAAAGACATCTTTAAAGATAACCTCAAGACTGACTTAGGATAATCATAAAAATATATTTTTAGATAGAAAACTTGGGTTCTAATACCATTAGTGTCTCTGACTAGTTGTGTGATTCCGAGCAAACAATTCAATCTCCCATGTATGTAGTTAGAAAATTTACATTATATATATGCATATAATATAAATTTGTGTGTGTGTATATGTGTGTGTGTGCATATATGTGTATGTAATGAAAATCTCCAAGTAAATGGTGTGTAAGATTGTTTCCAGGTTTTAAAGTCTACTTTCTATGTGTGAGTACATAATTATATTTTTTGATTTGTTTGTTTTAATCCTTAAATGTTCTTCCTGGTAAGTTTTAATATCCTGAATAATAATAATAATAGCATAACTAGGTAAAATAACTAAAATTCTGCATCAGACATATGGTTTGGTTCATTTAGAAATAAAGTAATAAACCTCATTTAATAATGTCACTCTTAAGTGATGAATTTTTATGCTTAATGCTCCAGAAAGAAATTGTCTGACTTCTAAGTTTGTTTCTGGATCTGCTACCTTAATTAAATCCCTGGTGTCTAAGCTCCATTAAAGTGGCCAGGCATGAAAGATACCTGGTTTGTTGCACTAGATAATTGAATTGTGTCAAGAGAAGAATTGGCTCAATGAAGTAGTGTCAATGCTTTTTATCACTTACCCTGAAGAAACTAACTTTAATTATTGTCTTTACAGAATAACTTGGAATTTTCAACAAATGGCTTTCTTCAAACAAGGCTTTATGACTTTAAAAACTAGAGTCAGAATGCTACAAATAATTATAAATATGGATCTATATTTTACATAAGAGCAGTAAAAGAAAAGAGATGGGGGGAAAGGTTTCAGGAAGAGGAAAGAAGGCAAAGCAGTGGAAATGAAGGCAAAGAAGGGGGAGTGAAGACAGAGAAAAGACCCATGAGGGAAAAGAAGAGGAAGGTGGAAAGAGGGTTTGATATACTTAGAACTAGACTTATTAACGTTAACCACCTAATACATCTCAGGGCTTGCCTCCAGACAATGAATAGTGGAAGAAATGCCCTCCTTTTTATTATTGCCCTATGAATTGTCAATTAGTAATCATCCTCTGAGGAGTTTTTTCAAACTTCCTTCTTTACTATGGAGGTGCCACATTGTTGACTCTAACTTTTGCAAACCCAATTATGTATGCACATCAAAAAAAGAGAAGAAGAAACTACTCTTTTGGTGGTAGGCGTGATTCCACCCACATTTCATCCAAAAAGTATATTCTGGAGAGAATGTGAGGAGAGAAATGTGGCTTTGCAATTCCCTCCCATGTGAGCATGAGTGTGAACATAATGTTTAAAGGTACAAAATTGTATATATCATGGCTTTTGTTGCAAATGGAGCTCTGCTGAAGAAAGAGCAATCTGTTCCATTCACGGAGGAGGAAACTGGCCATGTTGGGCTTAACAAGACCCCATGCTGGTCTTCATCATGGCTCCTTCCTATAGAATTTTCAAGGACAATTTGCCTTACATTTTTATTTTAGATCTTAATTTCTTCTTAATATATGACATCACTTAATTGTTAAAACAGAACCTGTATAGTCTCTGGAATTTTGAAACTGTTTGAGAAAAGAAACAAAATTATAGAATAATAATATTTGAAATAGATCTTAGGCTGGGCACAGTGGCTCACGCCTGTAATCCCAGCACTTTGGGAGGCCTAGGTGGAGGATCGCTTGAGCTCAGGAGTTCGAGACCAGCCTCGGCAACATAGGGAAACCCTGCCTCTACAAAAAATATAAAAATTAGCCAGATGTGGTGGTGCGCACCTGTGGTCCCAGCTATTCAGGAAGCTAGGTGGGAGGATTGCTTGGGCCCGGGAAGTAGAGGTTGCAGCGAGCTGAGATTGCACCACTGCACTGTAGCCTGAGCAACAAAGTGAGATCCTGTCTCAACAAAAAAGAGATCTCAAGGGTCAGTTAGTATTCTCTCTGCCTCATAGAGCAAGCCATTCTATAACAGCTCCTTCAGATGGCCTGCCAGCTTCCTAATTACCTCCTAGGCAAGTAGTATGATTGCTGCAGTATCTGACCATTGGTTACTGTGCCCTCTTATTTGTGGGGCTCCCTCAGTTACCTGAGAGTTTATGTTTTCTTGCCTTAAATTTTTCTTTTCTGATTGGGCATGGTGGCTCACACCTGTAATCCCAGCATTTTGGGAGGGCTATGTGGGAGGATTGCTTGAACCCAGGAGTACAAGACCAGCCTAGGCAATATAGTGAGGGCCTGTCTCTACAAAAAGTAAAAAAAAATCTAGCTGGGCATGGTGGTGCACACCTGTGGTCACAGCTACTCAAGAGGCTGAGGTGGGAGAATGGCTTGAGACAGGAATTCAAGGTTACAGTGAGCTGTGATCATGCCACTGCACTCCAGCTTAGGCAACAGAGAGAGACGTGACTCAAAAAAAATTCTTTTATAATTTAAACAAAATTAGTACATTTTGCTACTAATAAGAGGTTATTATCTTCAGACTGCTGTATTTCCTTTTCAGACTCTTTGGGTTTACCAAAGATCTTCTTAAAGTCTGGTAACTTTAATGACAAGAATTATCTGCATATCATGTGAACATTGGAGAATCACATGGCCCCACCATTTCCTCTGATCCTGCACTTTCTTTTCACATAGTGTAAAATGTCATTAACGTATTTCCTACTTTTAGGTCCTGGCAACCACTGATCTAATTACTACTCAAATAGCTTCACCTTTTCCAGGATACCATCTGAATGGAGTCATACAGTATTCAGTGTTTTGAATCTGGATTCTTCCACTTATCAGAACAAAGTTGAAATTCTTTGATGTTACTGCATGTATCAGTACTTCATTCTTTTTTATTGTGGAGTAGTATATTCCATTGCATAGAGGTACCACAGCTTATGTATCCACTCATCAGTGGATGGACATTTGGGTTGTTTCCAATCTGGGGAACTACAAATAAAGCCATTATAAACTTTTGTATACAGTCTTTTGCATGAAAAAAAAAGTTTTTATTTCTCTTAAGTAAATACCTAAGAGCGCAAGGACTGGATCATATGGCAAATGTATCTTAAAGATATAAGAAATTTTCAGCTGGGTGCAGTGACTCACGCCTGTAATCCCAGCACTTTGGGGGACCGAGGTGGTAGATCACGAGGTCAAGATATCGAGACTATCCTGGCCAACATGGTGAAACCCTGTCTCTACTAAAAATACAAAAATTAGCTGGGCTTGGTGGCACACGCCTGTAGTTCCAGCTACCCGGGAGGCTGAGGCAGGAGAATCGCTTGAACCCGGGAAGCGGAGGTTTCAGTGAGCTGAGATCATGCCACTGCACTCCAGCCCGGGCAACAGAGTGAGACTCCATCTCAAAAATAAATATATATATATTATATATATATATATAATATATATATCTTAGTAGAAATCCGTCTCTACTAAAAATACAAGTATATATAATATATATAAATATATATATTATATATATTTATATATTTTTGTATATATTACATATACTTGTATTTTTAGTAGAGACGGGGTTTCTATTAAAATATATATAAAATATATATTATTTATATATTTATATATGTAATATATAATATATATAATATATATTTTCTATATTTATATTTATATATTTATTATATGTATATTTATATATTTAATAAATATATAAATAAATATATTTAATATATAATAAAATATATATTATATATAAAATATATAATAAAATATATATTATATATAAAATATATATAATATCTATAATATATGTAATATATTATATATAATATATAATAAATAATATATATTATATATAATATATAATAAATATATAAATAAATATATTTATATATTATATAAAAATAATATATATTTATATATTTTATATAAATTTATTATATAAATTTATATAATAGTTTATAAAATATATAATATAATATATTTTATAAAATATTATATAAATATTTTATTTATAAAATATAAATACATAATATATATTTATATTATTTATATATATATAATATATATATATATATATAAAAGAAAGTTTCAAACTGTTTTCCAAAGTGGTCTTGCACCAGTCCAGGGACTCCTCTTTGTCTGCATCCTCTTTTCCTCAAACTAGGCAGAAATTCAAGTCAATAACCATTTATCGGAAGCCTTTCTGGTGTCAGTCATTGTGCTTCCCTTTAGGGGGTCAGCCTTACTCAGGGGTCCAAAAACTTTACTCTGAGCTTTAATACAAATAACATGAAGTAGTGTTTGAAAAAAATACTTTTGTCTCTAATTCTTCAGTTTTTGAATGAAACTTTCTCCAGAGATTTATCTGTTAAATTATCTTTCGTGGTACTTTTCCCCCTTTCTATTTCATTGCACCCTTGAGGAGGAGCATTAGGGATGGTGGTCAAAGCTAATGGTCCTGTGGGACCATAATCCCAGAGAATGTGGTTTTCACTTTGATGAAGAAGCATCTTAAAGGGGCAATCCTCATATTGGTTGTGTCTTTTTACTTGGTTACTGAAACTGTATCTTCTTTTGTTATCCTTTCCCCCCAATGTTTGGCACTGCTTGGTTGCCCTTTTATGACATATCTATATTGAGGTCTTAGTCTTTGGAAATTCCACTAGGCTATTTTTGTAAGATGGACCTAGGGCATCTTCCCCTGAGATACATTCTCTCTGTGAGAATAACAACAATAACAACAACAACAATATAAATAGCAAAAGGAATTGTCAGTTATCAGGCTTTATGTGAAATGCCCTACATACACGTATTTTATTTAACACTCACAATAATTCCATAAAACAAGTGTTTTGTCCACATTTTATAGACAGGGGAACTGAGTCCTAGAGAAAGGAAACACTTTCACAAAACCATAGAGCTTCCATACGGCAGAATTAGAATCCATGTCCACAGCTGTCTGGTGATAAGGCAAGGATTGATGGCAACATTACGACTTTAACCCGTCTCCTATGCTGCTTTCCAAGCCAAGGAGAAATCAAGGAAGTTTCCTTGCACAGGAAGGCCTGAAACTGCTCAGCTCACTAAAGCCGGTGATTATTCTAAGTTTGAGAGATAAACTTCATCCAGAATACTAGTTAGCTTTTGCTGTATAATGTCAACCACAGAATTCTATAGGACTAGGATTAACAAGAGGTGAGCTAAGCACTTTGCTGATTATGGCTGGGTTTGCTCTTATGTCTGAGGGTTGTCTAATGAGTGATCTGATCCTGTCTGGCTACTACTACTAGGGCTAGTAGGTGACTTGGCTTTGCTTCCTGTGTCTCTTCTACCATCAAGCTAGCTTGGGTGTGTTCTCATGGTGATGGCACAGGCAGGAGAGAACAAGTCCCAGGGAACAGCCCATTTCAGAACTCTGCTTGTGCCAATATGCCCACATCCCATTGACCAAAACAAACCATATGGCACAGCTTAGGGTCAAGGGGCAGAATCAGTCACCCACAGAAGTGGAAGGGTATGGACAAAAGAGTAGGGTGCTTGCATAAGGATAAACACATAGACCAATGGAATAGAAAGTCCAGAAGTAAACCTGTACATCCATGTCCAACTGATTTTTGACAAGAGTCCCAAGGCCATTCAATGGAGAAAGAATAGTATCTTCAACAAATGTTACAGAGACAACTGGATATCTATATGCGAGAAATAAGGAAATTGGACTCTTACCTCACACCACACACAAAAATTAATTCAAAGTGGATCAAAGATTTAAATGTAAGAGCTAACCTGTAAAAGTCTTAGAACAAAACATAGAATAAATCTTTATGAGCTTGTATTTAGCAATGCATTTTTGCTATGACACCAAAAGTATGAAAACAAAAGAAAAAATAGATAAATTGGACTTCGTCAAAATTAAAAATGCTGTGTATCAAAAGACATTATCATGAACATGAAAATGCAACCAACAGAATGGCAGAAAGTATTTTTAAATCTTGTATCAGACAAGAGCCTGGTATTCCAAATATATACTTAAAAACCTTCTACAATGCAACAGCTAAAAAAAAAAACAAGCCAATTAAAAATGGGCAAAAGAGGCCAGGCACAGTGGCTCACGCCTGTAATCCCAGCACTTTGGAAGGCCGAGGCAGGTGGATCACGAGGTCAGGAGATCGAGACCACAGTGAAACCCCGTCTCTACTAAAAACACACACAAAAAAAACTCGCCGGGCGTGGTGGCAGGCGCCTGTAGTCCCAGCTACTCGGGAGGCTGAGGCAGGAGAATGGCTTGAACCCGGGAGGCGGAGCTTGCAGTGAGCCGAGATCGTGCCACTGCACTCCAGCCTGGGCGACAGAGCAAGGCTCCGTCTCAAAAAAAAAAAAAAAAAAAAAAAAATGGATGAAATACTTGATTAGACATTTTTCCAGAGAAGATATCCTAATGGCCAACAGTAGATGCAAAGATGTCCAACATTGTTAGTCATGAGGGAAATGCAAATCAAAACTACAATAAGACACTACCACACACCCACTGGGATGGCTATTTCAGAAAGTTCAAAATAAATTTTGGTGAGAACATGAAGAAATCAAACCCTTGTGTATTGCTGGCAGAAATATAAAAATTATTATAGTTATTGCAAAAAACAGTTTGGAAGTCCCTCAAAAAGTTAAACATAGATTTACTATATGACAAGCAACTTCATCCTTGACTATATACCCCAAATAATTGAACAAGCGTTCAAATAAACATTTGTAGATAAATGTTCATAGCAGCCCTATTCACAACAGATAAAAGGTGGAAACAACTCAAATGCCCACCAATGAATAGACACACAATGGAATATTATTCAGTCATGAAAAGGAACGAAATACTGATACATACTACAATGTGGATGAACCTTGAAAAAAATTATGTAAGTGAAAGAAACCAGACGTAATAGTCTATATTGTGTGATTCTATTTACATAAAATATCCAGATAGGTAAATCAATAGAAAAGAAAAAGCAAATGAGTGATTGCCAAGAACTGTTTAATGTGTATGGGATTTTTGGGAGGTGCGATGAAAATGCTTTGAACAAAATGGAGACGGCGACCACACAACATTGTGAATGTGCTAATTACCACTAAGTTGTACCCCTTAAGATTATTAATTTTATGTTAGGTGAATTTCAGCTCAATTAGAAAAACAATTGGAAGGTACTGCAAAGTTGCATGGCAAATGTGTACAGGGAGAAATGAAGAAGTGGGACCATTCATGTAATGGATCCCAACACAGCAATAGGGAATATGTTTTCCTGATACGCCCTCTGTACAAAGATTCCCCTGAGAAACAAGGGAGATGGCTGCAACCATTGTAGATGACGACTAAAGGTTTGATTATGCTGAATTCTGACAAACTCTTGATCTCTTCCCCGCTTAGAGACACAAACAACAACTACTAGTCCTACAGACTAAATGGATGAATATATAATATCAAATTACTTTTCCTCTCTGGGCTTCAGTGTCTATAATTTTATAAGGGCGTTGCCATTGACTGGATGGTTTCTTCCAGCCCAGCCACTCTATAACACTTGCTTCTGTTAGACTTACAGACAAAGTAGCTCCATGTGAATGCACTCATTTAGGAGAGGAAGAGGAAAAGTTGAAGACAGAAATGCAAGTATGGAAAAGATGTTTCACTAACTTCACCTTTTGCTTCGTAACACTTTCCACTGCAGATCACCTGAGAAATCTGTGTTCTCCACTTCTTTGGAAAAGAAAAATATTTCCCTTTTTCTCTGTCTTCTTGTCTAAGTGCCCAAATGTCTCCTTGACCCCTCTTTCTTCCTACACAGGATCATCAGGAATGGGGGACCTTGAGGTGCACCCCATGTATATTCATGCCTGAAGACCTGATTTTGTATACATGTGGAAGACATCTGCCTTGTGGGAAACGGCGGTATCTCCATTCCTAGTATCACTAGCATTACTATCAATGGTGTATGGTCTTTTGGGGATTGTGTAAGCAATGGAAATTTGCACAGCCAAAGATTCCATTACTGTATAAAACTAACGACTCCACAATTACGGAAAAATAAATTAGTGGTGGCTTCCAAAGTCCTGGCATATTAAGGGAGGATGCAAACACAGGTGTGTCAGCCAGGCATAGTAGCTCACGCCTGTAATCCCAGCACTTTGGAAGGCTGAGGCGGGCAGATTTCTTTTTTTTTTTTTTTTTTTTGAGACGGAGTCTCGCTCTGTCGCCCAGGCTGGAGTGCAGTGGTGGGATCTCGGCTCACTGCAAGCTCCGCCTCCCGGGTTCACGCCATTCTCCTGCCTCAGCCTCCCAAGTAGCTGGGACTACAGGCGCCCGCCACTACGCCCCGCTAATTTTTTGTATTTTTTAGTAGAGACGGGGTTTCACCGTTTTAGCCGGGATGGTCTCGATCTCCTGACCTCGTGATCCGCCCGCCTCGGCCTCCCAAAGTGCTGGGATTACAGGCGTGAGCCACCGCGCCCGGCCGGGCAGATTTCTTTAGGTCAGGAGTTGGAGACCAGACTGGCCAACATGGTGAAACCCCATCTCTACTAAAAGTACAAAACTTAGCCAGGCATGGTGGTGCATGCCTGTAATCCACCTGCTCAGGAGGCTGAGGCAGGAGAATTGCTTGAACCTGGGAGGCGGAGATGGCAGTGAGCTGAGATGGTGCCACTGTACTCCAGCCTGGGTAACAGAGCAAGACTTCGTCTCAAAAACAACAACAGCAACAAATCCCAAACACAGATGTGTTGACCCACATTTTGGAGAGAAAATCAAGCATTTTTCTGTCTGAAATTTGAAGTAATATTATATCTATTATTGCCTATGATAATATTAATCATCCCCAACCCTTACTCGGCATTTTATAAAGTACTAAGCAGTTTTGCATCCATTGTCTCAGTTTTATCCTCAAACAATCCTGTGAGGAAGGTGGAGCTTGTGCTATCCTCATTCAACAGAGGGTTAAACTGACAATCAGAAGTTTAAGTGAATTTCATAAAATTTTACAAACAATAAGAGACCAAGAGCCCACACCTGTGGCCTTTTTCTCTTTCACCACGTTAAGTTCCCTCACCACACTCATAGGCCCCTTACTCTCCTACCTGAGGATGCCCAACTTCAAACAATGCTCACCTCCTGGTTGGCTGTTGCAAGAGGCTCCTAAGGGTGTCCCAGCCTTTTTTATCCACCACATCGTATATAACTATTAAGTGATCATCATAAAATGCAAATATGATCATGCCTCTCTCCTCCTTAATAATCATTAATGCTCCTTCTGTCCTCAGAAACACTATTATCTACAGAATATAGAATGGTGTGATCTGGTGTCTAATTTTCCAGGCTCATCTCTTACAATTCGGTAGCACAAAATCTATCCTTAAAGCCCATAAAGTTGATTTTTTTTAAATCCCTGAATTAGAACTGCATGCTGCTTAATGATTCTGGGTCTCTTCATATACTCTTCTCTCCTCGTGGATCTTCTCTTCTCATCTGACACATTAATGCCTATTTATCCTTCAAGCATCAGGTCAAATATTACTGTAAATGAAGCTTGCCCTAACTTCCATAGGAAAAGCCAATCACTGCCTTCTGTCAGTTCTCCTGCTTTCTTGTGCAAAACATTGCCCTGTAATAACTTAACGTTTGATTGGAATTTTATATTATGAAATCCATGCTGTCAGATGTCAAGAATTTTCATCATTATTGCCTCAGTATCTATCACAGCTGTGGCATACAGGAAGTACTCAATAAATATACGTTAAATGTTTAAATGAAGGATTCAAGGAGAACTTTATAAAAAGTACACTCCTTTCATTTCTTCCTGTTTGCTTATCTCTATTGGCCAGTACTCATTCTTCCTAAAAGCAACTTACTATGTGGGGTCATTAACACTCTGTGGTGTTTTTCCATGGCAGATAAGGAGTTGAAGGCAGTCTAAGCAGGGACTCTGTGAGGCAGACACAATCCCACCTGATTCCTTTCCCTGGGTCAGGGGTCAGGAGTTGCATTGCATGTATTTCAGGGTCTTTGAGACTAAAAACCCGTAAGACAGCTGTTGTCCACAGCCACCTCAGAGAAACCCTGGACTGGCATTGACCCAAAACAACCCAAATCTCAGGGGCTTAGGCTGAAACAATCTGTGATGGGAATGTAATACTCCATATAGTTTTCAGTTAGTTCTGGTTTCCATTTATCTTTCTTTCTTGGCAGGTAGGGCAAGGGTGAGAGGAAAATGGGGTAGGTGGGGAGTGGAACTTGATTGAATTACCTGCCAGGCCTTCAGAAACCCACACAAAAGAAACTCACAACTCAACTTGGCATCTCTTTAGGAACCATTCCTTGAAGGCTGCTGATGGAGATGCTAGTGCTTAGGAAAGCATTAGGCTGCCCTCAGATAATTCGTGTGGCAGGATCAGTGTAAGAACATATCGTTCTTGGCAAAGGTGAAAAGAGCCTGCTGAGTTGGAGAGACAGATCGGAGACTTTCCCCAGCCTACCCTCTGCCTGTTGGCATTATTTACATCCTCACTTCCCTCGTCACAGGACAACTATGCCAAGGTTGTCTATCCGCAGAAGGTTTGGGTTCACAATTGCCATGCAATATTTATTCCTTTCCTTTCTTTACCATTGAACTTCTTACCTCGACCACTGAGAATTTGTTACCATCACTTCTACTTCATCTGATATTTATGAGCACAGTTTCTACATCATTTAGTAGCTGAGGCCTTTCTCTACCGCATGAAATATACAGATATCACTTACAAAAGAACATTTCATAGTTATTTCAATATGGTTACGGCTTTAAAATAGGTCAGTCTGTTTCCTCTGTCTTGTAGAACATTGTAGCATTTATTATTTCTAAAATTCATCTGACATTTATTTCTTGAACAGTACATTCACTGCCCATTAATTTGTATTAAGCAACTGATTGAGACCAGGGGTGGCACTCCTCAAACATAATTGTGTCATCTAATGTACTGCACAGATCTACACGTCTCAGACATCTTGCTGATGTGAATTTTTTGAGTCAAGAACTGGGCTAACTCAGCTTCGTATCACTGTGTATATCTCAGTACTGAGAATATAGAAGACCCACAGGTTTTCTAAAAAATTTAAGCCTAATTTCCCCTAAACTTTCACATTGCGGATAAAGATGGGATCATAGCATCATCAGTGATTAATCCAACTAACAGTGCCAATTCTTGGGCTCATCTTTAGAATCAAGACCTCCAGTGTTCAGCACTGTAATGTCCTCTATGTTTTTTCTGAGAGTTTCCAGGAAGCGTCACATAAGATCTGAAAAAGTGCTATTTCTATGACTCTGACGGGCCCCGTGGTCCCCACCAGAATACTGTCGATGGTCTGTCTTCTGTCGCCTGGTGTTTCCTCACTCTCCTTCGGTGGTTCCACCAGGTACCACAGACCCTCCTTGCACCCCCATGCCCACCAAGTGCCAATGCTACCCCCAGTCCCAGGCTGTGTATAGTCTCTGTGGGCTCTGAGAGACCATGAGGCAGAGGATGCTACTGCATTTAATGAAGCAGCTCTTTTTCCCTTCAACAAACCGTATGACTGGAGCGCCCCAGAATTTGAGGTTAACATCTACTACATTGTTCCTGGAAATACCATTTTACTGTAAAGATCATGGTTTGCTATTTTGTCCATAAGTTTTCTGAAACAGGCCCAGACACATCTGAATCCCCGAATGAGTCCAACTTGAGGCTCAAATCCATAGTATATTTTTTCATTTCTTATTATAAAAGTCATACATATTTACTGTAGAAGAATATAAAAGAAAATAACAATCACTTGTGATCTCACAGCCCAGACTAAACATTTTGACATATATTATTTAATCCCTCTTGCCATTTGTTTGAAATAAACTGGAGGAAATAGTATTGATCAAAATTTCTCTTGTATTCATTGAGAGATTTACTTTGAGGCTGAGACCCCAATAAGATGCTTAGTAGCAAAAGTTGGTTTCTGGAATTGCTCTGAAAAGTAATGAAATATGGAATTAGAGCTCCCCTGGAGAAAAAAAAACTGAGAAGGAAAGTGCATTTGGAAACTATGATGGCATGGCAGAGAAGGAACTGGGGCAAAATGAAAAGTTGGATGTAGGTTTTTGAGCCATACATTGTGCACAGCAGACTGCAGTCTTTATTACCCTGACCTTAACATGAGACAGAAAACCAACTGAGATATAGAATCCAACAGAATGCCACTGAAATGCAAATAAGAATTTTAAATAAGCCAGAAAAAAAGAATACCAAAAAAACTCAAAATAAAATTGAGGAAGAGATAGATCAGTTGAATAATTCCATCTAATTATAAAGCAACCTTGGTTGGTGAAGGATGGTGGAAGAGAGGAAGGGGGCAAGGAGAAGACTCCCTAAAGTCAGAAAGAAGAATGATGTATCTTGGATGTGTCTTGATCCCAAGAACATGCTTTTCTCTGAGCAGTAGAGGGCTGTGAGACCCCCACTACTTGGAGAAAATGAATATTCAAAAATGTTTAGGCAGGTCACTGTGGCTCACGCCTGTAATCCCAGCACTTTGGGAGGCCAAGGCGGGCAGATCACGAGGTCAGGAAATCGAGACCATCCTGGCTAACATGGTGAAACCCCGTCTCTACTAAAAATACAAAAAAATTAGCCTGGCGTGGTGGCAGGTGCCTGTAGTCCCAGCTGTTCTGGAGGCTGAGCTAGGAGAATGGCGTGAACCTGGGAGGCAGAGCTTGCAGTGAACCGAGATGGTGCCACTGCACTGCAGCCTGGCCGACAGAGTGAGAGTCCGTCTCAAAAACAAAACGAAACAAGAAACAATAAGGTTTAATAGTGTTGAATGTTTTGGGGACTACCAGATTTCACATCCTGACTTAAATTTTCTGACCTGTATGAACCTCCACCCATTAAGATGGTAACCCCAACTCACTATCATGTTGTTTCTTATTTTATTTTTAAAAATTATTTATTTATTTTATTTTAATTTATTTTATTTTTATTTTTTGACAGTGTCTCACTCTGTCTCCCAGGCTGGAGTGCAGTGGCATGATCTCGGGTCACTGCAAACTCCGCCTCCTGGGTTCAATTAATTCTCCTGCCTCAGCCACCCGAGTAGCTGGGATTACAGGTGTGCCAACACGTTCAGCTAATTTTTGTATGTTTAGTAGAGACGGGGTTTCGCCATGTTGGTCAGGCTGGTCTTGAACTCCTGAACTCTGGTGATCCACCCGCCTCGGCTTCCCAAAGTGCTGGATTATAGTCGTGAGCCACTGCACCCAGCCCATGTTGTTTCTTTAGTGGGTATATCTTAATATCCTAGAAAGGACAGGGAAGGAATAAATCACTTTCATGATATGAGTTTAATTAAATTTAGGAATAATCTGTGAACCCGTAATTTGTAAAGTACTTCTGATGATTAAGAGCAATTGGCATGCTGACTAATATGACAGATTAGTCTTGTGATCCCAATTTAAACTTTATAACTGTAATTTATTTTAGTCACATTGATTGAAATACGTAAAAACTTTGCTAACTTTGTACATAATACTAAAACATTTAAGAAAAGTTAAGGTTTTCTACAGTTATGTTGAATTTATTAGGTCTACTATGTTGGAGAAGCTTTGTTTGTTAGTGACAATTAGAAAATTGAGCATGTTAAATTTATAAATGCATTTAAAAATATTTAATAGAATTTAACTATGTTCATTGAATAATCAAATACTTCTTTCAACATACTTATCAAAATTTACCAGATTTTTATGAATAGAATAATACAATTTTTAAATATCTATGATGTTCAAAGAAAAAGCTGATATTTAAGTCTGTCACTATCACTTATTAATTTATTCAAAAAATGTTAGTGAGGGTCTTCAATAACTATTCTGTGTGCTGGAGACAGGGCAGTGACCAAAGTACTTGCTCTCAAATGACTTACATTCTCCTGGAATGACAGACATAAACAAATAAAAAGTGTAATCTGTAGCATGGCAGAAGATGCAAAGTTCAATAAAGAAAGCTAATTCAAGGCAAGGGGGATGGGGCTTGCTGGACAGATAAGCTGGGGTAAAGGTGTGGTCTGCTGTTTTTATATAAAGGGGTGAGAGATGGCCCCACTGACTGGGTGGCATTTGAAGAGAAACTCCAGGAATTGAGGAAAGGAATTGACAGAATTTACAGGTATCCAGTGGAAAAGCTTTTCAAGGCAAGGCACCCCAAGGGGACAGCAGGGGCTCCAGGAAGGGAGTCCCTTCACAGAAAGCCACACTGATTACATCCTTAGAGCACAAGCACATGGCATACCCCAGAGAGGGCAGAGCCAGACTACAGCCTTCCAGTGACTCGTCTTGTCCTGGCTTCCTAAACGCACACTCTCCAGAGACTTTGACCCTTTCAACTCCCTCCAGCATTTTTTTTCTGAAAAATCTAGATTGCACTTGTGCCTTTCACCCTTCTAAAAACAGATTCTACATTATTGTCACCTTATTATTATTACATGTGTAAGCTTACCTTTCCTAAAGAGTTATAAGAAACTTGTAAGAGAATCACATCTTAAGGCCGGGCACGTGGCTCACGCCTGTAATCCCAGCACTCTGGGAGGTCAAGGTGGGCGGATCACCTGAAGTCAGGAGTTTGAGACCAGCCTGGCCAACATGGTGAAACCCCATCTCAACTAAAAATACAAAAATTAGCCGGGCATGACAGTGGGTGCCTGTAATTTCAGCTACTCAGGAGACCGAGGTGGGAGAATCACTTGAACCCAGGAGGCGGAGGTTGCAGTGACCCAAGACAGTGCCATTGCACTCCAACCTGTGTGACAAAGTAAGACTCCATCTCAAAAAAAAAAGAAAAAAAAAAAAGAATCAGGTCTTCAGTCACTAAATGTATGGGATGGGATAGAATTAGCTCTTCAGCAGTAACATTTGCTATAGGATAATGGCTGATACTGATGGAGGACATGTGAGCCCCAAAATTGGAGCTTAGTACAGGAGGGTTCTTGGCTTTGCCAAGGGAAAGAATTCCAGGGCAAGCAGGTGGTTTTAGACAGCAATCTTTGATTGAATTGTACCGTTACCAGAAAAAGGTCCCAATCCAGACCCCAAGAATAGGTTCTCAGGTCTCATGCAAGAAATAATTTGGGGTGAGTACATAGAGTAAAATGAAAGTAAGTTTATTAAGAAAGTAAAGGAATAAAGAATGGCTACAATAGGCAGAGCAGCAGCATGGACTGCTCAGCTGCTTATACTTATTGTTACTTCTTGATTATATGCTAAACAAGGGGTGGATTATTCTTAAGTTTTCTGGGAAAGGGGTAGGCAATTCCTGGAACTGAGGGATTTTCGCCTTTTTAGACCACATACGGTAACTTCCAGACATTGCCATGGCATCTATAAACTGTCATGGCACTGATGGGAGTGTCTTTTGGCATGCTAATGTATTATAATTAGCATATGAGCAGTGAGAATGACCAGATGTCATTTTGTCGCCATCTTGGTTTTGGTGGGATTTGGCCAGCTTCTTTACTGCATGCTGTTTTATCAGCAAGGTGTTCATGACCTGTATCTTGTGCTGACATCCTATCTCATCCTGTGACTAAGAATGCCTTAACCTCCTGGGAATGCAGTCCAGTAGGTCTCAGCCTTATTTTACCCAGCCCCTATTCAAGATGGAGTCACTCTTGTTCAAACGCCTCTGACAGCACTGCTCCTTGTGAAGCAGTTCTAACTCCATAGGCAGTACATCTACAGTCAGCAGTCCATGGGCTCTTGGCAACTCTATACCTTCTTATACCCACTTTCATTTACATGCAAATGAAGGGGTGTATTAATGCAAATTGAGAGGTGGATTATTTCAAACGTTCTAGGAAAAGAATGGTAACTTCCAGGTCATTGCCATGGTAAAGAGTGGTAACTTCCGGTCATTGCCATGTCATTTGTAAACGGTCAGGGTACTGGTGGGAAAGTCTAATATTAATGAGCAATGAGGGTGGCTAGGGATCACTTTTGTGTCTGCCTATCCGTTCCCACCCATTTCTTCACTTTATCCTGTTTAGACTAGATCCTGTTTTGGTCAGCAAGGTTGACCAGAAAACAAGTCCTGCTGGTCTCCTACCTCAATGCTACTGCAGTTGTACCACAAGACTTGGAATTTATTCTAAGGCAATCAGAAAAATACATTCATCATTTTATCCAGCAAACACTAATACTTGCTTTGAGCTAAGGATGACTGTAGGCTTTGAAAGTTGGTTTATCAACAGCATCTTTAAAGGCGAGGTCACTTTGCTATGTAAATAAAAACTAAACAGAGCTTTTTAAAATTAATTATTTTTAACCGACAAAGATTATATATATTAATTATGTACAACATGATGTTTTGAAACACGTATTCATTGTGGAACGGCTGCATTGATCTAATTCACACATGCACTAATTCACATATTTTTGTGGTGAGAACACTGAAAATCTGCTCACTTAGTGATTTTCAAATATATAAGTCATCAACTATAGTCACTATGTTGTGCAATACATCTCTTGAGCTTATTCCTGTTGCCTAACTGAAATTTTGTATCCTTTGACCAATATCTCCCCAACCCCCTCAGTTACTCACCCTCAAGCCCCGGTAGCCACCATTCTATTCTCTGCTTCTATAAGTTTGACTTCCTTAGATTCAACATACAAGTGAGATTATGCAGTATTTATCTCTCTGTGTCTGGCTTATTGCACTAAATATGATGCCCTCCATGTTCATCCATGTTATCACAAATGACAAGATTTCCTTCCTTTTACAGGTTGAATAGTATTCCATTGTGCATTTATACCACATTTTCTTCATCCAGTCATTCGTTGATGGATGCTTAGCTTGATTGTATACCATGGCTGCTGTGAAAAATGCTGGAATGAAATTTTTTTAAAGAAAGATTTTCTGCATGAATGTTCTTTATAAAACATTCACTAAAACTCATCTTTCTCAACTCCTGATGCTGTTCATTTTTCTCAACATTGGCAGCCGTCTGCACCAATGAATGTGTTTGGGGAAAGGACTGTGAGTTACTCTTACCCTTTTAGGAGTCAGCCGTGTCAGGACAGCTCTAAAAACTATTTGTTGCTAGTAAATATTATTTCCTGAACAACAACAACAACAAAAAATCCCTTTTATATTTACTGCCCACTATAGTTTAATGACCTGAACAGTAGATTATAAGTAGTGATTCCGGCAGTCTCTATTCTTACGCTTTTGCCTCAAACTCCCAAACCCTCATTGGCAATGGAGCTTGCTCAAATTGCCCTGACCATTTTTCTTTTTAATTAGAGCTTTCAAAGAATGAAATAAATTGTTTTCTAAAGAGGATAATAGGAGGGACAGGAAAGTAAGAAAGACACGTTGCTGCATTAGAAAGTAGAACAAATGTCAATGCTCTCTGACCAGCATCTCCATTTGCTGCATGGACTATAAAATCTTTTAACAGCAGCGGGAAGTGAGTTCAGAATGACTAACCTTTCACCGTGTGTCACTAACGAGGGAGGTTATAGCAGATTCCATTCCCATTAAATGATATTATAGTGACATTCCATGGTCATTAACTAAATGTGCTAAATGTTGTTTTCCAAGACTGAGTTTGAAGGTACAGGAGAGAAGGTATCTTCTCTGGAGATAATTAAATGATATCCAATGATGTAAACTTGCCTGCCATTTGACCAATGGATACTTGTCAAGTAAACTGAGATCAGGAAATGTTCTCTAGATGAAAAATATGTCCAAAGAACCCCACTCTCTAATCCCCCTTGTTTTTAACTGGCCTGGGTTTTTTTTTTTTTTTCTGACTTGAATTGTAGTATAAAGACTTGCCATTAATTTCCATGTATATATTCTGGTTAAACAGATCAGAGTAGCAAATAATTAGTGACTCATTATATCCAAATATGTACATTATGCCAGAATATTTTTGTAAACAAATGTCCCCTTTTACAGATTTAGCATTTTTAAAGTTATTCTTCATAATATTAATATCACCTTTTTTAGATGGGGAGAGGTGAGATTCTGTGAAGTAGAATAGCTGATGAATCTGATTACGTGTCTTTTGTACTTTTTCCCAATTCCAATCCAACTATAAATGACTTTGCTTGAGTGTAGAGTTGTTAGAACAAAGTCAAGGGGCTCCCAGGGAGTGTTTGCAGAGTGAGGGCTTCTGTCTTTCCGTCCATGGGTTGGCACAGGGCTTGCTATGTATAAATAAAGCAGCACAAGACAGTGACCCCTCTAGGCCCCTTAAGAGTCAGGAGCCTGGCCGCGTGTGGTAACTCATGCCTGTAATCCCAGCATTTTGGGAGGCCGAAGTTGGCAGATATTTGAGGTCAGGAGTTCAAGACCAGTCTGACAAACATGGTGAAACCCTATCTCTACTGAAAAATACAAAAAATTAGCTGGGTGTGGTGGCAATGCCTGTAATCTCAGCTACTCAGGAGGCTGAAGCAGGAGAATCACTTGAACCCAGAAGGTGGAAGTTGCAAGTGAGCCGAGATCGCGCCATTGCACTCCAGTCTGGGCGACAGAGCGAGACTCTGACTCAAAAAAATAAACAGGAAAAAAAAAAGAGTCAAGAGACTGCCAGAGGGGAAGAATTTAAGCATCAATTTTGCTGGAAATAGCTTCACCTAAGAAGATCCATATACTCTATTAGTGAGTTGAATGGTGCTCCCTCCAAAAGATATGTCAATGTCCAAATTCCTGGAACCTGTAGATGTTACCTTACTTGGAAAAACGTTTGTAGATATGATTAAGTTAAGGATCTTGAGATAAGAACATGCTGGATTACCCACGTGGCCCCTAAACTCGCAGACAAGGAGAGACAGAAGGGAAGACACAGACACACAGAGCAGAAGGCAATGTGAAGACAGCGGTAGAGACTGGAGTGATGAGGCCACAAGTCATGGAAGCCGAGGAATACCAACAGCCATGAAAAGCTGGAAGAGACAAAGGAGGATTTTCTCCTAGAATCCAAAGGATGTATGACCCTGCTGACACCTTCATTTCAGATATCTGGCCTCTTCTGGAGAATGAGTTTTTATTTTATTAAGCCACCCAGTTTGTGGGAATTGGTTATTGCAGCCCTGGAAACCGATACATATCCCAAAGCAAAGGGCAGCGCAAGAGACCCGTGGCCACAAAGGAGCTGCAAAGATCTGAAACGTCAAGCAGTTAAGCTTCCCCCTTAAATCCAAGGCCCTGCAGCTAAGGAAACCAGGGGAGCAGGCAAGGTTTTCCTGGGGCCCCCGCGAGGACCAGAAACTTACAGCTGGTACATTACCAGCTAAATGGAGAAGAGACTTAAATACCCTCTACTATGCTCTGGGCCCCCAAACTCCACCTCAAAGTACTTGGGGAACTGTGCCCCAAGAGGAAATACAGTGATGTATGGATGTCTTCAGTTGAGTTCTCTGGAAACAGACTCTGAGATGGACAATTGTATTCTGAAGATTTACTGAAGAGAGCTCTTGAGAAACACATTTATGTAAAAGAAAGGAAGCCAGGAAAGGGAAGAGGGAAAATCTCATCTTCAATGTGGTTTCAACTGGCCACATCCTATGGAAGCCCAAACTTGGGCTGACCCTTCAGAGTTGTCCCAGATTGAGGCAAGAGGATCAGATCTTCCTTATACCAGCGAATTCTTGGCTTTGGGCTTCCCATAATTTTGATCAAAGCAATTCTTTGTTGCTGCATGTAACTCCAGCTGAGGGATATGGCTGGAAGCCGGCAGCAGCCAAAAGGTGCACATGATGGCCCTAAAGAGAGGATCTGGGTAAAGCATGCAGCATCCGGTGAAACAGACAACAGGAAGTGATAGCGCAGGTAAGAAGGCTCGGTAGCCTTAGAGGGGAAGAGCTGCCAGAGCTCTCAACACAGGGCACTGGGATAGAATAGGACAGTTGGGGCAGGAGCTGGCAACTTTAACATAAACATAATGACAAAGTCATTTAAAATGTACAAAATAAAAATAGAAAGACTTTGTACGGCTTAAACCTGGTTTTCAGATTTTAAATTCTGTAGATGAATTGAAGGAGAGTGCGTGTGACCCAAAGATCAAATGAAAGAAATGGCTTAAAACATGAAGCAAATATGGAGGAAAAAGAATCCAAACACAGAAATGTTGAGCAAAAAATTAAAGTCTTGGAGAGTAGACCTGACAGGCCTCGTCTGAATGCCAGATGTTTTTGAAAAAGAAATGTATAGATAGAGACAAAGCAATAACTAAACAAATAATGTAAGAAAAGTTATCTGAGCATGAAGAGCTTAATCTGCACATAAAGGCCTCATTAGGCTTTACATATAATTAGTTTTAATTAAAAAATAAAACCATACATCCAAGACATAGCCTTATAATATCTCTGAATTCCAGATAAAAGAAATAATTCTCAAGCTTCTAGACCAAAAGAGAAAGAATCAGAGGGCATTGAAGTTCTTGCTTACAGCACTGGAACTTGGAAATTAGTATAAGGACCTGTACATGCTGAAAAAAAAAAAGTTGCAATTTTAAAATGCTATACCCAGACAGGCATTGTTCTCCAGGGGGAGGGGATCACTTGTAGAAATGAAAAGATGTATGTCACCCACTTATATTGTTTGGCTGTGCCCCCACCCAAATCTCATCTTGAATTGTAGCTTCCATAATCCCTATGTGTCATGGGAGAGACTCAGTGGGAGCTAATTGAATCATGAGTTGGGTTTTTCCCATGCTGTTCTCGTAATAGCGAATAAATCTCAGGAGATCTGATGGTTTTATAAAAAACAGTTCCCCTGCACATGCTTTCTTGCCTGCTGCCATGTAAGACATGCCTTTGCTTCTCCTTCACCTTCCACCATGATTGTGAGGCCTCCCCAGCCATGTGGAACTCTGAGTCCATTAAACCTCTTTTTCTTTATAAATTACCCAGCCTTGGGTATTTCTTCATAGCAGTATGAAAATGGACTAATACAGCAAATTGGTACTGGTAGAGCAGGGTATTGCTATTAAGATACCTGAAAATGTGGAAGCAACTTTGGAACTGGGTAACAGGCTGTATTAGTCAGGGTTCTCTACAGGGACAGAACTAATAGAATATATATATATAATATATTAATATACATAATATATTATATATAATATATATTCTGTAGAATATATTTATATGGGGGGGTTACTAAGTATTAACTCACACAGTCACAAGGTCCCACAATAGGTTGTCTGCAAGCTGAGGAGCAAGGAAAGCCAATCTGAATCCCAAAACTGAAGAACTTGAAGTGCAATATTTGAGGGCAGGAAGGGTCCAGCACAGGAGAGAGATGTAGGCTGGATGGCTAGACCAGTCTAGTCTTTTCACGTTTTTCTGCCTGCTTTATATTCTAGCCATGCTGGCAGCTGATTAGACAGTCTGCCTTTCCCAGCCCACTGACTCAAATGTTAAGGTCCTTTGGCAACACCCTCAGAAACACACCCAGTATCAACACTTTGCATCCTTCAATCCAGTCAAGTTGACACTCACTATTAATCATCACACAGGCAGAGGTATGAACAATTTGGAGGGCTCAGAAATAGGCAGAAAGATATAGGAAAGTTTGGAGCTTCCTTGTTGATTGGTTTTGATAAAAGAAGTCCAGGCCGCGGAGGTCTCAGATGGAGATGAAGGAGTTATTGGGAACTGGAGCAAAGGTGATTCTTGTTATGCTTTAGCAGAGCGGCTGGCAGCATTGTGCCCCTGCCCTAGAGATCTGTGGAACTTTGAACTTGAGAGAGATGATTTACAGTATCTGGCGAAAGAAATTTCTAAGCAGCAAAGCATTCAAGATATGACTTGGGTGCTGTTCAAAGCATTCAGCTTTATTCATTCACAAAGATATGGTTTGGAATTGGAACTTTGTTTAAAATGGAAGCAGAGCATAAAAGTTCCAAAAATTTGCAGCCTGACAATGTGAAAAACCCATTTTCTAAGGAGAAATTCAAGCCAGCTGAAGAAATTTGCATAAGTAACAAGGAGCTAAATGTTAATCGCCAAGACAATGGGGAAAATCTCTCGAGGGCATGTCAGAGGTCTTCCCTGCAGCCCCTCCCATCACAGGTATGGAGGCCTAGTAGGAAAAAATGGTTTCATGGGCCGGGCCCAGGGCCTTGCTGCTTTGTGTAGCCCCGAGACTTGGTGCCCTGCATCCCGACCATGGCTAAAAGGGGCCAAAATACTGCTTAGGCTGTTGCTTCAGAGGGTAAAAGCCCCAAGCCTTGGCAGCTTACATGTGATATTAGGCCTGCAAGTCCTCAAGAATTGAGATTTGGGAACCTCTGCCTAGATTGCAAAGGGTGTATGGAAGTGCCTGGGTGTCCAGGCAGAGGTGTGCTGCAGGGGCACAGCTCTCATGGAGAACCTCTGCTAGGCCAGTGTGGAAGGGAAAATGGTGTCAGAGCCCCCACACAGAGTCCCCACTGGGGCACTGTGTAGTGGAGGTGTGAGAAGAAGGCCACAGTCCTCCAGACCCCAGAATGGTAGATCCACCTACAGCTTCCACCACACACCCAGAGAGGCCATAGACACTCAACACAAGCCTGTAAAAGCAGCTGGGAGTGGGGGCTGTACCCTACAAAACCACAGGGGCACAGCTGCCCAAGACCATGGGAATCAACCTCTTGCATCTGCATTACCTGGATCTGAGACACGGAGTCAAAGGAGATCATTTTGCAGCTTTAAGATTTGAATTCCCCACAAGATTTCAGACTTTCATAGGGGCTGTAGCCCCTTCATTTTGATCAATTTCTTCCATTTGGAATGGGCATATTTACTCAATGCCTGTACCCCCATTGTATCTAGGAAGTAACTAACTTGCTTTGACTTTACAGGCTCATAGGCAGAAGGGGTTTGCCTTGTCTCACATGAGACTTTGAACTTTGGACTTTTGAGTTAATGCTGAAATGAGTTAAGACTTCGAGGGACTGTTCGGAAGGCATGGTTGGTTTTGAAATGTGAGGACATGAGATTTGGGAGGGGCCAAGGGTGGAATGATATGGTTTGGCTGTGTCCCCACTCAAATCTCATATTGAAGTATAGTTCCCATAATCCCCACATGTTGTGGGAGGGACGGGGTGGGAAGTGACTGAATCATGAGGGTGGATTTTTCCTGTGCTGTTTTCATGATAGTGAATAAGTCTCATGAAGTCTAACGGTTTTATAAAGGGCAGTTCCCCTACACATGCACTCTTGCCTGCCACCATGTAAAATGTACCTTTGCTCCTCCTTCATGTTCCACCATGATTGTGAGGCCTCCCAGCTATGTAGAATCATGAGTCTTTATAAACTGTCTTTTTTCTTTGTAAATTACCAAGTCTTGGGTATTTCTTCATAGCAGTATGAAAATGGAAGAATACACCCACATACTCCATCTGTGGAAAATACCTCTAAAATTATTTTAACCAAAAAAACAATTGAATTAGAACAGGGACCGTCAGATGGGGAAGATGATAAGTGACAAAAACCTACACTAGTATACAATGAAATCCAAACAGGAAGTAATAGAATGACAGGGGATTTGTAATATGTATTAATTAGGGTTCTTAAACTAGGCATGCTGCAAAGGGAAGCCCCCAAGTCATCTGGGACTGAACATACTGAACTATGTATTTCAAACCTAGCATTTGTGGGGGGCCAGAGTTATGGTGTGGAGAAAAAGGAAGTAAAACTATTTTAAAGTTTCATGTTTCCAATGAAGCAGATATAGAAACAATCTGGGAAGTGAGTACCCAGGAGGAGTAAAAGTTGATATTTTGTTTTTATGTAGTACTAAGATCTAATAGCAAGTGTGTTGAATATGGGAAGGTAACAATCAGTGGAAAGGAAATGTATCATAAACTTCCAATTTAACAAGGAGAAAATAAAAAAAGAAAGGAGTGAATAATCATTTGACCAATGGGCAAAAATGAGGAAAAAAAACTAAGAGAAAGCACTGAGTGAAAATAACCAGTCAATGTAAAATAAAATGGGAAGCATAATATTAAGTATAAGAGTCACTAACTAAAGGTAGGAGAGCAAACTTCACCCATAAAAAGACAGAGATTGTTGAAATGAGTCACACACAGAGAGCAGCCCATGACAAACACACTGTGTGAGGTCTCTTTCACTTGCTCTTGCAGGTCTGTCTATTTCTTTCTCCAAGCTGTGATCGGCTCTGAGTAGCTGGCCTGTAGGGGTCCCTTTTCTCCTGGTTTCCACTTAGGTTCAGCCAGTGAGGATCACTGAGGGAGAGATAAGAAGGAGGGAGGAGAACGAGCTTCTTCCTTATGTGAACAGCCTGGACTGGCTCTGTTCCCCAGTGAAAATCCCTTGCTCCTCCCAAGATAATTGACTATACTCAAGTCTCTGTCTTTCCAGATTCCAGTAACCTCTCTCTCCCCTTGTCCCTCTGGCCTTAGGGGTGGTAACAGCTCCAATTCTCCTAACACCAGGTCTGCACACTATCCTTGTGATTCCCTTACACCAACACTTCATAAAGAGTTTGCCATCTGTTTTCCTATCTGGAATTATCCGATTTTGAGAGTGCCATCTGTTTTCTGTTGGGACTTGGCTGATAATTGGTTCCAGAAGTGGCCCCAGGAAAGAAGTTTTCAAAATGAGATTCTGGAATTGGGTTGGATGTATATGCAAGGAGTGAATGTTCCGTTTTACTTGTTGAGTAAACACAGAATATGAGTAACCTGTGATATTCAGTCATTCAAATTATCACTGGTGGACAGAGCAAGATAAAATATAGGGAGTGTAAGGAGAGGGAAGGGTGCTGGGAGTTCATCAGGCTGTGACACTGATTTCTTGTGGCGAAATTGAAATAATAAATATTACGAAGACACCTGGCATCTTCTTAGGCCTATAAAGAGAGTGCATAGAGAAGAAGAGAAATTAAATACCATGAGCACACAATCGAAGACATGCATGGAAAATCAGAAGTCTCCATGTCAGCATTAAAGGATCCTTTCTGTCTCCTGTGACCTTAGGGGAGGTGAGGCCCAGGGTATGAGGGTGAAGGTACAGCTCCAAGTAGATGCTCAACCCCACCACACCTCTTAGGCTATGGTAAAGACACTAGTGAGGAAAACTGGGAACCTGAGACCTGGGTTGAGGACATTTGAGCAGACATAGATACACCTAAGAACTTGGAATATTATTCCTTTGAACCTCTCTTTGCAGGAAGAGGATGCCTCTCTTCCTCCCCAATATAAAAGAACTGGCTTTTACCTGCATAAAAGCCGTTCAGTTTCTTCACATGGGGCAGGCCTTATAACACGATGCCTATTCTCTCAGCACCCACATCCAGGATGACCAACTTGTCCCAGTTTGCTCATGACTTTCTTGGTTTTAGCACTGAAAATCCTAGGCCCAAGGAACTCCCTCAATTGCTGAAAGCTGGAACAATAGTCACCCTACTCATAGCAACATCTCTCATTTCTTCTAGCCCCATAAAGCTAGTTAGAGTCCTCCCAGCCCAGATGTAGAGGTGAAAGGCTTGCTCCAGAAAGGACAGTTTACTGTTCAAGAAAGCAACAAATTTTTGCTAATGTGAATCAGCAGAAGCCTAGGGGACTTGTGTGGGAGTGGATCCCAAGAGTGTTAAGCCAAAAGGAAACACAAATTGAATTTGGATCCTGCAGAATTTCCTGACATAGATGTTATCACCCAGATCTGGGGATTTTGTGGGTTGATTCACACTAAAGCCCCACAATGCAATAATAGTTGCTAGGTTGCCTAATCAAACCTTGAATGTGATGAAGAGCTTGAAATGCCATTGCATTCCTAGTATGTGGTAGGAAGGAGTCTGGAGGCCTGGAAAAATGGGTTATGTTAGAGGAGCCTATTTTGTATGACTTCCTCGGTCACCCCAGCCCATCGTACCTCTAGGAGGGCCCGTGGACACTGTCTTCACCATTCTGATTACATAAGCACAGAAAATTATTTAGTAGGACACTTAATAGGTTATTAACATGAGTTCCCTGGAGTGGGATGGATTAAAAGAATAGAGGAAGAGCAGAGGTTAAGCAAAACAAAACAAAACAACAAAAAGCATGATATGATCTTATGTTTGTAAAAGTGTATGTGGATGTTTACAAACATAAAAGAATGTTATTTCGAATTTTCTTATTCTAATTTGTATCATTTCGCTGTTTACAGAGAACATGTGTTTTGTAATTAGAAAAAAATGTTTTACTGTGTTAGTTTTTTTAGACAGAAGAGATGAGAGAAGAAGATGAGGAGAGCAGTGTAAGACATCCCAAATATTATTAGGTAAGTTTTAAGAAAACAAGGTTTTTGTAGGTGATGATTTGGGGATTGCCTGAGAGGACATGCCAGGGAAATTTATGGAGATGCAGGAAGGAGAAGACAGCAATAGATGGAGTCTAGGCATGGGGAGATGATAGGTTGATAGGACACCCACATGAGAAATATCCAATTCTAGGAGAAAGGGGGTTGTGTGTATAACGGATAATTCTGGTAGACTAAGAACTCTGTAATATCCTCTCTTTCATTGTTAGAGGTGAGGGCATGAGGACTGACACATAGGAGAGAAATCTAGAATCCTATTTTAGATAAATATCTGAACCAAAAAGAAAAGGGAAAGCAAGGAAAGGAGACCCTTGGAGTCAGCCAACCATGTTAGTCCTGCACGTGGTCAAAAAGGAAAGGGATATGCTTAAAAAGCCCGTAGAACTCTTACAAACTCTGTTGAACCTCTGAAAATGAAACACCAGTCATAGTGCTAGGTTGAAGAATTTCCATGCTGATATATCGGGGTCCGGAAGATTCAAAGGTTGAGAGAAAACAAGTTTGGTGGAACTTGTAGCAGAAGCCACAGTGGTTCACCTGGGGACACCCACAACACAGATATTTAAAGCACCAACAGTTTCAGTTTAAAAAGTTATTGAGAGAGAAGGTCCTGTGGGAACAAACCTAAGGCTGATGGCAAAGTGCTTCCAGGAGGTTGTTTTCACAAGCTTTAAAAATTCTGAAGCAAAGACTAATGCTCACAGACACGTAGCACGGAACTCACAGGCCTTGGGACCTGGCTGAAGATGCAGTAAGGAAGGAGAACAGGAGGTCAGAAGAGTAAAAGCAGCAACTCCATGCATGCTTCAATTTCCCAACCGCTAACTGTGAAGAATCCTCCGCACAAGAAAGGATGGGAGATTTGTCAACAAAAATTGACAAAACTAAGTTCAGCACTCAGGTGCTGAGAATAATATTCAAAGGAAAATAGAAATTGGGGGTCCACAAAGACCATGATGGAGCCTAAAGGAAGAAAGGACACTCTAAATAAGACATGATGACTTAGACCAGCACCATGGCAGATTTTGCAAGATAGAAACGTCTTGAATACTACCTCCTCCAAAATACCAAAATAGCAGATGGAAGGTGCCGGAATTACTTGATGGGAGATTTCTCGACACCTAAGTTTGTCGGCTTTGGAGTTTGTACACCCAACGCAAGAATCTGACTGGCATCTTGGAACCTGAGATTTCAATTATTTTCTTTTCTTCTTTTTTTTTTCTTTTTAACTTTTCTTTGTCTGGACTCCTTTTTCAATAGATCATTCAGTCTTTACTAGAACCAGGTACTAAGTTCCAGAAGCATAATTTCATGGCAGGTAATTGCTAGAGGGCAAGGGTGATTCTTGTCAATTTCCTTAGACTTTTATGGTGGATCAGGATCTGTGATCCCTTATAACTCCCATTGACCCTCCAACATTATGAATGTAGGACGTATGAGAATCTTTGGTTTATTTTGCTTTAGATTACTTAAATTTTTACTCAATTTGGTGGAAGATAGTAAATGTTACAATTGCTGGAAAAGGAATCCTGACTTAATCTAGACATTACAAAGAAAGCAGCTGGGAATAAACAGAAAATAAAATTCAGAGGACAAAAACTTCCATTTGTTTATTTCTGTGAGATTTAATTTGAAACTTTAATTTCTCCTTAAAGAGTGGGAAGGTGGTCATATTTAGTCATATTTGAGGCTTTTGTTTTGCTTTCTTTTGCTCTGTTGTTCAATATTTTGGTCACTGAATTATTTGGATAGCTTTGGTATTCTTTGGTACCCATTTCATAACTCCTTTAGGGGATTCAGGTGAATTATATTGGACAACATGACAAAGAATAACAGATTCACTGAACACAAAATAATCACCTTTATGGTTGATACTATTTGTTTTAATTTATTATCAGTTAGCTTCACTTTCAGGGTTGGCTCATGTGTTATCCATATGTTGCATTTTTCCTACTATGTTACATTCTCTTTATGGCAAGAATATGTTTTTTGTGTGTGTGGTTTTGTAACCCTAAAAGGTATCACAGTGCCATCCACTAAACTGTGGTCAGTAGGCAAAATGAAGTGCCTGGAGTGCCTAGGACAAGGCTTGGCACGTGGAGAGTGTTTCAACCCAGTAGACTGGACGAGTCTTCTGTTGATGATGATGAGCCCAAGCAGCAGTGATGATGACAGTGGCTGGTGACAGACACAGCTGGGAAAATAAAATTCAGCTGGAAAAACAGTCCAATGAGTACTCAGCTAGAGACACAGACATACTGTTTGCTTATGGTTGAACGATATTTCCAGCGTCTGAGCAGGAACCTTACCTCCCACTCTTTGTATGCCTTCTCTTTCCATCATTTGTTACACACAGGAGTCACCGGCTTCAGACTTACCTGCCATGCTTAATTCCCTTAAACGCTAGGATGAGGCTCCAGCAGCTTGCTCTACCCATCGGCAAACAGAGACTTGTGGGGAGAGGGGAGGAGAGGGAATTTTGGCAGAATTTCACTTAAAAATGTGCAGAGAGCTTTATAATATTTTTCTTGGCCCTGCCACTCAGTAGTTACCTTTAAATTTACTTTATGTGAAACCAGAGAAACCTTACACTGAATAACCATTTCAGGTGAAGTTCAAGCTCACAATTTTGTCTTACCTGGTCGGTCTGTCCACGAACCCTCCCCTAAACTATTGGTCAAACTACCACATGTGTTTCTGACCCTTTGAAGCCTCTTTTTCTTTTTCCTCCATGTACATACCTAATATATATGATAGATATCACGTATATCTGCAAATATAAGATGATTATCCAATGTCCCAATGAGAATATTGAAGAAAATAAAATGTTGGTCAATTAAAATGTTAGTGATATAGGTGAAAAAATAAAATCCCTATGCCCAATAATTAATTAGGTAATATGATATTTAAAAATACATACTATATAAAATAATCTTTTAATTTGAAAATTTATTCTTTCAAATTTATGTTTAGCGAGAAATGTTTTTCAGATTTTTCCCACGCATCAATGTCTTCCTCATCATTAAATCACTTCTCTTGAGTCATCAAACGTGGTTTCCCAGAAAACAGCATTTCTGCTTCTTTTTTGAGATAAAGTACCCTTTTAAGCTGTGTCTAATGATGACACTTACATTTTTGCCCCAGGCCACAAGTTCCCATTTTCATAGCATAAGGACTGTTTTTTGTTTATTTTCCCATTCACCCTTGAGGGGTTTATGTGTGGTCTCTGAAATATATTCACTTACTATTTGGCTTTTAAAAATAATACTCTATATAAATGGCTTGATTGAAAAAAAATCTGATACCCCCAGGAATAATTACTGGATCTGTTTAAATTTCTTTGCCTCTTTTCTGTTTTTTCAAATAAATGATATCAAGTCCTCCACTATAAAGATCCAAAATTAGCTCTTTCAGGTTTATGTGTCTTTCCCAAATGGTATGTTGTTCAAATTAAAGTGATTAAGAAAGCAAATGCTGTACTGGAGAATTTGTGAGGATCTGAAAATAACACAACCCCATCTTTTTTAACTGATAACTTTTTGGGGGAAAATAAAAACGATGCTTTATAATCATAGATAGGTACATGTAAGTTTCACTTACATAAAACCTAAGACATATCTATCACAAGGGAATTAGGTCTTATTTAGTCAGGGATGTTGGCTTTTAAGACAGACACTTTACTCATACCAAGAAAACATATACAGAGACTTAGTAGGTCATATACACAAAGGACAAGAATGAAGTGGGTTCAGTACCGATCAAATCCAAGGACTAAAAGAACGTGGTATTCGCTTTTGCTTTTCCTCTCACTCTTGACTAGTCTCTTTGGCAACTCATCTCTCTTATCTCTACTTTTCTATATATTGGGATTATTTTTCTCTTCTTTCATAAAGTTCTTTGTGACGAGGGAAAACACACAGAACAAGCAATGGTAGCCTTCCACCATCCTCAATTAGCAACTGCAGAGAAAGGAAAAAAAGGCAAAGCTGTTTCTCCAAATGCTTGACATACAAAAAGTCCCCAAAGAGGACCTGAGATTGCTGGTCCATTTCTTGGACTCTTAGTCTTATCTGATCTTGTGAGTTATTTTAACTGACCTTGCCTAGATGGATCATCTGCCCCTAAAGCTGGTGTTGTGCAACTGCTGGCTCCTCAAGAAGGTTTCCTGAAGAAAGAGGGAGTAAGCTTTATGGAAAAGAGTAGGAAGAGAATTCTGAACCTACCCAAACCACAGAAGTCTACTGTGGACATTTTAGACTCGTTTAAAAGCAAACTAACAAGAGATGTTTTAAATAAAATATTTGGAAATTGCTTTATCTTTTAAATAATACACTACTTAATGCACATTTCTTTTTTTTTTTTGAGACAGACTTTTGCTCTGTTACCCAGGCTGGAGTACAGTGGCGCCATCTTGGCTCACTGCAACCTCCACCTCCCGGGCTCAAGCAATTCTCCTGCCTCAGCCTCCCGAGTAGCTGGGATTACAGGTGTGCACCACCGTGCCTGGCTAATTTTTGTGTTTTTAGTAGAGATGGGGTTTCACCATGCTGGCCAGACTGGTGTCAAACTCCTTACCTCATGAACTGCCTGCCTCGGCCCCCCACAGTGCTGTGTCTACGTCTGAGCTTGCAGACCAGGAAAGACCAAGTAATCCATCATTCACTTTGTTCTATTTAACCATTCCTATTGTCATCATATGTGATTTTTTTTTTTTTTTGAGATGGAGTCTTACTCTGTTGTCCAGGCTGGAGTGCAGTGGTGTGATCTTGGCTCACTGCAAGTTCCACCTCCCAGTTTCACGCCATTCTCCTGCCTCAGCCTCCCGAGTAGCTGGGACTACAGGTGCCCGCCACCACGCCCGGCTAATTTTTTGTGTTTTTAGTAGAGACGGGGTTTCACCATGTTAGCCAGGATGGTCTCGATCTCCTGACCTTGTGGTCTGCCCACCTTGGCCTCCCAAAGTGCTGGGATTACAGGTGTGAGCCACCGCGCCTGGCCCATATGTGATTTTTAAAAACTTTTCTGTTGTCCTATTATTCTTTACAGCCTGTAAGAGATGTAAAATCCACAAGTTCTCGAATCTAGAGCAGGAACTAAGTCCTAATCAATATTTTAGCATACCTGTAATCAAAGCTTTGGATTTTCCTTAATCTATGAATGATTATGCTTCACAATGAAATATCTTTCTTTCCTCCTGCTCTTTGCAAAAGGCTTCTAACAGCCTCCCTCACCTACCTTCAACTGCTTTTCCCAGCTGCAGGGGATTAAACAAGTTATGAGATTTTCCTAGCAGTAAACTTTCTGAACAAATAGAACAGTACCTAACAGTTTTCCATTGTGGTATTAGGGAATTTTTCAAAGCTTTAATTTTTTTTTTTAAAGTTCTTTTCCAATAGGTTTTAATTGGGAAAGTTTTATAAGCAAAATTAAGCAGGAGAATTAGATTTTCACTTATAAAAATTTCCAATTAGAAAAGCTTAATTAAACAATCCGGCTCTTGCCTCCTTCTTTCCCTTTACATGATCTGGGTGCAGGTATTCCAAAAACGAGAGGGGAGGGCTTAAAAAATCAGAAGATGTAAAATTTCAACATCTGCCACAGTGCTAATGGAGTAAAATGAGTATAGTGCAATTTTTTTATAAGTTCCAAATTCCAGCTACTACTCAGTCAGTTGGGACAGTGGGATGAGCAACTCTCTTGTTCCTGAAAGTTACAAAAGAAAACCTTTGTTCCAAGTAGAAAATCTGAAAGAAAACCTCAGCTTTCCAAGAAAAGAAATTGCTTTAAAAGTGTCAAAATCAGGAAGCCGAGGCGGGTGGATTGCTTGAGCCTCAGGAGTTCGAGACCAGCCTGGGCAACAGGGTGAAACCCCATCTCTACTTAAAAAATACAAAAAAAGTAGCCGGGTATGGTGGCGGGTACCTGTAATCCCAGCTACTCAAGAGACTGAGGCAGGAGAATTGCTTGAACCTGGGAGGCGGAGGTTGCAGTGAACTGAGATCACACCACCGCACTCTATCCTGGGTGACAGAGTGAGACTCCATCTCAAAAAAAAATAAAGAAAGAAAGAAAAGAAAAGCATCAAAGTCAAAATAAAAATGAAGAGATGAATCTCTATATTTAATATTTTATTTAAGAAGAATGAATTGCAGTTCAGGACATACACACCCACTAGGTGTCTTCACTATGTCCAAAGAACAAAGAGAAGGTTGGGTATTATAAAAGAGACATGTTCTGTCTTGCTCTTTGAGAAAGTTTATTGGCACTAGTCAGGACTGGGGGAGCTGGCAAGTTTGGTTGGTGAGTGACAGCAGTGGGTAAAGTTAGTTTTAGAGTTGCAGCAGCTTCAGAAGTCATTAGGTAAAACTGGTTTCAGGTTGGAGCAAGTGGTTTCAGCAGCCAGGCTTGCAGAGAATGACACTTCGGGAGCAATGTTACGTGTCGTGAGTGCTTTTGCCTCTTGGTTTCTCAACTGTTTTAGTTGGGTGTGACAATAATGACTCAATTCATATGATCAACTGTCACAGAAGCTACTTTGAAAAGCTTACAGCTATCAAAAATTCCACCATGCTGATCACCTCAGATCCTTTTTGTTGTTCACTCTGCCTGGAATTCTCTTCTCTCAGGTGCTCACGTAACCAAGGTTGCCAGACTTTGCAGATAAAAATGCAGGATGCTCAGCTACATTTGAATTTCAGATAAACAACAAGTACATTTTTGCTATGCATGCTATACACTGACACTAAAAATTATTTGTTGTTTATCTGAAATTCAATTGTAGCTGAGTATCTGCATGAGTTTTCTGAAGCTGCCATAACCAAGTACCACAGACTGGAGGGCCTCAACAACAGAAATTTATTTTCTCACCATTCTGGAGGCTGGAAGTCCATGGTCAAGGAGTTGGCAGGTTTGGTTTCTCCCAAGGTCTCTCTCCTGGGCTTGTTGACGGCTGCCTTCCTGCTGTGTCCTCACATGGTTTTTTCTCTGTGCACATTCTTCCCTGGTGTCTCTTTCTCTTCTTCAAAGGCCACCAGTCTTATTGTATTAGGGTCCCACCTTTGTGACCTTATTTAATATTAATTGCCTCATTGAAGGACCTATCTCTAAATAGGGTCACCTGGAAATTAGGGCTTCAATACATGATTTTTGCCAGGGGATACACAATTCAGTCCATAACAGCGAACTTATTTTATCAGGTAACCCTGCAGAAGGCTTGTGTCTTCCCCTTCATGAGATCACAACTCAGAAGCCATCTTCTCAGGGCTGCCTTCCCAGGCCCCCTATTTAAAATTACAACCCCCTCTACCCAGCCCCATCCCTTCTTCCCTCCTTTTCAGATGCATTTTCTCCTGCCAGTTACCACTCTTGTTTTTACTTGGTTATGGCTTGTCTCCTCCCACTTGAAGGTTAGCTTCCTGAGGGCAGGTAGTTTTATGTAAACTTTTTTTCTACTGTATATGCAAACCAGTACCTATTGCATGGTACTGACGCTGGTTTGGATCTGTGTCTCCACCCAAATCTCCTTCCAAATCCCCAGTGTTGAAGTGGCGCCTGGTGGGAGGTGATTGCATTATGGGAGCAGTTTCTCATGGTTTAACAATACCCACCTTTGTGTTGTCACAGCAAGAGTGAGTTATCGTGAGTTCTGGTTGTTTAAAAGTGTGTAGCACCTCCCTCCATCTCCTGCTCTTCCTCTGGCCATATAGGAGGTACCTGCTTCCCCTTCACGTCTGCCATGATTGTAAGTTTCCTGAGGCCTCTCCAGAAGCAGAAGCTGCTATGTTTCCTGTACTGTCTGCAGAACAGTAAGCCAATTAAACCTCTTTTCTTTATAAATTACCCAGTCTCATGTATGTCTTTATAACAATACAAGAATGAACTAATACAGGCACCGATCAATGTTTCTCCAATAAATCAACAGGCAACAAGTGGGAAGGGGGAAACCGCTGTCTATGGCTCTTGCAGCTAACAGGCCCATGGAGAAGAGCAAAATTTTGATAAGAAGATTTGATAAGAAGATTCCAGAGCTGCCTCCATATCCAGGTCATTGTGCTGTGAAATACTTGAGGAGTTATATAACTTTCATGGACCTGGGCCACTCGCTAGTAACACAAGCTCCTGGGCCTCATCCTCAAGCAACTGACTCAATTAGACAAGGGCTGGAGATAGAAATCTGCATATTCAATCAACATCTCAGATGATCCTGACATGTGGACAATTCACTGGAAAAGATAATTCCAAAATCAGCTCCAAAACCAGTTTGGATCAGACAAAAGGAATGTAAGAATCGAGGAAGAAGGTACTTCTTGAATTAAAAAACCTTTGGTATACTGAAACTTTTTGATGGTTGCTTATGCCCAGAGCTTGTTACTGAAACTCCACTCAAAATCATTAATCTGGATTTCTATTGCAAATTTGCTAGGGTTGCTGCCCTCATTTTCCCAAGCTTTATTCCCAGGGCCCAAGCTTAGGTCCTATGCTGAGGAGCCACATCTGGACCTGGAAGTAGATAGTATGGGCCTTCACCTGTGGGCTGAGCTATGAGGGGATAGGGCCTGCATTAGGGGCCAGGAGTGGTTATCCAATGAAGGAAGTCCCTGAAAGTGGACACAGAGCAAACCAAAATCCAAGGGACCATACATGAGCGTGCTTGGGAGCCTCAGGGCAAAGCCAGGAGAGCCATTGAGGCAGGGCGGTGAGTGGAAATGGAGGGAGCTGTCAGCGACCCAGAACTGGCTGACATTTCCCAGGCTCTGAAGCTCTGGTCTGCCTCACTGCACACCAGGAAGTGTGTATCCCTCTGCATTGGTTTCTTCTCTTGACACAGCACTCCTGCCTGTCGAGTTGCAGGATTCAGCCTTATCTCATCTTACTTTGGGCAAAACTGGAAGCCCTGGCTCCCGACACGCGCCAGCGTAGCCTTTGCCTATTTCTCTGACTTAATGTCATCTTTCTTCTTTACTCCTCTGTATTAGTGTACTCCTCTCTTTTAGTCCGTATCTCAGGTCTGCCCAGCCCTGGTACACTTTGACATGGATTTGTTTTCTGGGAAGTTCTTTACTTTACAACCAGATGACTGTGTTGAAGAAGGACAAAAAGACATTCCTCTCTGATTTAGGCTAACCTGCTGGTAGTAGATCTTATAAAACTATAGGCAAACAATTTAAAGCTACCTTTTAAAGTCTCCACATTTCTCCAGAAAATACAAATGCTTTCACATACAACCCTGGAACATTTCTTTCTCGTAACATTTCCAATCATGCTTTTTTATTTTAATTAAACTCTGCCACTTATCAAAAAGAATTTATACCAGCTTCCTAATCATTTTTGGAATACCTGTCTTCCTAATAAATGTCTAACCTGAGATACTTGCAGAAATATTATATTTTCTTCTCCACCTTTATTCTATTTAGAATAAGTCAAGAATAATATTTTAATTTAGTGTATTAAATTGTTTCTTGCCATATTCTGTTTTTTTTTTTCAGCTGGCGCTAAATTAAGTCTGCAATTTGTGAAAACTTTTTTAAAATAGTAATTCAAAATTCACATATATTATAAAACTAACAAAGTTTTTTAAAAATTCGAAATCATGTGTTCAGTCTCACTTCAAAAGTGGCACATAGTAAATGCTCAAGAAATATTTGTTGAATTAATAAAATGAAGGAAATGAAAGTGTCAGGAGGTTAACCACTCAGCCACTAAATTGCTTTATGATTTGGGGTTAGTTGGGTAACTTTGAGCCTCTGTTATTTCTCTCACAATATCTTATAAGCACCAAGTGCCATAAATATTCAGGAAATGCCTTGAAAACATTAAGTTGCAAATGTAAGTAATGTATTTTTTGCAGAAGCAGAGAGACTAGTTTCTTCATGAGGGCTAATAGCTGGCCTCTGTGTACCTCTTTTTCTTACTACATGTGAGATTACCTTCGAATCTATATATCAGCCACAATGACAATCTTGGCATGAGGTTTTGCAGGAATGCCAAGTGACATGGGTCCAAGGGTCGTGGATCTCATGAGAAATGGCTGTTGAGGACAAAGAGATGCAATTCTGTTGACCACAGTGCTCTTCTTCTGATGTCAAAACTCCCGTTCCTGTTACTTCCACAAGATCACTGTTTGCTCATCCGGATCAAGGCAGCAAACATGCCCTGAGAGCAACCTGTGTCCACTTGAAAAAGATGGACAGCATCGTGCCTCACCTCTGTCTGTGAGTGGCAGACTGGAAAGGAACCGACCTGAGGTCTTTTCTTTCATGCTGGGCTGCACACACCATTTCTGTGTTCCCTGTTATGGGCAAGCTGTGATGGAAGGCTGAAAAACCTCACCACGGTGTGTTCAGTCATTCAACCATGCACAAACAATTAGCTACTGCATGATATGTGTCTTGCTCTTTAAAAAAAAAAAAATCCATTTCGTGTGGATTCAGATTCCACTTTCAATTTTCAGTCGTGATCTAGAAATCTGCACATATGACTATAATATTTAAAAGATGAATATCAGAAAGAGAAAGCCTATTAGAAGCTAACTTTGAAGAGACGGTCCAAAGGGAAAAATAGGGGTGATGGTTTGGAGAGAAAAAAGTTATAGATAATGAGAAAAAGCTGAGAAGAGAGATCCCTTTTTCATGCTGTATCAGTTAGCTATGCTGCCTAACAAATCACCCCAAAACCCAGTGACTTAAAACAGTGAGCATTTATTATTTCTTGCTACTTTGCTCATCAGCTGGGCTCACCTGCCAGTTTGTGCCAGGCTTACTTATGCAGGTCAGGTAAGGCCAGGTTTAGGCCATTGAGAGGCAGATGTAGGATGCCCTTACCCATGTCTGTGGTTGGTTGGCTGTTCCTGAGGCAACAGACAGACTAGGCCATGTGTCTCCCAACACCCAGCAGGCTAACCCAGGCCTGTATATATGACTACGGATTTCCAAGTGAGTAGAAGCATACAAGGTCTTCGGAAGCCAGTGATTGGGTTCAGAACATGCCACCCCATAATATAGCACCTTGGAATTTGAGAAAACAGCAGAAGTAAGCAGGTCACTCTCACCTTCCTCTCAACGCTTCTCCCTTGAAGCTGACCTTCTCCTGAAGTAGATCATAAAAACTTCTTTCCAGAGGTGCCCTCCCTATACCTGGAGGAAAGAAACATTCTTATCCTTGAGGACACGGAGAAATCAAGAAGGATCTAAACAAACAGGCTTTGCTAAGTTTTCCCCAGTTTATTACTATTAGGTCATACCCCCATTGTCCACTCATACTTCTGCACAACTGTTTACTCTTTATCAAAGCTAAACATAAAAATAGTTTTTTCTCTTTCTTTGAATCTTCATTTCTGGAGTCTCCCATGTAATGTAAAACTTCATTAAATTGTTATGCTTTTCTCTTGATGATCTGTTTCTTGTTATAAGGCTTCTCAACCACAATCCTAGCAATGGATGAGAAAATAAATCTTCTCTCCTACAATGGCCATGGTACAGTATCACCTCTGCTGCAAGCAATTGGCCAAAGCAAGTCATAAGGCGGGCCACATTCAAGGGGTAGGATATTAATTCTGTGTCCTCCTGGGAGGAGCTGTGTAGTCTCTTTGCATAGGATATGGATTCAGGGAGGGCTGGAAAATCATTCCCTTGGCTGCAGTCAATATACTACGCTTGCCTTTCATGAACTTGTGAAAGTCCTACATGAGTGTGGATGTGTTTTTGGTAGAGTGCACAAAGCTGGAGGTAAGGGTTCCTGTGTAACCCTTGGATTCCTGAAAGGCATGTGAAGCCGACTGTGGTAGAGGCCTCTGGAAAAGCTCCCCATGTTAAAAAACCCATAACCTTCTCTTCTCAATAATTAAGCCTAGTGCTCAAATGTCAGCCAACAGATATTTATTGAGCATCCAGCTATGTCTGGCACTGGGGGGGTGTAGGGATGAACCACAAGGACACAGTTCCTGACTTCAAGCTAACAGAGAAAGCAGACAGTAAATGATTCCATGTGTGTTAAGTAAAGCACAGGGCCTGCCACTTCTCCAGCAATAACCCTTGGCATTTCTGTCTCAGATAGATGTACTTGCATTTTCGCACTGCATTTCCTTGCTGTTCGGGCCTCTGGGCCTCTCTACAGACTGGTTCCTTTGCTGGATGTGTTCTCTCTATACTGACAGCTTACATCTTATCTTTACCCCTCCTGCTGAGCTCCCACCCATCCCTCAGGCTCCAGCTTCGAAATCACTTCTTCTGGGAGGTCCTCCTTTTATCTGCTGTGAACTCCAGGATTCTCTGTCATCACAGTGTAAGTCTTATCTTGTCTCTCCCTGTAACCCTGCCTCTCTCTCCCAGGAGTCTGAGACTATGCCTCAGTGACATGAGAATCATTTAGAGCTGAAGACTTCTGGGAATCAACAGCTGCAGGAAGAAGCCTTTCTGAACACCCTTTATCTCCCTAAAAGCAAAGCCTCTCAAAAGAATTCAGTTGTCATAACTTCCCTCCCCAGGAGTTTCACAACCAGAGAAAAAGGACTCCTATCACTAGAGATGAGAAGTCACGTCAGCTCCTGAATAAGAAATCACCTAAACCAACATTGTCATAAAACAACCAGAACTCTCATGTGTTCTAAGGGCCCGTTTATTTTTCCTAAAAGTCATGTGGACTCCCAGAAGTGCCCCTCTGCCCTTCTTCATCCCCTATTAAGATGCTATTTAAGCCCCACATTTCCAACCTATCTCTGACACATTTTTTGGCGAAACCCTGTGTGTGCCTGTGTAATTATATCTGGGATTTTTCCCCCTCTTGCTAAACTGTCTTTTGTCAGTTTAATTTGCAGTTTGTCAGTTTAATCCTTCAAAAACTGAACCTAAGAAGGTAGAGGATAAGTCTTTTTTGTCCCTGACACTCTAAAACTGATGCAAGGGAGATTCTCTTTCTGTCCACTATAATGTTTCCCAAACCTGCCACAGGGTCTAGAAAAGAGGAGGGCTCAGTAAACGGTGGATTGAATTCCTGGATTACAATAGCTACTTGACTGGCCTTTCTAAATTTCAGTTCTTACTCTCTACAGAGAAAGGAAAGTGAGCATAGTTTTTTTTTTTTTTATTTTCTCCAAATGCTTTAAAATGACACATCCTCTAAGCCAAGAGTTGGCAAACTACAGACCCACATGCCAGATCCAGGCCACCACCTTTTTTGTAAATAAAGTTTTATTGGAACACAGCCCTGCCCATTCAATTATGTATCTTCTAGGGCTGCTATTGTGCTACAGAGGCCATATGGTCCGACCAGCCTGCAGTATTTGCTATTTGTCTTTTTGCAGAAAAAGTGTGAGCAGAGAGGAAGAGTGCCCAGGGACTACAGGAATTTAATCAACTTGAGCAATCAGACTGTTTTACATCCTCCCAGCTGACAGCCGGTTTTCCCCCAAATTCTGTGTGGAATGCAGCCACATCGTCTATTGAAACCAGCTCCTGACAGACCCCAACAACTTATACATGAACCTAAGTGAACTATCCTCAGTTCCATGCTAAATTCTCCACCGTGGGAGGGGCTACAGCTTCATTAGCATAACATGAGACCCGTGTTGCTGGCAGGATGACTCACTACATCTGCCCAAATGGGGCCTGTCCTCTATATGCGATGATCCACCCTTTCCTCTCTCACCCCCATAAAACCCTCCTGTCGCTTCCCTTGGGGAGACACCGCTTTGGAGAACACTTGTAGTGCTCTCCTTACTTGTGACAAGTAATAAAACTCCTATTGATTAAAATCTGCATTCTCATGTTACTCGCCAGGCAAATAAACCCTGTTTTTTCTCGGGTGACAAACCTTTACAGACTTCTGATCTAACTAGCTTCTATCTGAAGGGATCTTCACTCAGCAAACATTTCGTAAGTGACTATTCTGTTTCTCACACTGTTAGGCATTGAGAACACAACGATAAATGCAACCCTTGCCTGAAAAAATTGATATGCATGACATGCATGTGAGGAGCCAGAAAATTTCCAGATTTTGAAAAGTCCCTTTATAATATTTACAGACAAATTTTAAACTGGTAGTTATTAAATTCTCTGTCAGAGAGTTGGTAAATGGTGAAATGTCAAGAGAAACAAACCAAACAAAGGATGTTTATGCTTGAAAATGTGGAAAAAATAATGAAAGGCAGAACTGAGCTAATTCTAGGTTCTAAGGTTTTATTTTAAAGGGTACAGGCTAGGTGCGGTGGCTCACGCCTATAATCCCAGCACTTTGGGAGGCCGAGGCGGGTGGATCACGAGGTCAAGAGATCGAGACCATCCTGGCCAACATGGTGAAACCCCATCTCTACTGAACATACAAAAATTAGCTGGGCGTGGTGGCACGCACCTGAAGTCCCAGAGTCCCAGTTACTTGGGAGGCTGAGGCAAGAGAATTGCTTGAACCCTGGAGGTGGAGGGTGCAGTGAGCCGAGATTGCACCACTGAACTCCAGCCTGGCGACAGAGCGAGACTCTGTCTCAACAACAACAACAACAAAAAAAAAAAAAAAAAAAAAAAGATACCAGAGGAAATAGTAAAATGAAAAGGATAAAAGACAAAGCAAAAAATGTAAAGAAACCAGTTGGAGGAGGGGTATTGATCTGAAGGTCTTGAGGCAGGAGTAAGGACTCACTGTCCATGGGCGTCAGGCAGGAAACCTAAATGAATAAGGCAGACAAGGTGTAGGGAAAGCCAGTGTGCCTCTTGGCCATCTTTCATTCTCCCACTTTTTATGGAGACGTAAGTGTAGGAAGATAGTTCTCTACCAGAAGAAAAGGAAATTAATTGCAAGACAATGATAATGGAGAGTTATACATCCTCAGGGGTGGGGGGAACTGGAGCCCAGGAGAAATGGGGGCACATGCCCCTTCCAAAGAGGGTGGCTGCTCCTCAGAGTCTGCTGATCCCAGCCTCCTGAGAAAATAGGAAGACAGGACTAGTTTTGTGCCATCTTCCTAGTTTCCAAGTGAAGCTAGGGATCCACCTTTTTCTGTGAAATATCTTTTTTAAATATTGGCTTGAGCTTCCTAAGAGCCATAATGAAGGGAAAACAGGTCCCAAATGTGGGCAACCACTGAGGCTCCAATAGAAAGGACCTTGTTGGTCAGGAGTTCGAGACCACCCTGGCCAAGATGGTGAAAGCCCATCTCTACTAAAAATACGAAAATTAGCGGGGCGTGGTGGTGCACACCTGTAGTCCCAGCTACTCTGGAGGCTGAGGCAGAAGAATTGCTTGAACCTGGGAGGTGGAGGTTGCAGTGAGCCAAGATTGAGCCACTGCACTCCAGCCTGGGTGACAGAGCGAGACTCTGTCTCAAAGAAGAAAATTTAAAAAAAGAAAAAAAAAGAAAGGACCTTGTTATGTATAAGGCAGTATATGTAAAATATTATTTACAATTATTTCAACAATAGAAGTTTTTTCAGAAGAAATGGTAGCTACTCAGACATGGCAATCTCTGGTTTTTATTTACGCTGACGGGGGAAAGAGATTTGCTTTGAAGTGACTTGACTGGCTTGATTGGCAAAGCTGTAGAGACTGATAATGTTGTACTTGTTATCTTCACTCTGCAATTCTTCAGCCTGGGCCTTCATTTCAACAGGCACCGATACAGGTCCCAGCTGGATATCAGCTAATTATGTCCAAAGACATTAACTGATAATGGCTTTAAAGCCTTACATTTGCAAGAGTTATTTAAATTTTAAATAAGAACTCAAAGATGGAAATTCCATCTTCTTTCTTACCAATCCTTTTACCAAGAACCAAAGCATTATTAAACAACAAAGCATGAAACAAATGAATTGAAGGCCCTCAATAGATCATAGATGACATGGCACATTTTAGATTTCAAGTGGCATCAATTAATTAATTTAATAAAAATGAAGCTTTTCTTTAGTTCTGGAGGTTATTAGGAGTCTCTATTGATACTCTTTATGACATTCCAGCATCCTTAAGGAAATAAATCTAATTAATGGGAATAAATGAGAAATTTCAAGAGAAAAAGAAAGTGTGCGTTTTTTTCTTTTTCTTTTCCTTTTTTTTTTTTTTTTAGCTAGGAGCACTGGATCTGTTTACTGGAAAGATTCTATTTTAATGTTGGCCCCTCACACAGCTGAACTTGATTATGAAGAGAGAAATTGTTTGGTTCATTAGGCTTTAATTATAGAGATGAATTATTATGGATAAAAAGAGGAAGCCACAGAATTATGGAGATTGAATTCCAGTTCAATAAACAACTTCAAATATCTTGACTGGAGACATAAACTAGTCATGTTCTTTTTTTCCCAGTTTAATTTGATGTCTGTTGACAAATGATATTGGAATGTCCCTGAAAAAAAAAACTTCATATTTACAGTGTGTTAGAAGTTATCATTTAAATTACACTTCCTTCTCTAATTATATTTTCTGATGGTGTACGAAGATAGATAGGTGTTGCTTCCACATGAATTTATTTTGTGTAATAATGACAAAATGTTGCATTTCTGTTTTGCCACTATTCATGTAATCAGATTGCATTTATAATAGCTCAAAAGCCCTCCATTGGAACCCCAATGTATAAAAAGACAAGCTAAAAACCCTGAGCTTGAGATTTAAGGACTTTCAGAATCACATCCAACTCAAATACTTAATATTATCATTCCATATTTTGTTGTAAAGGTGCAAAGCTTTGACTGTAACAAGTGTTCTATTCACCATCTCACAAATAGTCCTTACATATTCCTGCTTCTGAGATTTTAGGCACATCTCTTCCTAGTCTGAATTTGCCCTTTTAAATTCTACTTACCTAATGCCTAAATGTCAGGCCCAGTTAAAAATTATGCTTCCTTTGGCCTTCTGAGCATAGGACTCAGTGGATGTTGATACCACTCTCTGATTTTATAAAATACTTAATATCTATAACATTCTTCTTAAAGACTCATACATTCTTGATAGTCTTTTACTCTGAAGTCATTCAGTCAGATTTTCAGCTCCAGACACATAATTTCTTATTATTTTAACATAATAGTTCTATCAAAACATTGTTTAAAAAAGTAATACCTGTATGGCAATAGAAAATCTGAAAGTTGTCTATTTGATGGTATCAAAGAACTATTTTGAAATTCTTAAGTGTGATAGTATTACGGTGGTTATGTGGTTGGGTTTTTTTAAGAACTTTTTTTATAGTAATTATGCATAAAGTAATGTAATGTCTAGAATTTGCTTAAAATTAATATAGGAGCGAGGTAATTTAGGGTATAGACAATATGTAGGGGAAGAAAAATATCTTTCTGCTATTCCTAGGTTTGTGGCTAAAGCCACTTGAATGAAAGACAGATTAACAAGAGAAAGCATACAAATGTATTTAATGTACATTTTATGTGACATGGGGGCCTTCATAAGGGAGCAAAGACCAGACAAACCTGAGCTAGGCTTGATGAAGAACGGAGAGTCGTGGAGGAATAAGATTCTCCGTGACAATAGGATCCAATGGTAATAAACTGAGGGGACTTAGTAGGGCCTGTTTGTTCAGATTTTTTCCGTGTCCCTGTGTGTTCAGAGAGAAAGATGCTCGTTTCCTCCAGGTATATGGAGGGCACCTCTCACATTTGACCAATCATCAGTGATGGTTGTTGAGTTTCAGGATTATGGGGGTTGATATACTATGCTATCTACTTTTATTATATATGTTTAACTTCCCTTCCTTCCTCCCTCTCTCCTTCTCTTTCTTTCTTTTTTTTCTTTCTTTCTTTCTTTCTTTTTTTTCACAGTCTCACTCTGTTGCCCAGGCTGGAGTGCAGTGGCACAATCTCAGCTCACTGCAACCTCTGCCTCCCAGGTTCAAGCGATTCTCCTGCCTCAGCCTTCTGAGTAGCTGGGATGACAGGGGTGCACCACCATGACTGACTAATTTTTGTATATTTAGGAGATATGGGTTTCACCATGTTGGCCAGGCTGGTCTTGAACTCCTGGCCTCAACTGATGCACCCACCTCTGCTTCTCAAAGTGCTGGGATTGCAGGTGTGAGCCATTGTGCCCGGACTAATTTTTCACTATATAAAAAGTTTTCATTTTGGGAGGCCTAGATGGGTGGATCACTTGAGCCCGAGATTTTGAGACCAGCCTGGGCAACATGATGAAGCCTCATCTCTACCAAAAAAAAAATAAAAATAAAAATTAGCAGGGCATGGTGGCACATTCCTGTAGCCCCGTTACTGGGAAAAGGTACTACTCTCAAAACGGAATAGCCACTTGGTCTTGGGTAAGTCGCTTCGCCTTTCTGAAGCTTCAGTTTCACTCTCTCAAGATGTTCCAGCGAATGCCCCAACCTCAGCCACTTTCAGCTGTAAAGTGCTGTGAATGTAGGCATTTAGGAATCAAAGATAGATTTTTTTGAAAATGAGAGAATATATAAACTCTCCAGCGTGATCACTTTAACACCAACAAAGTATAGTCCCTCTCGGGAGGGAGATAAAACACACATAAACTCAACAGGGCAGAAGGGGAAGAAACGTGGACTGATGGCCACAAGATAATGAAGCTTCCATTCCAGGGTTTGTTTTGAGAGCAGTGACTTGGTAAGAAAATGTTCACTCCTGAGATCTGTAAACCTTAAAAGCCCAGAGGGACTTGGAGTTTCAGCCTCAGTTCAGCCCGGACTGGGTTTACAAAGTCACTCTGGACACATGGTTGGTTTGAATCAGGGAATTGAAATAAATATTAAATCACAGAGTGTGAAAAGACCAAGGAAAATAGGTTAGGCAGGTGAAGGCCAATCCAACCAGAACCGGGTTGTATTTTACGGTAGGAGAGTGGTGGGTCTAAACATTCTGTAGTCTATTCCAGCATATTTTCACTCAGTGGCCAAGATCTAAATATTCTGTAGTCTATTTCAGCATATTTTCTTCTTGTGCAATTGAAATTTTTCCTTTCAACAGGGGTCCATGCTTCATTGCCGAGTCCTCTGCAGGCAGAGAGAATAAATAATGTTTCAGTTTCATGATCATCAAAAGCCCTTCAAATAGTTGAAGGCAGAGAACAAGTTATCTTGAGCCTTGCCATGGTTAACTAGCCTCTTCAAGAAAGGCAATTCACACAGATAAACTGGAGGGGGGAAAAAAAGCACTTAAAACTTCTCTGGATGATCAGAATGGAGGTATTTGCGTTTTACTGAGCACAAGTGTCAGACATCTGGGGGCAGTGATACTCTACTTGTTAGCCTGGTTGACTTTCATTGATCCCAAGCCTTGATTACAACAGGCGGCTCCTTTGATATGTGAGTTATTACTGCAATGTGTTGCTGAAGCTGGATGTCATATACTAAGATTATGGGAAAACAAAGCAAAATAAAATCCATTCTTTTAACTTTGAATATGTCAGCAACTAATAGGAGAAAAAACAACTCTAATTTGTTGAGTACTTGCAGTTGTGCCAAAGGCCTTTGAAAAACTGTTTGTATTATAATCACCTCAATAAAAAAGATATTTCCTTATATAACAAGTGAGGAAATGTAGAGTGACAGAGTTGGAATTTCAGAATAGATGACACCTAAAGCTATTTCCACGCTTAGTAGTTTCTCTACCTCGGCTGCACATTAGAATCACCGAGGAGGTTCAAAGAAGGCTGCGACCCTACCCTTCTAAGATTTTAACTCATTTGCTTTGGGTGAGGCATCAGTACTTTTTTTATTTTTTATTTTTCTGGAAATGGAATCTAGCTTGGTCACCTAGGCTGGAGTGCAGTAGTGCAATCTCGGTTCACTGCAACCTCTGCCTCCCAGGATCAAACAGTTCTCCTGCCTCAGCCTCCCAAGTAGCTAGGATTACTACTAGTTTTTTATTTTGTTTTGTTTTGTTTTGTTTTGTTTTATTTTATTTTATTTTATTTTATTTTATTTTATTTTATTTTATTTTATTTTATATTATTACAAGTAGCTAGGTGGCATAACCACCACAGCCAGCTAATTATATTTGTGTTTTTGTAGAGACGGGGTTTCACCATGTTGGCCAGGCTGGTCTCGAACTCCTGACCTCAAGTGATCCGCCTGCCTCAGCCTCCCAAAGTGCTGTGATTACAGGCATGAGCCACTGTGCCTGGCGGCATCAGTATTTTGTATTTGGGGGTTGCCCAATACACGTTGAGAGACTCTATCTGCCAGTAGGAAGTCACTTTCTCTCTCTTCCCCTTGGTTTGTATAACAAGGAGCTTGGTCTGATATACCTCTAAGGTAAAGAAGCAGTTTAGTGGATAAGCATGCAGGCTCTAGAAGCCACCTGCCGGGGTTCAAGTCCCCTCTCTGCCACTTACTAGCCTTCTGGGACTCTGTTAACATGCCTCCAAAACAGGGTTACTACCAGTACTTATCACATACAGTGGTGTTGGGAGAATAAGTGTAAAGTGTTTAAAAGACTGTCATCTCCTCTCCTATGTCATTGCTATTATCAGTGGTTGGCCCATCTCACTATGAGCCATCCAGAGCCCAGCCTCAGATGTCTTCTTCATGTGCTCTTTGAAGACAGAATTTCACTGCTGATATTCTTCTGCTTCCCTGGGTCTAACCTGTCGCCTCCCACTTCTCTGATCTTCACTGTTTTCCTATTTCCCCATTATAGTCTTCGCCTAAAACTTTGGTTCCAACAAGTTCAGGGGTTCATTATTCTATTGTACCTACTTTTTGTCAGTTTAAAATTTTCCATTTAAAATAGCTAAAATTGTTTTAATAAAATAAAATAATAAAATGAGCCTAAACTGTCTCTTCTATCTAATGCATGCACCATCTGGTTTCCAAAATGTTTACCAGTGGCTTCTGTCTCACATTTATTATTGTATGTTATTATTAATAAATCCATTATGAAACCTCATTGTTTATCTGCGTGAATGCCTATTCACCTGGATTTACCATTTAAACATTCAGAATAACCCTTCTGGGGAATGTGTTGCTTTTTCTAACATTAACACACAATCTTTAGTCTATGTCCCAAGAATGCAGACTGCTAAGTTTAAATGTATTTGCTATACATCACTGTTCCTGTCTTAGATAGTCAGGCATTTTTTGCCAAGGGTCTTATTATCTGCAAGGCTTTGATTGTTTATTGTGCTGTTATCTTGAGGAGTATTATCAGCCTCTCTTATCCTCTGGATGCCTTGGTAACATGCATAATGAGAGTGATGGTGGACGCTTAAGGTTTAGAATAACACTTAACAACTCTTAGAACGGTATAATATTAAATCTATAGGAACCTTGGTGATCTTCTAGGCCAACCCCTCATTTTGCAGATATGGAAACTGAGGCCCCAAAAGTGGCTGCACTTGCCTGAAGTCCCACAGCTATTGAACAACACAAACTCTTTCTTACTCTCAGATGTCTTTCCTAGTCAATATCTCTGATGAAAGAGAATGTAGTGAGGGCAGAGTGGAGAGCAGAGTGAGGATCATGTGAGTGTGGGGGAATTGCTTTCAAAAAGTAAACGTTGCAACTGGCCTAGCTTCAACAAATTTCTTAGGTTGGTTCTCAAACCTTACAGTGCATCAGAATTACCTGGAGGGCTTATTAAAACACAGATTGCTGGGATCTTGCCCCGGAGTCTCTGATTCAGATAGCCATGGAGCCTGAGCATTTGCCTTTTTAACAAAGGGACTACCCTTTGAGAAACAGAGTCTTAGGTAAGTACAACAGAACTCACGTTCCTGACTCCCAATTATTATAATTGTTGTTGTTAATCATTATTGTTATTATTCTCAAGTCCAGTGCTCTTCCCAACACATGGCTGTGCTTCCTTGCAAGGTAGTTTATATTGGCATCCGCACACTAGGTTTTCTCCCTCTTCTCCTTTTCACTGTTATCCTTCTTCCTCTGTCATCACTGAAGCTCCTGTTATGTGTCTAATGATGAATAACACTCTGCTTGAGTAACACAGATGAGCTACCATGCTAGAGTGGTCACTCTATGTACTGAAGCACTGTTAGTGGCTAGAATCTCAATTAAGTCATTTCAGCTCTGCAATGTGGTGGGAGAGGTAGGCAATCATTCGCATTTACAATCTTCAGGCAAGAGAAGCCAAGAGAACGCTTTCATATTCTTGATAAGTTATTTCTTCTGACTCACTCATAACTCCAATTGTGACTTGGTATCAAAGGAGTAATATTTGAATGGCTTATGCAGAGTTGTTAGAACACTGATCACAAGCCAGATACCAGATACCAGGACTGCTTTCCCTTGATAATAGCTTCTGAACCTCTTTCCCTTATAATAATGACTCAGGTCGAAATGCCTCATGCAACTGATACATATGTTGACTACATAGCATAAGAAATTCTATGCTGAAAATAAGAGGCATATTGCTATCCACATTATATATGGTAATGCACGTGGGATTGTGTTCCCACTAACAATGAATCACGCATTTCAATTTGAGTCAGTATTTTATGATGTCTGTCCATAGGAAATATGATAACATGTTCCAGAAGTTGTGAAAGGACCTTTCTTTTATCCATTGCTACAAAAGTCATTGCAAAAACACATCCCAAGTAGATGAGAAAGGGACAGATTCAATCTCCTGGGGAAAAACATTGCTGCATTCAAACCCATTGATAAGAAAAACTTCAGTCTCTAAAGCCATAAATACTTAAGGATTCCTAATACCTGGATAATCTGGTTCTTCTACAGTGCCTTGACTTCTCTACTTTCCTTATTGAGGAATGGTTCAGTCTTGTTTGATTTTTATTTTTAATATATTGCTCCCATTACAATTTATAATTGTAACAAAGCATTACATTTATGGTGTTATGTTAAGAAGAAGAAGAAAAAAGACTATGTCTCTATGAATTGAGTAAAATAGTTGCTCTTGGGACCTGGATAAGTTATCAGCTCACAAACAGTTATACTAAACATTGTTCTAACTGGGATGTTAGTGTATTTGCCTGTATTTTAAGGTTGATATTCAGGAGGACAATCAGACAACATATTCCTTTGTGTTGCTTTCAGAGAGAGGACAAGGTGGTGACTAGACCATGGAACATTTCAAACTGAAGACTGCATGAAATCTGATGGGCTGTGATCCAATTAACAGCAAAGCAATTCAACATAATTGACCCCCAAATAGTAAAGCCATTTCATTGATTCTATTTTCACTCAACTAAGTTGCACGTTACTAGGTCTTTGCAGTGGTTGCAGTGTACTTGAACAAATAAATGAGAACACAGGTAAGTATCTGTGCAGGTGTGGGGTCTGAAACAGAGGATGCCCAGGGACAGCAGGAGGGGTCGCTCAAAACAGAGCTCCTTCCCTCCTTTCCCTGCCAAGCCAAGGCTATTACCATGTAGTACATTGTATCATTCTGTCATTTTTCAGTTCTCTAATTTTTTCCAGCTGTGAGCCAATCAGATTGCTGACACCCCTTTCATGTCTCTTGCAGCATTATCTAGGGATTCATTATTTAAGAAGCCATTTTACCCATGTGTGTATGTGTGTACACACAGAGAATAAAGTCCCTCTTGTACTGTTGGTATGATGTCAGGGGCAGTTTCTCACTCCCTTCTACAAAGCTTTCCTTCTTCTGATGCAGCAATTAGTCGACTATTAATAAAAAGACATTAGGTTATGCTTATTTATTTTTAAAGAATGACATCATTCCAGGCCTTAATGTGTAGCAATGGAGCAATTCACAGGTCTTTCCATTTATTACATCATGGAAGCTGATTGAACTTGGCAATTACCTTGCTGTTTTCCCAACAGTTACGGAGGTGCTGAAAAAGGACTTGGTTGCAAGGGGCTGAATAAACATATATGTGGCTGTATGTCCTCTTATTTTGTTAAGTGAGTTTGTGCCCAGTGAAAAGTACCCACAGAGCCTAGTTTAGAGTACAGATATCCTCAATTTATTCCATAGCAAATCTACAACTCTCAGTCTGAGAGGTTTCGAATAAAGTCGTGTTAATCTTTAATTAGTTCGCTGGCCATCAGAGACTATCAGAAAACAAGGGCTGCTAACTAAAAGCTACAAACCTCCCATTTCTAAATTGAGCCATTATAGGAGCATACCAGCTGAAACACTCATAGATTCATAGGATTTTGAAAATGAAAAGGACTTTGAGGTTCAATTTTAGACATAGGGGAATTGAACCCTAAATTTCTGAGGAGCTTGATTAATTCTGCACAGTTAGCAAGTGGGAAGACTGGGTTTATTTCCACAATGTGATAATACCCCCTCTTAAACATGCTACTGCTCTAGAATATGGCAGATTCTCTTTCCATAAGTAGAACTTATGATATTTTACTTCAATTTACTTGGTACTTTGTATTGAATTTTTTTTTTTTAATAATCATCTTGTTGCAAGAATACTCAAGCCATAAGGATGCTTCCCATGTTGAATGACTTTATACTATAATTCAAGACTCAATGCCAGGACGGTTCAAATCACTGATGCTCATGAGCAACTGGAATCATGGCACCTCCCCCTTCCCAAAAGACTTCACAATTTAAGGACACTGATTAGTCTTCAGCAACAAAATCAATTTTTTTCCTCAACTTTCATTATGGTCAAGGGCAAAGCAGTGGTCTTATCAATAAAGGATTTGATTATGTTAGTCATTAAGAAGGTAATCAGATCTATTATTACTCAGTGATGGAACTGCCACAGGCCTAACTAATTGAATATAAGGACATGGCCTTTGACCAAAGCCAGTCAAGGGAAACTTCTTTTTCCACACTCACAGCTTCTGCTTATAATAAGGCCTTGGCATGACAGATAATGAAAAGACTCAGAAACTGACCATTGATGTTACCAATATGTATGTGTTTCCAGAATCAAGATTCAGATTTACAAAAAAGATGCGACAATTTGTTCAAGGTTGTAAGCAATTAGGCTCCATCCATGAATGCACTTAAAAGATTGTCATCCAACTCAAGCTATGGGTTTCAAAGGTTTGCAGAGTTTTTAATACTTTTGTGTGTTTTCAGGACGGAAGACCACTGTAAAATGACACCACATAAATATGACTGTTTCGTGTGAGGATATTTCTTTCTTTTTCTTTTTTTTTTTTTTTTTTTTTTTTTTTGAGAGGGAGTCTCGCTCTGTCCCCCAGGCTGGAGTGCAGTGTCATGATCTCGACTCACTGCAAGCTCCGCCTCCTGGGTTGACGCCATTCTCCTGCCTCAGCCTCCCGAGTAGCAGCGACTACAGGCGCCCATCACCACACCTGCCTAATTTTTTGTATTTTTAGTAGAGGCGGGGTTTCACCATGTTAGCCAGGATGGTCTTGATCTCCTGACCTCGTGATCCGCCCACCTCAGCCTCCCAAAGTGCTGGGATTACAAGCGTGAGCCACCACACCCGGCCGAGGATATTTATTTCAACATTTATGGTGATTGTCCCATCCATAGGAGAGTAAGCACAGCACCTCACATGAAGTGGACCATCAGGTGTGTTTACCAACAATAAATGGACTGTATTACTCAGCCCCAGACTCCAGGAAGAAAACTTGTCCATAACAAAATATGATTAGCTGAACAATATGGCTGGTGCAGCAACACAAATGCCTTAAATACACACCAGCCTTACCACTGTAGGGGCAGAAAAGTGTGAAGCCTTCCTTCACCCATCACAGGCGTCATGGTCGACACTCCTATAATAAGAAACAAGGTAACAAGAGAAATGCATAACAATCTTATTTTATCAAAGTCTTACTTGACACAGAGCTTTTTGAACTGAAGACCCAAAGACCTAGAGAAAACTATCTATTTTTATGCTTAGGTTCAATAAAGAATGCACAGCCATATAGAAATCTGATTGGACAAAAGGGTGTGATCTCGTGGTAATAGACTGAGGACAGGACAGACCCAGCAAGGTTCATCTGTTCAGATTCTTCTTGGTCTCTCAATGTTGTGTCTCTTCCCCAAGATATAGGACAGGACCCCTCTGGAATTAGGTCTTCAAGGGAGATGAGAGAAAGGAAGAGTGACATTTCTGGGTTTTACGACTTGCTTTGGGGAGAATAGTTCTAGTTTCTTTTCTTTTTCTTTTTTTTTTTTTTTTTTTGAGACAGAGTGTCACTCTGTCGCCCAGGCTGGAGTGCTGTGGTGCAATCTCGGCTCACTGCAACATCCGCCTCCCGGATTCAAGCAATTCTCCTGCCTCAACCTCCTGAGTAGCTGGGATTATAGGCATGGGCCACCACGCCTGGCTAATTTTTTGTATTTTTATTAGAGACAGGGTTTCACCACATTGGTCAGGCTGGTCTCAAACTCCTGACCTCATGATCCACTGGCCTTGGCCTCCCAAAGTGCTGGGATTACAGGCATGAGCCACCACGCTCAGTGAAGAGTTCTAGTTTATATAACGTGACTTGGGAAGAGGAATTCTGGATTCTATGACTTGCTCCAGAGGAGAATGAGGGACAAGAGAGGGGAGAGCAGAAGAATATTAGAGAAGCCTTGCTTCTGAGACCTTCCAGTCCTCTTGTTCAAAGTACTCAGTGGGTCAAGGTGCCGTAGTTTGAGATATCATGTTCTGAGCCACAGCCCCACAGATTCCAGCACAGGATCCTAACAGTTCCTATACCATATGCATGGCCAATGACACTAGGTATTGGACAATTTATGTATCCACTAGACTTTGTTACTTAATGAGAGGCACCCCCAGCATCGACATTGCTGGAAGCGTGCCAAAGAAACAGAGTCTTGGGCTCCCACCAAGACCCACTAAATGAGAATCTACACTCAAACAAGATCCCCAGGTGATTCATTTGCAAATTAAAGTTTGAGAAACCCTGTTTTAGAGAAGTAGTTATCACAACTTGAACACACTTTGGAATAATGAAGAGTTTTAGAAAAGACGAATGCCTGAGTCTGACCCCCTAGACATTCTGATTTAATTAATATGAGGGTACAACTTGGGCCCTGGGATTTTAATGTGTAGCAGTTTGCCAACCTCCGCTCTAGAGCAGTTTCTCAAGCTTCATTGATAAAAATCTCCAGGAAATGCATGTTATAGTTTCAAATTCTCAGGATTCCTCCTGGACTCATGATTTCAGTATCTCCAAGAGCCAGGTTTTGGAGGCTGCATTTTTACCAGCACCCTAGGTGACTCTTCATCAGGAACGTTTGGAAAACACTGTTTCAGAGTAGTTCAAAGACATAGAACCCAGAAAAGAAGGAGTATCTATCAAAGCAATGTGCTTCTTGACTCTCCTAATACATGGCATTACTTCGTGTGTCATCATAGAAATGCCCATTCATGAGGCACAATTATGAATTTATTGTGCTTGGTTCACTAATGAATTGTGTTGACTAGTAATCTCTATATTTTAGAACAGGATCTTTAAATTCATCATTTACTCATTCATTCATTCCAAAAATATTTATTGAAGGCTATAAGTACCAGACCAAGTTCTAATTACAGTAGACCCTTGAACAACATGGGCATTAGGGGTACTGACCCCCACACTATCAAAGACCCCCATGTAACTTTTGACTCCTCCAAAATTTAACTACTAATAGCCTGCTATTGACTAAAAGCCTTACCAATCCACACGTTTTGTGTGTTATGTGTATTATATGCTGTATTGTTAAAGTAAGTTAGAGAAAAGAAAATGTTATTAAGAAAATTAAAAGAGAAAATATATTTACTATTCATTAAGGAGGCGTGGATCATCACAAAGGTCTTTATCCTTGCTGTCTTCACTTTGAGTAGGCGGAGGAGGAGGAGAAAAAGTGGGCTTGGTCTTGCCGTCCCACTGGTTGCAAAGGTGGAAGGAAATTTGCAATAAGCAGGCTCATGTAGTTCAAATCCATGTTGCTCAAGGGTCAATGGTACCGAGGATATAATGTTGAACAAATAGAAGTCCCTACTACCTGGCATCTCTATTCTAATAAGAGACTAAATAGTAAAAAAAAAAAAAAGTAGTAAACAGGATAACCTAGTTATATATTTGAGGTGTTGTGAAAGAATAAAACTCATTAAATAGCAGAAACTGGCTAAGGGTAAAGAGTAGTTTACGTTAGGCAGGCTAATGGGAGTTAGATTTATTAATAAACTATGAGAACCTCTTTAAAAGAAACTCAGAAAAGTGTGCTCCAGACAGAGGAATAGCAAGTGCAAAAGGCCTGAGCTGGAACAAGCTCAGTGTGTTCTAAGAATAGAATATCAATGTAGTGGTTTCACAGAGAACAGGAATGTTTCAGGGTGAGGTGGCAGAAACAAGCATGGAATCAAGTCATGCAGGATCTTGCGGGCCCTGATAAAGGGGTTGGGTTTGACTCAAAGAAGAGTTGAAAGTCACTGGAAGATTTTGACAGACAAGTGATATGTTTTGGAAGCTTTTTGGAGAATGAATTTTGGTGGTCAGAGTGGAAGCCTGTTGGGCAGCTATTACAGTTGTCCAGGTAAGAGATGAAGGTTTTTTGGCCTGGAGAAAGTTCACCTATTCCCCAGTGTTTGTTCTATCGAAATATTTCTATCAGTTGATTTTCTTCCCCTGTTTAAGGAAAAAGAAAAAGAAAAACAGATTTTTTTTCCCCTGTGGTTTTTATGTTTTATAGAAGCCTTTTTTTTTCTTTGTACATCCAACCAGAACAAGTGAATTCTTACCATTTTCGGAGTGAGAGTGGGGGAGGACTGTCCACCCATTCCTGATGAGCCTTTTACTATGGTTTAGGTAAAGATTTTTATTCATAAATCTCTAGAGTATTTGCTTTTCATGACTTTTTTTCTAACTTTGGTTTTGAAGCCCCTTTAATGCTCTTTGTCAATTGTGCAATGCTTTCCATGTGAGTGGAAGGAGAACTCATACCATTTCGAGTGGTTAAGTGCCTTTAAATGATTTAAAATGCTGGGAAGATATTTAAGTCTTTGGCAGGGGGATTTGAAGAGCATGTTATTTCCAGCTGTGGGTTAGGTCCATATTTGGATGGAGAAATTCTTAGCATCAAGAATATCACAGAATACATCCAGGTGTTTTTAAGAGCTGCAAAAATGTCACAGCTAAGAAGAACCTTTCATTGTTCCTTCAAGATACTACACTGCCACACTCCTTTCTCAATGAAAATGAATACCATGAATCGTGCTGCTGAAAGGACTCTTGGATTCAATCCAGGAGGCTAGGAGGAAAGTGGGCTTTGGAGAACATTAAAAGCAGGAAACTGGAGCAGGAGAGTGTGGGCACTTGCGAAGGTGCTAAAGATGAACAGGACTTAGCTTTGTAAAGAAGGTGGTTGGGGGTAGGTGGTAGAAAATTCCATTCTGGAAGAGTAAGAGTTATAAAGAATGGGAATTGGGAGGGGAACTCGAAAAGTAATAAAGCATTACATTTATGGTGTTAGGTTAAGAAGAAGAAGAAGAAAGACTATGTCTTTATGATTTGAGTAACATAGTTGCTCTTGGGACCTGGATAAGTTATCAGCTCACAGGCAGTTATACTAAACATTGTTTTAACTGGGATGTTAGTATATTTGCCTGTATTTTAAGGTTGACATTCAGGAGGACAATCAGACAACATATTCCTTTGTGTTGCTTTCAGAGAGAGGACAAGGTGGTGATTAGACCATGGAGCATTTCAAACTGAAGACTGCATGAAATCTGCTGGGCTGTGATCCAATTAATGGCAAAGCAATTCAACATAATTGACCCCCAAATAGTTGACTCAGTGACACATGGATAGAGCTTTGACAGCTTAGCAGTGAGATCAGGAAAGGAAATTAATATGTGATTTAAGTAAATTCAGGAATCTGGTAGTTTAATGGACTTAGACACTTTCATCCTTTGTTATTAAATTGAATCTGGCCCAGTTAGGAGTTATTGGAAAATTGATTGTAATAAACTGGCGTCTGTGATATGCTTCTTCCTGGATCACCTGGGGGAAATGATTCAACAACAGCACAGGCACACACTCACACACTTAACTTACACAGACCCACCTTGTGTTTCTTCCTAGCAGGGTGGGTGTAAAGTGTGATAAATGGTGAAAAGGTTTGGAACCAAAAGTAGGACTTATGAATGCCAGAAAACCCAGGGTTGGACATAGTTCAAGCAACACATTTTTAATTAAAAGAAAAAATTGGTCTTAAGCTTGTTTCTTCTAGATTCAGGTTTCATATTTAATCTAACATTTTCATGGCTGCTGTAAGGACTTGGGTTTGTTGCTTAAGTCTCCCTTGAAATACCTGTTTATTCATTGGGTTTTAGACTCTACTGCTGTGACTCTTCCCCCACCACTTTATCTATGCATGTGCGGGTATATGTGTCATGATATAATATATGTGAAGACAGCAGGTTTAAATTTTTCATTAGTTTGTTAGTGCAGAAGGAATACATAATTAGAAAACTTTAAACCATTAAGTGAAATAACTCAGAAATAGAAAATCAAATACGGCATGTTCTCACTTATAAGTAGGAGCTAAATAATGTGAACACATGGACACATAGAGCAGTATAATAGACACTGGAGTCTCAGAAAGGTGGGATAGTGGATAGCGGGAGGTGTTGGTGAGAGATGAGAAATTACCTAATGGGTACAATGTACACTATGTGGATGATAGTTACACTGAAAGCCCAAACTTCTCCAGTGTGCAATATAACCATGTAAGAAAGCTGCACTTGCACCCAACAATCTATTTTTAAAATTTTAAATGTAAATAAAATTAAATTAAATTTCAAATTATATGAAAGTATTTGAAGCAAAAGGTAAAAGAATATTTAAATTTAAATAGACATTGTCAAATAGTCTTACACAGAAAGCTTGTGCCAATTTATACTCTCACAAACAGTATATGAGAAATCCCTTTTTTTATTCCTTTGCATAGTTTGTATAATAGTTTAGTATATGTGTCTCAGTGTAAACTTGAGCGTTTATGAATGTGGAGTTCGGGGTTTGTTTGTTTTCATTTCACAAAATGATGTTGCTTACTGTTCTCCAGGCTCCCTGTCTGCTTCATATTCCTCTCAAACAGCAAGCTCCAGCCAGGGCCAGGTCTATATCCTTACTCCTTCCTTGGCCTGGGAGACTTCTTTGATTCTGCTAAGTTGTCATCTTCTCATCTTCCAAGCCTTAGCTCAAACAAAATTTTCCCTACAGAATTTCCCTCTCCACTGTTATAGAGAAATCCCAATTCACTCCAAAGTAACCATCTGTATCACACTTCTCTATTTATTTCCCTCAAAGAATGTATCAGAATCTGAAATACCCTTGACCATGTATTTATTTGTTTTCTCTCTCTCTGTATTAGTCCATTCTCACACTGCTAATAAAGACATACCCGAGACTGGGTAATTTGTAAAGGCAAGAGGTTTAATTTTCTCACAGTTCTGCAGAGCTGGGGAGGCCTCAGGAAAATCACAATCATGATGGAAGGGGAAGCAAACATGTCCTTCACATGATGGCAGGAAGGAGAAGAATGAGTGTCCAGTGAAGGGGGAAGCCTCTTACAAAACCATCAGATCTCATGAGAACTAACTCACTATCACAAGAACAGGATGGGAGAAATCACCCTCATGATTCAATTATCTCCACCTGGTCCCTCTCATGACCAGGGGATTATGGGAACTACAATTCAAGATGAGATTTGGGTAGGGACATAGCCAAACCATATCATTCCATCCCTGGCTCCTCCCAAATCTTATGTCTTCACAATTCAAAACATAACATACCCTTCCAACAGAAGTCTTAACTCACTCCAGCATTAACTCAAAAGTCCAAGTCCAAAGTCTCATCTGAGACAAGGCAAGTCCCTTCTGTCTATGAGACTGTAAAATCAAAAGCAAGTTAGTTTCTTCGTAAATACAATGGAGGTACAGGTATTGGGTAAATACACCCATTCCAAATGGGAGAAACTGACAAAACAAAGGAGCTACAGGACCCATGCAAGTCTGAAATACAATAGGGCAGTCATTAAATCTTAAAGTTCTAAAATGATCTCCTTTGACTCCTTGTCTCACATCCAGGTCATGCTGATGCAACAGGTGGGTTCCTATGGTCTTGGGTAGCTCCGTCCCTGTGGCTTTGCAGGGTACAGCCCCCCTCTAGGCTGCTTTCATGAGCAGGTGTTGAGTTTCTGCGCCTTTTCCAGGCACATGGGTGCAAGCTGCAGGTGGATCTACCATTCTGGGGTCTAGAGGACTGTGGCCCGCTTCTCACAGCTCCACTAGTCAGTGCCCCAGTGGGGACTCGGCACTGGGGCTCCAACCCCACATTTCCCTTCCACACTGCCCTAGTGGAGTTTCTTCTTGAGGGCTCTGCCCCTGCAGCCAACTTCTGCCTGGACATCCAGGTGTTTCCATACATCCTCTTAAATCTAAATGAAGGTTCCATAACCTCAATTATTGACTTCTGTGCACCTGCAGGCTCAACACTATGTGGAAGCCACAAGTCTTGGGGATTGCACCCTCTGAAGCCATGGTCTGAGCTGTACCTTGGCCCCTTTTAGCCATGGCTGGAGAAGCTGGGACATAGGACACAAAGTCCCTAGGCTTAACACAGCAGGAGAACCCTGGGCCTGGCCCAGGAAACTGTTTCCTTCTCCTATGCCTCAGGGCTTGTGAGGGGAGGGGCTGCCATGAAGGTCTTTAACATGCCCTAGGGACATTTCTCCCACTGTCTTGGTGTTAACATTTGGCTCCTTGTTACTTATGCAAATTTCTCCAGTCAGCTTGTATTCCTGCCCAGAAAATGGGGTTTTCTGTTCTATCACATTGTCAGGCTTCAAATTTTCCAAACTTTTATGCCCTGTTTCCTCTTGTATGCTTTGCTGCCTACTTCCACCAGATGCCCTAAATCATCTCTCTCAAATTTAAAGTTCCATAGATCTCTAGGGCAGGGCCAAAATGCCACCAGTCTCTTTGCATAGCAAGAGTAAGCTTTACTCCAGTTCCCAACAAGTTCCTCAGCTCCATCTGAGACCACCTGAACCTGGACTTCATTGTCCATTTCACTATCAGCATTTTGGTCAAAGTCAGTCAACAAGTCTCTAGGAAGTTCCAAACTTTCCCACATTTTCCTGCCTTCTGAGCCCTCCGAGTCTCTAGGAAGTTCCAAACTTCACCACATTTTCCTGTCTTCTTCTGAGCCCTCCAAACTGTTTCAACCTCTGCCCGTTACCGAGTTCCAAAGTCACTCCCACATTTTTGGGTATCCTTAGAGCAGCATCCCACTTCTGGTACCAATTTACTGTATTAGTCCATTCTCAACATGCTGCTAATAAACACACACACAAGACTGGGTAATTTATAAAGGAAAGAACTTTAATTGACTTACAGTTCTGCAGGGCTGGGGAGGCCTCAAGAAACTTAAAATCATGGAGGGAGGGGAAGTCAAACAAATCCTTCTTCACATAACAGCAGGAAGGAGAAGAATGAGTGCCCAGTGAAAGGGAAGCCCCTTATAAAACCATCAGATCTCGGTGGATCACGAGGTCAGGAGATCGAGACCATCCTGGCTAACATGGTGAAACCCATCTCTACTAAAAAATACAAAAAATTAGCTGGGTGCGGTGGTGGGTGCCTGTAGTCCCAGCTCCTTGGGAGGCTGAGGCAGGAGAATGGTTTGAACCCAGGAGGTGGAGCTTGCAGTGTGCCAAGATCACACCACTGCACTCCAGCCTGGGAGACAGAGTGAGACTCCGTCTCAAAAAAAAAAAAAAAAAAAAAAAAAAAAAGAAATCATCAGGTCTCAGGAGAACTAACTCACTATCACAAGAACAAGATGGGGGAAACTGCCCCCATGATTCAATTATCTCCACCTGGTCCCTCCCACAACACATGGGGATTGTAGGAACTACAATTCAAGACAAGATTTGAGTGGAGACACAGCCAAACCATATCACTGGTGGAGCACCAGTGTCTTGAGATCCGAGATTTGTGTGTCTTTTACTGTACTCTTTTTCCAACCTGGCCCAGTGGCTGTCAGAGAATGAAGTTGAATTTGTTGTACTGATGGATTAGCAGCTCCTCCATGGTCCTGGAAGGATTAACAGGCCCTGAATGGAGAGGAGGGAGGCAGATAGACATGGTGTCTGACATCTCCACTGATGTTACAGCTTCATACCCAGTAGTTCTTTTGAGATAAACATGATGTTCCCCATTAAGCTGGTGAACTTTAAATAAACAAGAGAGGGTTTTTTTTTTCCTCCAGGTTCTCCTTTTGAGATGAAACTGTAGGAAATCTATCACATTTGAAATTCTTGCTCATGTTTTTCTATTTAGTTCAACTTATTTTCCAAATTACAATTTGGGTCATAAATACCAAAATAAGTTGCTTGGTATTTTTGGGAAAACAGTATATTAATTTATCTGATTTTTGCATTTTTTCTACTTCTAAGAAAAAACAGGAGACATTCATGGCAATGTGATATGACAGGAGATTGTCCTGTTGGTAGTGATGGTTTGTTTTTTTTCTGTATTGCCCACCCATTGTACAGCATTCAGAGAATTCTGAAAGTATAAAGAAGGAATTGTAATTCTTAAATTACCTTTTATTGTCAAAATAAGCATTTTTTTCTTGAGCTGGATTTCTCAAAAGCAAACACTGAGAGAAGAATTGGCATGTACGTTATTTATTTTGGAAGTAACCTCAAGATCACCTGTAGGAGAGTGGGGAAGTAAGAGGAGGAAGGAAGGTATTCGACAGAAAGTGTGTTGAAGAGCAGGTCACCATCATAAGCAACGGGCTTAATCCTGCTGGGGATGTCTGTGAGGCTATATAATACAGACCTCTGAGTTGTCCCACTCAGTTAAAAGTAAATTGATGTATTCATATGCCATGTCCGGCCCATGATTGGTTGAGGGCTGCTGCTAGGGATGTTAACTTGCTGGGCACCCACTCATGTCTTCTGGTCCTGCTCCAAGCACAGACTGACGAAGTTACCATGGTCAAAGAAAGCCCTTAGGCTGAGACTCGGGGGAAGGTACATTAAAAAGAGAGCATGCACCAGAACAGTGTGTGGTACAGAGGCACAGGAGGGCATGGACAGCGCCTCCCACACAATCATTAGAGACTGGCTGGCATAGACCCAATCCAGCACCAAGTTCTACCCTCCCCTACAAACAGGCAGTGCTTAACAGATACAGCAGTAACAGAAACAATAGTTTAGGAAAATCAAATTCAAGACTGAACATACCAACAAAAGTCACCTTTAGTGGTTGTGGCAGTGAACCAAGGCTCCAAACATGCTTGCACCAGGTGACTTGGTCTCTTGTGTTCCTGTCATTCACCAGGAGGAGAACATGCACCCACGTAGTTGCTTGTCCAAGGAGAGTGTGAAGTGGGGCAAACCTGAATCCAACCCAAATGCAGAAGCCCAGCCCAGCTAAATGTCACCTAGAGTAGAGCCACCTTAGTCTGCAGATGTGTGAGCAAGAAAAATAAATGCTTATCATTGTCAGTCACTACTTTTCAGGATTGTTTGTTATGCAGTATTATTGCAACAATAGCTGACTGACACAATACTCCAGGGAACAGATTTAATAGAGCAATGAGAACAATAGTTTAAATTTTTAATTGCAATCTTCACAGACATAGAGTGGATATTACAGACCTTTTTAAAAAGGAAGAGAGAATCAATGAGACAGCTTGTGAATTATAAATGCTATCACTAAAATTAAAATCTCAGAAATGTGGACTAAATGGTATCATGGATACAGACAAAGAAGAATAAATTCTTGAGTTCCTAGATACAGCCTAAAACTTGACCTGATGTTTAGCACAAAGAAAGAAAAAAATAACTATAAATCTTGATAAATGATGGATAGATCCAAGAAAGGAGGAAAGCAAATGTGAGAAGTAGTGATGGGAAAAAATATCGAAGAATTAAGAGCTCATCAAATATTTGAGAAGGAATGAATGAAAAAGGGCCATCACTGAGATACATTGCGGCAAATTTTTATTAGAATAATAAAATTTGAGGTAGAGAAAAGGATACCTATGAGGGAAAAAGACTGAATTAATACCAATGCTCTCATCAGCAATGTTGGATTTAAACATTAAAATTAAAAAAAGTTTTGATAAATTAGAAACAGAGGGAAATTTTACTAACTAACTAAATGATAATCCTAGGAACCTATAGCAAACGTCATACTTAATGGTGAAACAATTAAATTATTCTTTTTATAGTTTGTCAATTTTAATTTTCAGTTTCAAATATGTCATACGTAACTTTTCAAGCTAAATTGATACAGATCTATACAAAGAGTGTGAAGGGTTGCATACTATTTCATTCTATACCTGATGTGTTCTAATGTATTTAGTCAGTCCCTCTTTTGTAGGGGATTGATGATGTCTAATTTAAAATTGAAAAATGTGCATGACAGTTGAAAATTCCTCTACCCTCTCTAAATCTGATTGGATATTACCAATATCTTTAATCTTGAGTAATTAATGACTAAAAAATACATCTTCTGGGTTTATTAAAATATTCTTTTACAAGTACTACTCTGCAGTGTATATGCTGTGGAAATTTTAAAAATAAAATCGAAAAATAAAAGTACTACTCAGCTCAGGAGGCTAAGGTGGAAGGATCGCTTGAGTCTGGGAGGTGGAGGTTGCAGTGAGCCAAGTTCATGGCACTGCACTCCAGCCTAGGCAACAAACTTCTCTCAAAACAAGCAAACAAAAGAAAGTGCCACTAAAGCTAAAGATCCTCTTATATTTTTTCATTCAATATGAATGACTGGTGAATACGTGCACCAGGTCTTTCCCGAGCAATAGGAATACATCACTGAACCAAATGCGATTCACTGCCCTCAAGAACCCCATGTCTTCCTTCTTTTACCAGCTATCTGTTAATCTACTCAGCTGGTCTTCTTGCTCCCTTTGATTTTTACAAACCATTCATGCATTAGAGTAGTAATCCTTTGTCATGTGTGTTACAAAAATTTGTAGCACGCTGTTTATGTTTTAGCTCTTTAGAGTTCTTTTGTGGAATCTCAGGGAAGTTTTGACTTTATGTAGACACATTTTTTATGTTTGCCTATTTTTCTATCTATTTATCCCAGGATTGAAGAAATAGTCTCCTACATTTTCTTCTAATATTTTTATAATTATTGAGCTTTTAACTGAAACTTTTAACAGATTTATTCCCTGCCTGGGCATGACTTAAGAATCATATATACCATGTATAATCTAGAGTGCATTGTTTGGTAATGAAAGAGTGCTTTCACATATTAATGGTTATGCTTTTACTCCTGCATCAGATTCTCCTGTGTTAAACATGGTGATGTCACCAGAATGGTATCAAATCACCCAAGTCAAAATGTTCTTCTTCGAAGCAGCTGATGCCTTTAGAATAAGGTCCAAAATCCTTAACATGGCTTACACAGCCTTTCACCACAGGCCTCCCTAGCCTCTCCCCAGCGCAGCTCACCCTCCTCTTCCTGGCCCCTGCACCTACTTCAATTGCGGCTCCCTGCACATGTCATGCCCTCTCCCCTGGAGCCCTCCTGCCTGACCTGGTTGCTTCTCACTTAGCTAACTCCTATTTATCCCTCAGTTTCCATGTTCCCTGCTCAAGGAAAGGCTGGCAGTCAGTTTATAAATATTTCTTGGGCCACCTACTAAATGCCAGACCAATGATCACCCTCACTCCGCAACCAAGGCTGAAGAGGTATTAATCCTATGTCTGGCATATCAGCCATCACAACAACTTACAACAGCCTCATGGCTTGATGGTAACAAATTGCTAGGCAGCAAGCATCTTGAGGGTAAGGACCTTGTCTTTTTCACTAGCGTTGCAGCAGCTGACATAGAAATCAAAGTGAATACAGACAAAACGGTAAACCAATGAGAGCCAGGAGGAAAGTATGATACAATTTCATTTCCTGGAAAGTGAATAGGGCAAGAGAAAATATGCCTGTTGTTCAAATACCTGTGCCATGGGTGGCTTTGAAAGAACACTGACTTTGAAGTCAGGAGAACTTGTTTCAACTTGTGGTGGCATCCAGTCCCAACCCTATGACCTTGAATGAGTAAACTTTTTCAGCTCCTGTTTCCTCATCTATTAATCAGCATAACGCCTATGCTATCCAAATCTCAGGGTTATTACATTTCTTGAACTTTATGATGTGCCACACATTGCAATTATTTCATTAATTTTATTACCTTGTTTAATCTTCATGCTGTATGGTGGAGATATTATTATTATCCTCACCCATAAGTTGGAGAGTCTAAGGACACTGGGCCCACATGAGGAAATTAGAGAGGGTTACTTAGTGTAGTAAGAGTACTTAGAGTTTATTTAGTGTCGTCTGAACCTTGGAGGGGTTAAATGAGCTAACCAAGTTCACACAGCTTCAAAATGGTAGAGCTGAGATTCTGACCCAGGACTGCTCGACACCTGAGCAAGAGCACTTAATCACTGCTTAAGGCTCACTCATGTCAGAACAAGAGAGTTTGTAAGTGGACAGGCTTTGCAAACTGTCAAGCACAAGGTAAATGCTGGTGATGAGGAGCAAGTCATTTGTACAACAAGGAAGGCAGCGGTATCATCTGGACGTATGTTTGCCTTCAGGGAGGGATGAATGCCTGGGATTTCAGATCTGATCCAAGTTCAATGTGTCTGGCCCAAGGTTATTTTTGATTCAAGGCCACTGTGTCCTGGTTTCTATCAACACTGAAATAAACACCGCTTTGCAATCTGCGCCTTTTATTAATGATGTGACTCACTTAATGAGGGCTTTGCTGACTCACATCAATCTTCTTTGTAGAAGAGGCCCATCAAGGAATTGTAGACAGCTGCCAGGCTGGATCTACTCTGCGTCAGCGTTTGGCAAGTTCAGCCACCCTGCAAACACCTTTTCTTCAGAAGAGGGGAAAGAGTGAAGCTTCAAGGCTAAAGATCAGCACAACACACACACACACAGACACACACACACACACACACACACATTTAAAAACCTATTTTATTGGGTTTATCTGGACATTGTTGTTGTCGTTGTTTTAAGTTCCAGGCAGCCAAGCAGCCATGGATGGATTACTCTTAAAACCTGATCATAAAATATTGTCCACATGGGCAAAGGCACTAATCAAAACTGTGAAAGGAAAGGTTTGAATTAAGGAAAAAGTTCAATGAGACACAAGGGATTTTTCATTGCAAAGTTTCTCTAATTTTGTATCCCAGGCTGACCCATAAAGGAACAAAATATTCTGCCTTGATGACAACATGTGATTTAGCGTAGTCTGTATTACAGAATGGCCACAGCTTGAAGATGGCAGCATGGTTTCCCCAGAGTCTGGAGCAGAACTTGTAGTTTTGTCTACACACAATGACCCATTGACCATTTTTTCCTGAGGAATTGCTTTTTTTGTTGTTGTTATGTGAAAAAGCTTTGCCCAGTCTGCTAGTTCTTAGGTCTGTTTTTTGTCACTGTCCACATAGAGTTCTTGGAAAACAATACGGGCTAACCCCAAGTTTGGTTGTGAATTTCTTCCATAATAACCCACACGTCTTGTTTTACATGTAAGTTGCTTGCTGTGTCCTTCTCTCCTTGCCCTCCCTATGAGTCACCCACTTAGGTTGGGAGCTTCTAGATAACGACGCCCCTTCCAGGACCAGCATCCGTCCCTTTTCCAACCGCACAGTCCTGCCTGGACTGACGAAGGAAACCTAAAAACAAGGAAAGTTTTCATAAGCATTGCAATAAAAGGAATGGTGCTATTTAAATGTGAGATTATACAATAGATATAACATAGAGTAACACACAAGAATCACCTGGGCAGCACTGTAACTCACCTTTCCAGGATGGCAATTCTGACCTCATAAGAAACATGTAGGGAGTCCCCTTGTAGATTCTATTGTTTCTGGGTTGAGTGATGCTGGAAGTGCGGGGATGCTGAGAGGCTCAAAGAGATTGCTTCATTTAGAGGACTCTCTTTGGCTACCATGCAGAGGTGGAACTGCAGGGCATCTGTGCGGTTCTGAGTTGGGGGTTTCCACAAAACAGTCATTCTCCTCCTCCCCACCCCTGCCTCTAGGCATAAGGAGTGGCAGTGCCTGAGAAGAAGACATGTGGAATTCACAACTGGCCTTGACAGAACACTTGGGCCAGAAGCCAGGCACCAGCAAAGGCAATGGAGGCAGGATAGAGGATTCTCTCCAAAGCAAGATTCCCTATTGCAGCAGGCAGTGGTCACTACAGCAGTTGGCCAGATAGAGAGAAGAACTGCAGAGAGGAATTCATCCTGCCAGAATGCCAGGATGAATTGCTGAAGCATCACCCACCTATCTCGTTATTCGGCTTCTGAACTGGTAACCAGACACCCAGATTAAGAGCTGAGAGGATGACTGTGGAAAGGAAGGGGACAAATATAAGACATGGACACTGTTGAGGGATTCAAAGAAAATGAAAAGAAAAGAAAGGAAATAGCGCACTCAATAAGTAGAGAAGGAATTAGGGAAAATGGTCAGAAACAGTCAGAATGTGGGTGTGTTGGCTGCCATTACCAGTCTTAACAACACCCACAAGAGACAGATGACCGCCAGTTTACAATGGGATGGGCTGCAAGCCCTTGGAAGGGAATACAGCTTCTCCAGGAGGAACATTTTCTGCTTGTAGTCTTCAATTTTAGTAGACTGAGAGTTTAGTAACCCTTACAGGGCTAAAAACAAACAAACAAACAAACAAAAACCAATTTCTCCTAAACTCCAAACTGAAGCAGTTTTAAGTAATGACTTGAAGTCCTGGAATTAGCAAGATATAAAACTTTGGTCCCAAATCTCTGCTCAAAAATCTTTCATTACGGGATCCCTAGCAGATGACATGTTCTAGCCTGGTAGGAATGGTAAGATTACCCAGGATTATCCCCAAAGCCTGTTGTTTTAGACAACTTCAAGGTCACTATTGAGAGGAGGGTTGCATAGAGCACAGAGTTCGGTTTGGAAACTATATGGAAACAAGATCTTTGGCAGTAGTTACTTACACATGCAACTGATGGGAAGCAAATAAACAGGAAATCTACTAAATTATTAAGGGAATTCTATCCAAATAAATCACAAGCTTACCCTCAAAAGCCAGTAATCATTCAACCCCTAAGCAACTCCCAGGCCCTCAAAACTGCACCAGCAGGAAGAGAGCGAATAAAGGGCACAGCCCCCAGAAAGATCAACCTTTCCAAAGCCCACCCCAGATATGACCACCAAGGACAAAAAGCAAGGAGCAGAAGCTGAGGCTGCAGGATGGGACCACCAAGCCATCGACCGACCTGCCAGGTAGGAGGGTCTTTGCTGTGGCTACTTCATGGCATGGCTCATTGCTATAGATCCAGTTGGAAGGAAGAACAGAATTAGGATCACACAGTAGCCACTGCTCAGTAACTATTGTGTGTTTCCAATTCTTTTTCTCCAAGAATACATTTTTGTTTTGGTCATCATATTTCTCCTTCACTGATATAGATTAGATATGGAAGGACAGGAAATGTGTGTTTGGGGTTAGACACTGATTGATGAGGAGCCATAGCAGACATGGAGAAGATTGCACATCATCCTGCAATCATGGAGTTTGAGTTGAGCGCCCTAACTAAATAGGACTTGGGACTGTCTCCCTGTGGAAGAGGAATATGCCAAAGGAATGGAACAAATGCACCTGGATATTCAGGTGGTCAAAAGGGCAGAATGACAGAGACAGATAATTGACCTCAATATCTATTTTCTTCTATCCCAGAAATAAATGTCTAGCTGAACAGATGGCTAGTCAGAGTGAAGAAGATGCTTCATGGCCTCCCTCGCATTGTAACTAAGTTCTAGCCAATTGTATATAAGCCAACAAGGTATATGCACCTTCTAGGAAGATTCCTTAATAGGAGGGTCCAACCTCTTCTTTGGGCTTTCTTCCTTCATGCTGGATGGAAGAAGATGTGATAGATGGCGCTGCAGCAGCCATTTTGTTACTTAGGAATGAAAATGAAAATAAGATGGGCATCCTGATGACTGTGAAACTAAACTTCCACAGCAGCTCCAGACTGCCTAATGATTTTTTTATGAAAGAAAAAATCAACTGAATTTGTAAAAGTCATTATTTTTTTCCCCTTGGCCCTTACAAACTTAATATAACTATAATACATGTATAACCTAAAATTACCCAAAGAAATATTCCAATCAACTAGTAGATGGATCACAATAAAGAGTCCTCACATAGAAAACTATGATATGAAAGAATTGAGAGTAGGTGAGAAAACTATTAAAGTAAAACATAAAGTCTAAATAATTCCCCAGATAAGGCTGTAAAAGTAATTAATGAATAAAAAGTTTCATGATGTAAAGTAATGATTATCATTTAAAAAGTTAAAGGATGTATTCAATCTTACTGATCATTACAATGTTACTGCTGACTTACCATGTGCTAGGCACTGTTGTAAATGCATCCTGTGCACTATGTCATTTTATTTTCATAATAACCCTATGATACTATTATGCCCACTTTCGAGATGGGGCAGCTGAGGCACAGAGAAGGTAAACCCTTTGATCACTGCCCTATGTTATCTGTCAGCCAAAACCTAGGAGATGGCAGAGCAAAGTAAGAAGTTAAATAAGAGTGTTAGTTTCTTCATTTTATATAAAGAGGACTCATGAGTGTTTTGCACTTGTTATTGCCAATTAGGTTATCGATGGCAATGAAGCAAAAACAGAATGTATCTGTTCTAAGTCACTAGAGGAAAAGGTGGTTACGAAAAGGAATTACAGCCCATACAACAAAAAATTAAAAGTAAAGGAAAAATAAGAGAACATTAAAAATAAAGTACAAAACTACAGAAATAAAAGAAAAAATAACACTCATTACATTAAATGTATAGTTGGCCCTCTGCATCTACAGGTTTCACAACTGCAAATTCAACCAACCTCATATTTAAAATATTCAGACATGAACAATAAAGAATAATAATACAATAATTAAAAAGATAAAAATAACAGTATAAGAAAAATTTACATAGCATTTACATTATATTAGATATTATAAGTAATGTAGAAATTATTTTAAGGACACAGTAGGATGTGTGTGGGTGATATGCAAATACTATGCCATTTTTTATGCATGCTTGGATTTTGGCATCCTGGGGGTCCTGGAACCAATCCCCCACTGGTATAGAGGACTGACAGTAAATGCTTAAACTACTCTATTGAAGGGTGAAGTCCCACAAGTTTAGGCAAAATATAAGATACAACAGTGAAATCAATGTACTGTAAATAAGGACCAGAAACTAACCCACTTATTTAGTATATGCTAAAAGAGATATTTTAAGTCAATTGATACATGATTGTATTAGTCTGTTTTCACACTGCTGACAAAGCCATCCCTGAAGCTGGGCAATTTACAAAAGAAAGAGGTTTACTGGACTTACAGTTCCACATGGCTAGGGAGGCCTCACAATCATGGTGGAAGGCAAGGAGGAGCAAGTCACATCTTACGTGGATGGCAGCTGGCAAAAAGAGAGCTTGTGCAGGGAAACTCCCATTTTTAAAACCATCAGATCTCATGAGATTCATTCACTATCACGACAACAGTGCAGGAAAGACTTGCCCCCATAATTCAATCACCTCCCATTGGATTCCTCCTATGACATGTGAGAATTGTGAGAGTTACAATTCAAGATGAGATTTGGGTGGGGACACAGCCAAGCCATATCAATGATGTAATTCGCCAAATGGTAGCTTATCTACCATTAACTGCAAGAATTAAGTTCCCTACATCAAAATGAAGCTGAAGCGAATCATAGGTAAAAATATTTAAAAAGCAACCTAAAAAAATCATAAAAGTATCTTTAAATAATTTAGAGCAAGTATGGTCTTTATATACATATAAGAGTGAAGGTAAAAGCATAAATGAAAAGATATGTGATACAATAGAACCATTTACCAAAACACACAATAAGCAAATCGAGATAGAAGAAATTGGGGCAAAAATAGCAATATTGAAGGCAGGAAAATAGATTAAATTCAAGATATATAACGTCCAAAAATCAATAAAAGATAAGCAACAAGCTAAAATAAAAAAAGAGTTTGAACATAAAATTTACAAAATAACCATTTAAAAAAATTTTTTTTACAATTTTTTAATAGAGACAAGGTCTCACTATGTTGCCTAGGCTGGTCTCAAACTCCTGGGCTCAAGCAATACTCCCACCTTAGCCTCCCTAAGTGCTGGAATTACAGAAGTGAGCCACTGCTTCCAGCTAGTAACCATATTTAAAGCATGATACTGCTCAAAATCTAATAGCAATTTTCATTACTAACCATAAAAAGGAATACACTTTCCAATGTTGACAAAGATATGGGAAAACATACATCTATATAGCATTTCTGAGTGTGTAAGTTAGTTCAACTTTGGAAAAGTATTTTGGCAAAATATACAAATCTATCAAACCTTTAAAAATGCTCACCTGTTTTTACCCAAAAATTCTGCTTCTAATCATTTGTATTTTTAAAATAATTGGACTAAAGATTTAACTATAAGAATGTTTGGTCAGGAGTTTGAGACCAGCCTGGCCAACACAATGAAATGAAACCCCCTCTCTACTAAAAATACAAAAATTAGCCAGGTGTGGTGGCATCTGCCTGTAGTCCCAGCTACTTGGGAGGCTGAAGCAGGATAATCGCTTGAACCTGGGAGATGGAGGTTGCAGTGAGCTGAGACCATGCCATTGCACTCCGGCCTGGGTGACAGAGTGAGACTCTGTCTCAAAAAAAAAAAAAAAATATATATATATATATGTATACTTATATACATATATACGTATAATATATGCGTACTTATATACATATATACGTATAATATATGCGTACTTATATACATATATACGTATAATATATGCGTACTTATATACATATATACGTATAATGTATGCGTACTTATATACATATATACGTATAATGTATGCGTACTTATATACATATATACGTATAATATATGCGTACTTATATACATATATACGTATAATATATGCGTACTTATATACATATATACGTATAATATATGCGTACTTATATACATATATACGTATAATATATGCGTACTTATATACATATATACGTATAATATATGCGTACTTATATACATATATACGTATAATATATGCGTACTTATATACATATATACGTATAATATATGCGTACTTATATACATATATACGTATAATATATGCGTACTTATATACATATATACGTATAATATATGCGTACTTATATACATATATACGTATAATATATGCGTACTTATATACATATATACGTATAATATATGCGTACTTATATACATATATACGTATAATATATATGCGTACTTATATACATATATACGTATAATATATATGCGTACTTATATACATATATACGTATAATATATATGCGTACTTATATACATATATGTATAATATATGCGTACTTATATACATATATGTATAATATATATGCGTACTTATATACATATATGTATAATATATGCGTACTTATATACATATATGTATAATATATGCGTACTTATATACATATATGTATAATATATGCGTACTTATATACATATATGTATAATATATGTGTACTTATATACATATATATGTATAATATATGTGTACTTATATACATATATATGTATAATATATGTGTACTTATATACATATATATGTATAATATATGTATAATATATGTATACTTATATACATATATATGTATAATATATATGTATACTTATATACATATATATGTATAATATATATGTATACTTATATACATATATATGTATAATATATATGTATACTTATATACATATATATGTATAATATATATGTATACTTATATACATATATATGTATAATATATATGTATACTTATATACATATATATGTATAATATATATGTATACTTATATACATATATATGTATAATATATATGTATACTTATATACATATATATGTATAATATATATGTATACTTATATACATATATATGTATAATATATATGTATACTTATATACATATATATGTATAATATATATGTATACTTATATACATATATATGTATAATATATATGTATACTTATATACATATATATGTATAATATATATGTATACTTATATACATATATATGTATAATATATATGTATACTTATATACATATATATGTATAATATATATGTATACTTATATACATATATATGTATAATATATATGTATACTTATATACATATATATGTATAATATATATGTATACTTATATACATATATATGTATAATATATATGTATACTTATATACATATATATGTATACTTATATACATATATATGTATACTTATATACATATATAAGTATACTTATATACATATATATGTATACTTATATACATATATATGTATAATATATATGTATACTTACATACATACGTATATAATAATATATATATATTTTTTCACTGAATTGTAAATAGTGATTACCTCTGAGTTGAATGATCAAATTATGGACAATATACTGCAATTTATTTTCCTTTGTGCTTTTCTGTGTATTTTGATTTTTCTGTGTGTATTTTTTTATAATATGAGTATATACTAAGTATTAGATTAATAAGGATTTTAAATATTCTATTTAGCTCTTAAAAATCAAAATGAAGGGCTTTTATGTCCCAAAATGAATTAATCATCCTAGTCTCCTAAGTTCATGTTTTCTTTAATATTTTATCTTGGAACCCGCAAGCCAGAAAGCTGAGGATTATGCTCATCTCCACCTCTGCCTGGGCACCTCAAGATCTCCTAAGACCCACATTCCATTCGTTTCACTTCCATTCACATCTGACATCCTTCTCACCACACCCTTCGTATATAATAAGCTGATTGTGGTTGGAAAGATCCCTTAGCTGATGCTGTCCGTTCCAATAACTGCTTAGATACTTTCTGCCTTCCTTTCACACCAAGGGTGGACCTACCAGCTCAGCATTTCACTTGCGGCTTCCCATTACCAGCTGTGTCATGGTAATCTGTCAAGCCTCAGAGCCACAGAAGTTTAGAATGAAAAAGAACATATGGATTATCTTGCTCTGCCGCTAAATTATCTCAAAAGAAGAAACTGGAGGTCAGAGATGCAAAATGACTCCCCAACCTCACAGCTAATTCCTGTCTGGAGCCCAGTCTCCCCTAGTCTTCACCACCTCAAACCTCAAATTCATTCATTTCTTAGTAGAAGCCAGGCATTCTCGCCTGGCCTCTTGCAGCCCTAACAACAAAGGGGTTTGCACAATAAAAACACTGGTAAGATTTGGGGTGCAAACTCTGGCTTTTAGCTGAACTTGCTACGTGGCTGCAGCTGAGCCATAAAGTCATCTGGTCTTGGCTGCCCTCTTAACTCAAATTTGCAAAGTAAAGTAGTAAAGTATAACAGAAGCTTCCTTTGATTTAAGGCTGCTGGGGGAGAGAGCCTTGAGTTAGGAACAGAGATCCGAGTTGTTTATTTAAATAAATGAATGGAACTTTAACAGAACAGCTAATAAACAAATCCACAAGGTCATGCCAGGCTCCCTGGGACCCGAGGTGTTGGGTCTGAAATCCAGCCAAAGAGACCAACACATCACTTTGGCCTCCCAGAGTTCTCCAGTGGTCTCCAGGGTCCCAGTGGGGCCTTGGGTTTGGAATGGCTTCTGAGAAGCCAGGCCTGGGGCTGGGGGGTGGGGGGTGCTGGCAGTAAGGGGGAGCTTTATTTTACCTACCCTCTAGAAGGTCTAGAAGGAGGCGCAGCCCAGGGACACTGCCAGCTGGGAAAACCAGTGCCCCACAGCACTGAGGTCCACCCAGCTCCTCTTCTCAGACCACAGATTTGAATTTTAATGTTTTAACCCTTTAGATATGATTTATAATTTAGGTTTGCATATTGACGTCCTATTGGCAAGCTGACCTTAGAATGACTCCCGGCCCTATCAAGGAACTTTCTCCTTGAAACCCCTATCCCCACTTCCCTTCTATGTAGAAGCATCTTCCTTCTTTTCTCTCCCTCTTATATTTCAAGATCCTGTCCAGAAGCAACGTCCTTCATGTTGCCTTTGCTTAACAACCCAAAGTGAACTTTGTCTCTTCTGCTTCCCTGAAGGATGTGGTTGGCCCTTGGAACTCTGGCTGCCATTGTAATGAGCTTTCTCATATGGTAGAGATCTAGACACAATTTTCTTTTCCCTGTATGCTTTGCCCTGAATAAAAGTAAAAAGATATAATCAAACAAAGAAAACCTAAGCATGTGGCAGAGAGCAGTTGTCATCAAAGAGGCCATGAGGGAAGTAGAGATGTGTTACCACTTTCTGGGACATTATGGTCTGTCTACACTCACAAAATGAGTGCTAGATGTTGCTTTGTTTTGTTTTTGGCAAGATAGGTGCATTTCAGGGCTTTCTTCCACTGCTTCTGCCTTTCAAAGCAAGCTGGGGAGCCCTGGCTGACGTAACAACTGCTTATGACTTTCCCTTGCGGTATTTTTTACTAAAGCAGTTTTACTAATAGGCTGTTTACAGTCATTTTCCTTTCACAGCTGGCCCCGGAGTGAAATGAAAACAAAAAAAATGATACCCAGGGGTTTATCAATTTTTCTTCCTTATAAACTGTTAGTGCGTCTCAGCAGGAGAAGTTCACAATCCCCGATTTATAACTGTGTTCAGCAGGATTTGTCTGCCCAGATTGACTCACAACATGGAAAAAGCCCAGATCCCTCCAGGGGAGCTGGTGCCCCTTGCTGAGCCTGGCCGCCTCACTGCTGGGTCTGTGATGTGGCCAGGGGGTTGTGGCTCGCGGGGCATCAGAGCTGTGCAGGGAGAAATGGAGACACCGTCCCAAAGTGGCTTTATGAAGATTCCAAAAGGGTAGAGGGGCTTTATTCCTCCTGCATATATTTACTTAAGTTTCTTTTTAATATTTCCAAGGGTGGGGGGGGGGGGGAAACCATGATCATGACATTTAACATGCAAGAAGTAGGGGACAGCCCAACAGCAGTACCTAAAATCCCAAGCTAGAATAAGACAGTGAAGGGACAGAGACACAGAGAAGCAGGAAGGAAAAAAGTAAGAGGCAACAACTCAGATTTCTTCACCGATCAGACGGGGAAGAAAGACATAGCCAAACCTCATTTGGGTGGCACGTGGGAGAAGCTACCCAGATAAGCCATTGCTTTTAGGTTATGGTGAGTGAAAGGAAGGAGTTTGTGCAAAGGATCATTTCATCCTTTCCATATACACTTGGTTAAATAATCAAGCCCATAGTTGTGATTCCCTTTAAGGGTACTTTTTTCATTCATTTAATGTTTTATTCACTTACTCATTCATCCGAACTGAGAATCAACTGAAAGCTGGATAAGTCATAAAACAATCTCAGCTTCATGCAGCTTTCAATCTAGTGGTAGACACGGACTTAAATAAATTATTCTACTAATGATCTGTATAATACAAGGAATCAAATCTAGACTCAGTTTACCTAGCCTAAGTAAGAAGAACATCCCTGCTGAGGTTCCATAGAATCTGAAACCTAAATGATGAAACAAGCCAGAAAAAAGAGAAAGACAAATGATACATGGAAAAATGAAAATGTGAAAAATTCTAAGCTTGAAAGAAGCTTGTTGAGTTTGAAAAACAGTGAAAAGGCCAAAACAATCAGAGGATATAAGCAAAGGAAAAGGTGGCTTCGGAGTTAGCAAAGGATGGACCATCAGTGCCCTGCAGTCCACACTGAGGCTAAGGAAGATTCTCCTAAAAATGAGAGAAGCTATTGGAAAGTTTTAAAGGATGGCAAGACATGATCAGCTATGCATATTAGGAAGATTATTCTACCTGATCTATGGAAAATGAATCAAAGAGAAAAAAAACGACCAGTAGTTTAGTATGGCCTTCTAGGTAAGGAAATGGTGGTTTATTTTAGGATCCCAGCTTGGGCTAAGGTGATCGCAATGGAGAGGAAGAGGATGGAGATTAAATACGGTTTTTTTTTTTTTTTTTTTGGGGGGGAAATAGAATTGACAAGACTTGCTGATAGAAGGGATACGCTTTTTCTGGCATGAGTAACCAAGTAGATGAAGGTGTTACTTCCTCTAATCAGCACCTATTTCCCACTTCCCCAAACTCACTTGGAGCTGACAAGTTACATGAAGCTTCTGTCTCTCCAGTCTCACCTTCAACCCACCATTCACCTCTCTATGATTACCCCTAATCCCAGCCTCTCCACTTATCAGCTCTGTGTCTTTGGCAAGATATTTAGTCCCATGAGCTTGAGAGTCCTCATCTGTAAAATGTGGGACAGTCAAGAGAATTAAATGAGATCATATCTGCGGAGCTCCTGGAACACAGAAGGCATTCAATAAATGCGTGTTTATTTCCTCCCTGCTTCTCCTTCTTAGCGCTGGCCTTCGAGATCTTGAATTTGGTACTTCACGTTCCCAAATATAACCTTTTAGCTGGCTCCTTCTCTCATTCTCCATCCGACACAAATTTGTTCTTCCACCTCATCCAGATAAATATTCACTTATTAACTCCATCCATCTAGCTAATTCCATTTTCCATGTCTGTTCTACTCAAATTTCAATACTTGTTTTTGACCTCACGGTTATTTACAACCTGTGTGTACAATACCTCCCTGTTCCCTGGTGGGAGACACAGTAAAGTGGCTGAAGTTGGGGACACAGGTTGCGTGCTTAGGAAATCAAAAGATGTTGTGGGTCAAAGGCAGGGCAGGCAAGGATGCTGTCTGGTGCTGGAGTCAATTCAGAAGCTAAAAACCAGAGCCAGGCAAGCTGTTAGGTGAATGGAGGCAGACACAACTTGCCAGAGATAAGGGGTCTTGAAAGGAAAGCAAAGGTCTGCCTCAGACAGGAAACCTCTCATTCCCTCCTCTGTCACTGTTGCGGCTGGATCCAACCATGGCCTTCCTCCTCACCCTTGTTAACTGCATTCCCAGGATCATGGACTCATTCCTGTAGCCTCTGCTGACATTAGCACACCAGACAGCAGGATTCATGCAGGCATGTGGTCTGGCTTCTAATAGAGACATCCAACCTGCACTTGCTCGCCTCTGAGAGTGCTAATGTCTCCTCTCCTTCCCAGCATTAAAAATATTTTAAATTAAGCAGGAAGTTGAAACTAGTTTATCTCTCAGAGTCCTTCCAGTTCAAGGAGTTTTTGTGTTCAACAGAATGAGCTTGATTTTACTTCATTTGAAATATATTTATTGAATAAATAGTAGTTGCACATGGTAAAATAAAAACAGCCTAAAAGAGTGTATGCTAAACACCTTCACTTACCTTCCTCATATGCAATTGCTGTAACAAGTTGTGTGTGTGTGTGTGTGTGTGTGTGTATGAGTGTGAATGTTTCCAGAAATATTTTAACCATTTAAAAGCATAAGTGGCTGAGCACCTATCCCCTTCACTTGTATCTTCAATCATGAAGCCCCCACTGCCTTGGTCTGATTGATTGTGTCCCCACAAAATTCATATGTTAAAATCCTAACCATCACAGTTATAATATCAGGAAGTGACGCCTTTTGGAAGGCGTTTAGGTCATAAGTGCAGAGTTTTCATGAATGAGATCAGTGCCCTTATAAAAGAGGCTCAAGAGAGATTTCTCATTCCTTCCACCATGTAAGGCTATAATGAGAAGATGTCCATCTTTGAAGAATGGGCCATCACTAGACACTGAGTTTGCTGGTACCTTGATCTTGGACTTTCTAGTCTCCAGAACTGTTGTTTATAAGCATCCAGTTTATGGAATTGTGTTGAAGTAGCCTAAACAGACTAAGACACCCACTCTTTCCCAACCCCCATTTATAGAATAAATCTATTGTTCTTTTGTGTTCTCAACAGGCTAAGTATAGACTTCTATTATAGTTTCTATAATGCTTTTCTGCCTCTGTCTTACTTCCCATGTGAAAAAATATGAACAAAATAATAAAAGTAACCCAAAGAAAGTAAAAGGCAGAAATTATAAGGATAGCAGCAAGAATTAATGATATAGAAAACAGCCCCCCGAAAATATTCTCACTAATCTGCAAAACCGAAGTCTGCTCCTTGTAAAGACCAATGGACTAGATAAGTCTTTGGTAGGTCTGACTAAGGGGAAAAGAAAGACAAAAGTAAGACTTACTTTACTTAAAAAAAAAAAAAAAAAGTGGTATTATGTCAGCTATGCAGGAGGCTTATGAATTGTGAGGCTATCTTGCAACACTTTATGCCAACAAATTTCAAACTCTAGGTGAAATAAATGACTTCCTTCCTAGGAAAACAGAAATTATTCAAGAAAAAGTATAAATCCTGAATATACTAATAACCATACAAAAAACCAAGAAAGTAATCACAGATTTGCCACTAAAGACTCTGGACCCATGAGTCTGTTCAAGGAACAGACAATTTCATGTCATATAGCATATTCTACAGCATAACAAAAGATAGAAAATTTCTCCACTAAATCTATAAAAATAGTACATTTTAAAAAGTAGGCTAGTATCACATACATAGACTGAAAAGTTTTAAATGAATTCACATATCAAATCCAACCATTTAAAAATAGAATGTCAACATGGCTTACCTTATTTATCATTGGGCAATCCACTAATAAAATTCACCACATAGGCTGATTAAAAGAGAAAAAATATATGCTAAACTTAAAAGATGCCAAAGAGAACATTTAATAAAATTCATCATGCTTTCTCATTAAAAAAATACTTTAATAATATCATTTTATCACAATAAAATATCTTCATCTTCTAAAGCATAGTTACCAAATCCTACAGCAAACATCTTGCTTAATGGTGAAATATCAGAGGAAGTCTTACTACTTAGGAACAAGACAAGGATTTCCATTATCATTGCCACGAGAGATATTAGCCAATGTAATAAGACAAAAAAAAAAAAAAAGAGTTTTAACTATTGCAAAGGATGGCCTCAACTGCTCAACTGTCTAATTTTTACAATTCTCTACCAAGGAAATCTAAGAGAAGTCATTTTAAAAAAAACTATTATAATAAATAAGATAACTCAACAAAATGGCCAAATAGAAAAACAACATACCAAAACCATTTTTTGTATTCAGGAAAATAAAAAATATAGAGAATAGTAATAAAACAAGTATGTACATATCTTTACAATGTGCAAGATGTAGCTCTAAGTGTTTTACACAGGTTAACCAATTTTGTCCTCACAACCACCCTAGGAGTAAAGTATCATTATTGCCACCATGTTCAGAGGGGAGGAACTAAACCACAGCAAAGTAAAGCAACGTGCCTGGGATCATGCAGCAAATAAGTGGCAGAGCCATGGTATGAACTGAGGGAGTCTGGTCACAGGTTTCATGCTACGGAAATGAATGCAGAATGAAGACCTTATTATAAGTTTTCTGAAAAATACAAGAAGAATTTCTGTCAGATTAGCAAAAATGTTTCAAATTATATAAAATCAAGTGATGTGATCATTGAAGGATTCAGAGTCTCCTCTATGCTGTTACTTGAACTATAAACAGATGAAACTTTCCTGAAGGCAATTTATAGTATCTGTCAAAACTGAAAATAAATTAGAAATTTTATACCCTATATATCTTTGTGTATAAGATTACTTATTAAAAAATTGTTGAAAATAGCACAAAATAGACCACAAGAAAAGTCCATCAATAGGGTAGTCTTGAAATAGAGCATTCTATATCTTTGCTATAAAATATTATGGAGCTTTGAAAAGGAATATGAAATGGAAAAATCACCAAGACATATTTTCAGATGAACAAAGCAAACTATAGGACAATATGCATACTAGGGCCCTAACTGTGTTTTTTAAAGATGTAATATATACCCGTATGTGTAACTGTGCACAGCAAAGGGACTGAGAACCATGATCCAACCTGTTAACAGCAATGACTACTGGGAAAATGATTGAGATAGTGACAGAGATAAATGGGGGCTGTCAGGGTTCTTGTTAAACAATTTTATATTGTTTGAATCTCACATAAAAGGGATATATTTATAAATTTAAATGTTTGTTATTAAAAAGAAAAAAAAGTAGAAAATGCAATATTAGTTTCAAAACCAGAGTAAAAAAAATGTTGGCTGGGTGGGGGCAGAGGGGATTCCTTTGACTAAAGAATGCATGCAAGCACAAATGCACATTTTCCTATCTTTTTGTAAAAGGAGTGAGTCTTCTGTATCACGAGTCACTAATGGAAAAAAAAAAAGGATTGAGTGTCTTGGAGATAAGATAGTTTGGGGCTGGGCATGGTGGCTAATACCTATAATGCCAGAACTTTGGGAGGACGAGGCAGGCGGATCACAAGGTCAGGAGATCAAGACCATCCTGGCCAACATGGTGAAACCCTGTCTCTACAAAAAATACAAAAATTAGCTGGGTGTGCCTGTTATTCTAGCTACTCGGGAGGCTGAGGGAGGAGAATCACTTGAACCAGGGAGTCGTAGGTTGCAGTGAGCTGAGATTGTGCCACTGCACTCCAGCCTGGCGACAGAGCAAGACTCTGTCTCAAAAAAAAAAAAAAAAAAGAAAAAAGATAATTTGGAAATGTTCATTTGTTTGACCACTTCTACCAATACTTAATAAAATAAGGGGAACAAATTCTGTCCTACCTTATCCTCACACAGAAGAATGTGAGAGGCCCTGGAAAGAGAATTAACTGGCCCGTCTTATAAGAATGGGGAACAGAGTCCGCTTCATATTAGTCAGCAAAATGAATAAGAATTGTAGACTTGTGAATGAGGAGCCCTCTAGCCTTCCTCTAGAGAAGTGATTCAAATAAAAATTTAAAAAAGAAGAAAGAGAAGTGATTCAATGCTCTGCCTCAGAAGACATTGGAAAGCTGAAAGTAGAAGACTATGTGTTTGTGTTGGCAGGGAGAGACTGGCATTCCAGGAGACTGGTCATTTTAAATATAGCATCACTCATAGCTTGCAGAAAATGCTATCTCTGCTTCCAGGCTTCAGCAACACAGTGCCATGTCAGGTCAGGGGACAAGAGTTAGTATTTAGGAGGAGGCAGTGGTGACAGTGAAAAAAGCAGAAGACAAAGAAATGAGTGCATAGCTTGATCGTTAGTGGTGTGGGCTCTGGGAACATTTGACTGGTGCTTAATCCTGGCTCCAAAACCCAAAAGTTCTGTGACCTTGGGCAAATCGTATAATTTTTACCCAGTTTACTTACTTGTAAAATGGTGATAAAACAATAGTAATTATTTTTGTATAGTTTTTTTGTGAGTAATAGATGAAATAATCTTGTAAAACCGTTAGCAGAATGTCTGGAACATAGTAAATATTCAACATATATTAGGTATTATTAATAATAACACTATGTAGAAAAATAGGAAGAATAAAGAAGACCTACTATTTGATAACAACAGGGTGATTGTAGTTGATAATTACTTAATTGTGCATTAAAAAATAACTAAAAGAGTATAATTTGATTATTTGTAACAAACGGTAAATTCTTAAAAGGATGGATACCCCATTCTCCATGATGTGATTATTACACATTGCATGCCTATATCAAAACATCTCATGTGCCCCCTAAATATATAAACCTACTGTATATCCATAACAACTAAAAATAAAATTTTAAAATAATAATATGACCACTTTGGCTGGGCACGGTCGCTCACGCTTGTAATCCCAGAACTTTGGGAGGCTGAGGCAGGTGGATCACAAGGTCAGGAGATCGAGATCATCCTGGCCAACATGGTGAAACCCTGTCACTACTAAAAATACAAAAATTAGCTGGGTGTGGTGGCACGCAACTGTAGTCCCAGCTACTTGGGGAGGCTGAGGCACCAGAGAATTGCTTGAACCTAGGAGGCAGAGGTTGCAGTGAGCTGAGATGGTGCCACTGTACTCCAGCCTGGCAACAGAGCAAGACTCCGTCTCAAAAAAAAAAAAAAAAAAAAAAAAAGAATATGACCACTTTAAGGACTAGAAATGACACCACTTTTGGAATTTGGTCTCTAACTTTTGGTCATTTTTGCTTATTTGTAGGGCATATTCCAGTGCTCCTGGAGAAGTACATGGGTATTAGGGGTGACCTGGAAGATGCTTGCCAGCTGGGCACAACCTCAAGCTGTGGTGTCCAGTCCAGTAGCCACTAGTGGCAGGGGTTGCTGAGAAACTGATCTGTGGCTGGTCCAATGTGAGATGTGCTGTTGGCATCAAATACGCTCTGGATAGTGAAGGCGTCACATGAAAGAAAAGACTGTAAAACATCTCAACAATTTTCATATTATTTACATGTTTAAATGATAATATGTTAGATACATTGTGCCAAATAGATTACTAAAATTACTTTTGTCTGCCTCATTTTAAATTGTTTAAGTGGCTACCAGAAAGTGTTTAATTATGTTTTCATTGGACAGCACTGGGCTGATGCCCTGTCAAATCCTCTAGGTCTTGTTATAGCCTGTCCTGCTGTACCTATATTTCCTATTAAATGCATCTTCAGCATTTTTGAAACATTTTTGTATACATTTCCTTACGTTTCTGGAAAGGTAGGTGAGAAGACATTATTTTCTGCATTACAAAGATAGAGAAACTGAAAATTAATGTGATTCATCCAAAGACATTCTCCAAGTAACACATACCCATGTGGAAAAAAAATTAATTAGAACAGAAGGCCTCATCATAGAAAGTAGCAGTCTTCCTCTACCTCCCTGTCCCCTTCCTTGGAGGAACTTTATACATGTATGCATACTTTTTTTTGTAGGGCTATTGGTTTTCTCAGTATTACCCACACAGCTCCTGTTGACTCTGAACATTTTATTTCAAGATATTTTATGGTATAACACCTGCCTTCACCAGAACAACTCGTAGTCCATCAAAGTGGTGGCCTCAGTTATCTGAGCATAGTCTCCAGCTTATAACAAGAACTTAGGATTATTTTCAGAATAAAAGTGGAATAATTACTGATAAAGTAACAAATATTCAACAACAGGTTTCTTTTTCTATAGTGAGATCTTTTGTGGGCCCCATAGCTGCCCTAAGGTTTACAGCACAGGGTAATAGAAGTACGAATGTCCCTGTTAGAATCAGGATTTTCCCAACTTTTTGAACCAGGGATTCTTTTTGGGAAAAAAAAAATATGGCCTTTCTAAAGTCCAGCATCAATATATCAAAGGTAAAAAGAGCCAAAGATCATATATAGCACCTATAATATGAACTACAGGAAAGATTAACTTGGGAGTGGACAGGCTTTTTCTGTAAAGAGCTAGATAGTAAGTGTTTTAGGTTTTGTGGGCCAAACAGTACCCATTGCAACTACTCAACTCTACTGTTGTTGCACAAACATGGGCATAGATAATAGATAAATGAATGGGCATGGCTGTGTTCCAATAAAACTTTATTTATCAAAACAGTCAGAGGGCCAGTTTTGTCCAACAACAGCAGTTTGCAAACCCTTGGATGAAAGTTTTCAGTGAAACCATGCCCAAATGACAAAATACCTATAAAATTTGCACAAGAAAAGGAAAGGCGTATTAACATTCAGTGGCGTTCTTCATAAACTCCAGTAACACAGGAATATCATGGAAGAAGGAGTGCAGGATAAATCAAGATTGAGAGAAGATGCCTGGAGTTTTATGACGCAGTGTTGATAGTGTGATGGCAGCGTTGGTGAGGAGCATCATGGTAGGATTGACTTGAGATATTTGGTGGAGAAGGGAGACAAAGGGTAACCAGAGGAGGCTGACAATCCTGATGTAAGTTTTTTTTTGCCCTCCACCATGGAGAAGACGTGTATATGTTTAACAGGAATGATTAAACCATCAGGGAAGCTAGAGACCAAGGTATCGTAAAGAGGTTGAAAGGTTTGCCTGCACAAGGAGAAGTATCATTTTTTATTTTAAGAGAGGAATGAGAGTTGAGTTGTCCCCAGTCCCTCAGTTACAATTTGTTTCCATTTTTAATGCTTTCATGGCACATTGATCTTCACCATCTCCCTCCTATATCACCTTCAGCCTTGCATCTTCATCTGTATGTTGGCCTTTCATTCTTGAGGGAAAGGGACCATGTCAATCATCTTTCCATCTTTGTATTTGGTGACCTCCAAAGAGAAGGTGCTCAATATCATTTCCACTTGAATTACAGATGAGAAACAAGGAAGCATCACATTCTCGACTGTATTACAGTATCAGGCCTATAGGGCTGCTTTATTCCCAGGGCTTATCTTTAAGTTAAATTAAAAGGCATCTTAACTTAAGAGGTCACCTGGCAAGATGCCGGCCTACCAAGTGACCAGATGAGCATGAAATAGAGCAGACAGCAGTTATCCGTTCTGAGCATCTGCAGTCAAAGTATAAATGGAGATGGCCGATTTTCCTGAATAGAGCTGGGTTTGTGTTCAAGATAAATGGCCAGGCAAGGTGAGGTTTGATGATGAATGAATTGGGATTAGCATTGCAAGTGTGATGGAGAAAAGCTTTCTATTCCCAGCACTTAAAATCATTACTCTTGGTGAACATCTGCCATAATTAATCAATTCTCTCCTGTGTTTGCTCAGGGAACACTGTTTGGACCTCAGTTTGAGCACTGATTTGAGTCTACCTTCTTGATCCATAGATGCATAAAGTCTGTCTTTCCACTGGCCTGTGATCCCTTTGAGAACAGGGATTATTTTAATTAATGTTTGTATCACAGTGGTAACTCCAAAATTTCCCTACAGCACCACACACACACACGCACACACACACACACACATCCGTGTGTGTGCTATATAGAAATACATACATTTCCATATAGAATATAGAAATGCGTATATTTCCATATAGAATATAGAAATGCGTATTTTCCATATAGAATATAGAAATGCGTATTTTCCATATAGAATATAGAAATGCGTATTTTCCATATAGAATATAGAAATGCGTATTTTCCATATAGAATATAGAAATGCGTATATTTCCATATAGAATATAGAAATGCGTATATTTCCATATAGAATATAGAAATGCGTATATTTCCATATAGAATATAGAAATGCGTATATTTCCATATAGAATATAGAAATGCGTATATTTCTATATAGAATATAGAAATACATATAACCAGTGCTATATAGAAATACACACACACACTTATATAGAAGTACATATATTTCTACATAGAATATAGAAATACATATATTTCTACATAGAATATAGAAATACATATATTTCTACATAGAATATAGAAATACATATATTTCTACATAGAATATAGAAATACATATATTTCTACATAGAATATAGAAATACATATATTTCTACATAGAATATAGAAATACATATATTTCTACATAGAATATAGAAATACATATATTTCTACATAGAATATAGAAATACATATATTTCTACAGAGAATATAGAAATACATATATTTCTACAGAGAATATAGAAATACATATATTTCTACATAGAATATAGAAATACATATATTTCTACAGAGAATATAGAAATACATATATTTCTACAGAGAATATAGAAATACATATATTTCTACAGAGAATATAGAAATACATATATTTCTACATAGAATATAGAAATACATATATTTCTACAGAGAATATAGAAATACATATATTTCTACATAGAATATAGAAATACATATATTTCTACAGAGAATATAGAAATACATATATTTCTACATAGAATATAGAAATACATATATTTCTACATAGAATATAGAAATACATATATTTCTACATAGAATATAGAAAAACATATATTTCTACATAGAATATAGAAATACATATATTTCTACATAGAATATAGAAATACATATATTTCTACATAGAATATAGAAATACATATATTTCTATATAGAATATAGAAATAAATATAACCAGTGCTATATAGAAATACACACACACGTGTGTGTGTGTATTTCTATATAGCACTGGTTTGGGGAGGGGCAATCTATGGTTTGGGGAGTGGCCAGGTGTTATAAGAAAAGTGTCTGGCCTGTGTTTGCGTTATAGACTCATTTTTACTTAGATTTTATGTTTTTTTTAGGTAGCTTTAGGTGGTAGATGATGGAAGAGTAGTAAATCTCTGGTGAGGCATCAGTGCACCAGAAGAGTCCCTAAAATGCCTTGTACAAAATTGGTCTAATTGAGTATGTTGACATTTTGCTTGAATTTCTTTAAAATGTTAGGGGAATGGAGGAAATGCTCATCCAACCCAACTTTATCTTGTGAAGACTTGTTGTGCTTACAAGACATATTTTAATCAGTTCTGACAACCATTCCCTTCTAAGGATGGTGGATTCTATTTACAAGGGCCTGCCTTTAATGTTGCTGAGGGTGGGTATGTAGTTTAGGATTGAGTGTTTGGGCATGGCTGAGTCACTTTGCACAATAAAAGGAAGAGGCATGATGGTGCATGCTAAGGACTGAATTCATGTTGAAGCTCTAACCCCCAGTGTGACTGCATTTGGAGATGGGGTGACTAAGGAGGTAATTAAGTTTAAATAGATCATAAGGGTGGGGCCCTGATCTGATAGGATTAGCATCCTCTAAGAATACAAACTAGTGACCATTGATGGGCAGAAAGAAAGTGTGCACATATCCCCTAAAAAATATATACGCACACACACACACATACACACACATCTATCCTCTGGTGACGTGATTGAAAATGGATTTTTAAGGGCAGAAATATATAAAGAACATTTAAGTCTATTTCTGGGCTGGGCACAGTGGCTCACGCCTATAATCCAGCACTTTGGGAGGCTGAGGCAGGTGGATCACCTGAGGTCGAGAGTTCAAGACCAGCCTGGCCAACATGGTGAAACCTCGTCTCCACTAAAAATACAAAAATTAGCCAGGTATGGTGACGGGCGGCTGTAGTCCCAGCTACTTGGGAGGCTGAGGCAGGAGAATTGCTTGAAACCGGGAGGCGGAGGTTGCAGTGAGCCAAGATTGCACCACTGCACTCCAGCCTGGGCGACAGAAGACTCCATCTCAAAAAAAAAAAAAAATCTATTTCTGGCAAGATGTGCAATGTAATCCACCTGCTGCACACATAGTGACCAGAAGCACAAAGATTTTTGCTCCTAGTGTGAAACGGCAGAGTTGATGCAGAGAAGTAACAACTCAGCCAGGAACTACATTTCCCAGGCTCCTTGCATCTAGGTGGCTCTGTATGGCTAGTTATTGCAAATAGACTCTGGGTGAAGCAAGGTATGACTTTGCAGAATGAAGATATCAAGTCTCAGATGCTTGATCCTTTAGGTCAGAGGTAGGCAAACATTTTACCAAGGGCTAATAATACATATTTGTAGACTTTCCAGGCCATACAGTCTCTATTGCAAGTAATACTCAACTTTGCCTTTTAGCAAAAAATCATCCATAGAAAATGTATAAACCGGCCGGGCACAGTGGCTCATGCCTGTAATCCCAGCACTTTGGGAGGCCGAGGCGGGTGGATCACCTGAGGTCAGGAGTTTGAGACCAGCCTGGACAACATGGTGAAACCCCATCTCTACTAAAAATACAAAAAATATGAACCGGGCGTGGTGGCAGGCACCTGTATTCCCAGCTACTCAGGAGGCTGAGGCAGGGGAACTGCTTGAACCAGGGAGGTGGAGGTTGCAGTGAGCCGAGATCACGCCACTGCACTCCAGCCTAGGCAACAGAGTGAGACCCTGTCTAAAAAAAGTACAAACAAATAAGCATGGCTGCGTTTCAAAAAAAACTACTTACAGATATTGAAATTTGAATTTCATTTAGTTTTCACATGTCACAAACTATTCTTCCTTTTATTTTTTCAACCACCGAAAAATATGAAAATAACTATTAGCCCAGAAGCTATACAACTGGCAGTGGGCTGAATTTGGTTGCTGGGCGTTAGTTTGCTGACCTTGCTCTAGTTGCTGTCTTTTCTCACACTCTGTCACAGTACCTGACACCGAAGATCTTCTGGAGGACTCTGAGGACCCAGGACACAGTGGGCTGACAAGATGGAAGGAGAATCACCCAGGTAAGCTGCTCAAGAGAACTGCCCAAGAAGGAAGATCTTTGAGTGAGCAAGAAATAAACCTTTATTTTTGTTTAGCCACTGAGATTTGGGAGTTGTTACAGGAGGTCATGTTGCTTATCCTAATAACCCCCCTTTGCCATCTCTTGCCTCAGTGACAGATTCAATTAATTCTATATTGTTCACTAGGCTTTGTGGAGCTTAAGAAGGCCCAGAAGGGAAGGGCAAATACCTGGGCTATAATAATTTGTGTTAATTACTTTCTATATCAAAGTATTCTTGATATAGTTGAGAGTCTTTGGGAATGAGAAGACCATACTAAATCTTGCCTGGACTGCATCCAAAGGCTTTTTCTTCTATTTCAAACTTATCTCCAATGAATATGTACTAACACCTCATTTATCCACACAATTCCCCCATCTCCTTGACTACCTGCTGTATTTCTGGCAGTAGTTATTTGAAATTCATTGCATTTTTTTTCTCTAGTACATCCCTATCTCTTCCTCCATAAGTGAGCAGATTGTATCATTTTCTATGTATCTATGATTTGTTTTCCCAAGTCAGTTCCTCTATTAATTTGTCATCAGTCTCCTCATTTACTTGAAACACCTTTGCATCACTGTGAATGTTTTCCCCCTTTTTCCCTCTCTCCCTTGCAGAGAAGGAGGCTCCCTATCCCCTGGACAAGTGGATTTCATTCTGTCTCCCTCCCCGCACAACCTCAACAGCACCTTTAACCCCTCCACATCTTTGTTGCTGTTGTTGTTGTTGTTTGTTTTGAGACCAGGTCTCATCCTGCACCCAGGCTGGAGTGCAGTGGCACAATCATGGCTCACTATAGACTTAACCTCCCAAGCCCAAGCTATCTTCTCACCTTACCCTCCCGAGTAGCTGAGACCACCGGCATGCGCCACCATGCCTGGGTAATTTTTGTATGGTTTGTAAAGATGAGGTCTCTCTATGTTGCCCAGGCTGGTCTTGAACTCCTGGGCTCAAGCAATCCTCCCACCTCAGTCTCCTAAAGTGTTGAGATGACAGGCGTGAGCCACTGCACCCTGCCTAACCTTTCCACTTCTAATTGATTCTTTCCTTCTGCCTTCAATAATTCTATGATCATTCCTATCTTTAAAGTGGAAAAACTCTACTAACTTATCAAACCTATGACCTTTCAGAGATTAAGATTTTTGACACAATGCTTGGTACACAGCCACCCTTTTTCATGTACTGCTGTTTTATTTTGCTGCCAGTTATCAGTCTTACACCATTGCTGCAGATCTTGAGGTCACAGATGACCTCTTGGCTGGCAAATCAGTGGTTTTTCCTAACTCTTTAAGCCATCAGAACTCTGCAGTCCTTGACGTCTCGAAATACCATGTACCTTAGGTCTGGGGTAGTCCAACTTATTATGTACAACCTCAGAGATCCTGTATGAAGTTGCTCATTAGCCATTGATTCCCTGTATTTACAGGCCAAGAAGAAATGCTGTATTAGACATGAACTTGAGTGTTGATTCAGGCAAGAAAGAAGTCTGTGTGGATTGCTAGGGTCGTCAGTCATCCAGCGTGCATATATGTATTCTTTTTTTTTTTTTTTTTTTTTTTTTTTTTTTGAGACGGAGTCTCGCTCTGTCGCCCAGGCTGGAGTGCAGTGGCGCGATCTCGGCTCACTGCAAGCTCCGCCTCCTGGGTTCACGCCATTCTCCTGCCTCAGCCTCCCGAGTAGCTGGGACTACAGGCGCCCGCCACCACGCCCGGCTAATTTTTTGTATTTTTAGTAGAGACGGGGTTTCACCGTGTTAGCCAGGATGGTCTCGATCTCCTGACCTCGTGATCCACCCGCCTCGGCCTCCCAAAGCATATATGTATTCTTGTGAATTAAAGTGATGTAGACATTTAGCCACCTCTGTCAAGGCCAACTGCTTCAGAAAGTAGAGGATAAAAATGGTTGAGAGCAGCAGAAATTCCAGATATAAGGAAAACAACAAAGTAACTTATCAATATACCGCTATCATAGTACTTACATATTATTTGATTAAATCAAATGAAATAACCAATATTCGACATTTTTGGCCCACAAAAACAGCAATTGGTCATATGGTTCAATTTATTATAGAAAGTACCTGTTTTTTCTCATAGGCTGCATTTAAAGATCTGAAACTTACTCATATTTTATTTCTAGAGCTTAGTATACAGTGGGGTCAATGCATGTTGAACTGAATCAGAATTCAGTTCATAATGTACACCAGAAAATTTGGGTTCAAGTCAGCTCTGCCACAATGGTCCATGCCAACTTAGATAAGTCACCTTCATCGGAGCCATCTTTTCTCATCTGCAAAATAGGGGTTTCTGCACTGTCTTCCTCAAATATTTTTTGTAAGGATCAAATAGCATTGTATATATGGCAGCATTGTGTGATCTCTAAAAAGCTATATATCTTTACATAGTTTATATCTAGGATTCACTCATTATAGAAACTTAAAAACTAACATTGAAATGAGAATAAACTACCATTGTGGCTAGCTATGTTTTCCTATTTCATGGATGAATAACAGGATACTTACAAGGAACGTATCTCAGTTTACTCACACCTGTGATGTAGACCTACTCCTGGAACATGGATCTCCTGCTTACACCCTTTTTCTCTTCGAATTTTCCAGACCATTGACCTATTATAGTTGACCCTTGAACAATGCAGGGAATAAGGTCACCCATCCCCAGCACAGTTGAAAATCCACCTATAACTTTTGACTCTCCCAATACTTAGCCACTTGATAGTCTACTGTTGACTGGACACCTTACTGATAACACAAACAGTTGATTAACACATTTTTCATATGTTATATTATATTATATACTGTATTCTTACAATAAATTAAGCTAGAGTAAAGAAAACATTATTAAGAAAATTGTGTGGAAATTATATTTACTATTCATTAAATGGAAATTTATCAACACGAGTGTCTCATCCTTGTTGTCTTCATGTTGAGTAGGCTGAGAAGGAGGAGGAAGAGAGGGGTTGGTCTTGCTGTTTCAGAGGTGGCAGAGTCAGAAGAGGTGGAGGAGGTGGAAGGGGAGGTAGGAGAATTGCACTTGGTGTAACTTTCATTGAAAAAAGATCTATGTATAAGTGGAAATCCGTGCTGTTCTAGAGTCAACTGTAGTTACACACACCTTTTTCAGGTAGGGCTTTTAAAAAACTGCACTAGTTTTATCTCCAACTGAAAACTTTTAGACCCTAAATAGCTTACAGGTAATACTTTTGGCATTGAAATATTCCATCGTCAGCTCTCTAAGTCTAAGGATTCTTCCATTTACTACTTAGAGCTTTGCTCATGTCTTCCGCCCACCAAAGCACAGATCAGTTCCAGTCTCCAGTTTGCAAAAGATCTCCTGGACCTTTTCTGCTGCCTAGTCAAAAGCTTTTTGACTCAGTTCCAAATAATCCTTTCACCTTCATTTTATTAAAAGTATTTTATCATATTACAACCTTTCAAAAAGACATGAACTGCAACAGGGAAATAAATAGAGCTAATCTATTTTATATCATCAAAGTCCTTAAATGATGAAGATATGAAATATCCATTTTTCTTTCTCTTCCTGTTCATCATTGTGCAGAAAGATTATTGAGGCTAATTGAAGCCTGTTTCATTTTTCTGCTATTGGATGTGGGTTTTAGCTGAAGTGGAATGAAACATATCATATATGAAGGGAGATTACTTTTACAAATTAAACCAATGTATCTTACTGAGTTCTATTTCCAGAAATGTGACCTTATTATACTTGATAATTAAAAATGAGAGCAATAAAGACATGCTAGCCAACATGCCTTCTAAAAATGCCTGCTGGATTTGAATTAAGTTTGGTCTTGGCCAGTAAAATGTCACAAGGTACCCATCCCCTGTGGGGAACTGTGATGAAAAGCTCCTCATTGCAGCAGTTATTCCTGGCCACTCCAGATGAGATGCCAGCCTCCCTGTGTTCTTAGTAAATAAAAGGTTTTGGGGTATTCTTATTGGTGTTATTAAAGAAGGAAGGGGAAGATACTTAATATGGCTGCCTCCAAGATGACAGAAAAGGAGGGAGAGAGAGAGAAAGGAAGGAAGACTTGAAATCTTCATTTATTTTAAAGAGAAAGAATGGGTTGAAAAACAGACAAGAAACCTGAGGCCAAGGATGTGGGTGAGCTGGTGCAGGGAAAAGCTGACTTGGCAGAAGAAGTCAAGTAGAAGAGTGAGAATATCATGGATTATCTCATCCAAGGGAGGGAGACATCATGCTACGAAGTTCTAAGGACAGAAATTGAACATTTTTAGAACACCAGGAAAGAGGCTGGGAAGGGCAGAGTTGAGAGGATAAAGAAAAGGACTAAAGTCTTTAAAAGAGAAAAAGGTTGTTCAAATTTGCCGACTAAGCTGGACAATGCCAAACTCTTAACTCCATCGTTTCTTCTGGAATGGCTTCCCCTCATAGTTAAAATCCTGGGAATTATAATTATACATATAAAAAAGGGGTGCATTCAGGACAGCAGACCTTAGACTGCTAGTGTGCATACCTTAAAGCCAAGGAGGGGCTTAGACAGTGAAATGTAAGAGGAAAGCCCTGTGTTTCCAAGTCAAGTCTCCCATCTGGAGCCCCCGATGATTAAGAGTCTGGAACATGTTATCTCCAGTCTTCATTTATAGTTTCTCCTGGTAGGGGTAGTTAAAATGCCTTTACTCCTCTCTGTCCAGCTGGACTTGATCCCAGCCAAAGTCAATTTCAAATGCTCTAGTGTCTCAGAAAACAATCTGTATTGAGAATCCCACATGCCAGCACCTTTCTTATTTCACTCTGCAGTACAAAATGCATTGGTCAATTTTTTTTTATTTTATTATTTTTATTTTTTTTAGACAGAGTCTCACTCTGTCGCCCAGGCTGGAGTGCAGTGGTGCGATCTCGGCTCACTGCAACCTCCGCCTCCCGGGTTTAAGCAATTCTCCTGCCTCAGCCTCCTGAGTAGCTGGGATTACAGGCGCCCACCACTACACCCAGCTAATTTTTTCTATTTTTAGTAGAGACAGGGTTTCAGCCTGTTAGCCAGGCTGGTCTCGAACTCCTGACCTTGTGATTTGCCTGCCTTGGCCTCCCAAAGTGCTGGGATTACAGGTGTGAGCCACCACGCCTAGCCACATTGGTCATATTTTAAAACATCAAATGTCCAAAGATAGTCTGTGATCTTGCAGATGGATGAGATTTCAGATATCACCTCATTCATATTCAAACCATCCACAAGATGTGCTGCCCTTCATAGTGGACAACTTATAGAGGTAGGATTCATTATTGGTCAATTTGCCTACATTCTTTTTTTTTTTTTTTTTTTTAATGAGACAGAGTCTTGCTCTGTTGCCCAGGCTGGAGTGCAGTGGCATGATCTCGGCTCACTGCAAGTTCCACCTCCCAGGTTCATGTCATTCTCCTTCCTCAGCCTCCTGAGTAGCTGGGACTACAGGCACCTGCCACCACACCCGGCTAATTTTTTTTTTTTTTTTGTATTTTTAGTAGAGACAGGGTTTCACCGTGTTAGCCAGGATGGTCTCGATCTCCTGACCTCATGATCCGCCCGTCTCAGCCTCCCAAAGTGCTGGGATAGATTGCCTACATTCTTATCCTGCTTACAAGCTGTGTCAGCTCAAGCAAGTTTTAAAAATTGTCGTTCATCTGTAAAATATGAATATTAACAGCACCTACAGCAATGTAACATCACTGGCTATTTTCTGTCATGTAGAAAGCAGAGAGATGTAGCCCATAGTGATCATTCTGAATCTTTACAGGCATTTTACCCCTACCAGGATCACCAAGAAGCCTTGTTAAAACACATGTTGCTGACTCCCACCCTCTGTTTCTGGGATAGGGCCTGGAAATCAGCATTTGTAACAAGTTTCCAGGTGTCATTGATGCTGTTGGTCTGGATACCACACTTTGCGAACCACTAGTCTATAACAAGAAAGAAGAATAAAACCAACATATTCAAAAATCAAAGATAGATGCATGATAGAAGAAAAGGTAGGAAGGAAGGAAGGTAGGAAGGAAGGAAGGAAGGAAGGAAGGAAGGAAGGAAGGGAAGAAGGAAAGAAGGGAGGGAGGGAAGGAGGGAGGGAAAGAGAGAAAGATAACATATTCGGTCTTCCCCAGAGACATTCAATTTCTTCTTGAGGCTTAGCTGCTTCTCTTTTGGTTTTGGGAACTACCCCAAGATCATTCCATTCAAGTCCCTTTCTTGAGCTATTATAATTTGGTGTTTTTACAATTCAAAATATCATTAAAGTGTTCTTGATGGGCAATGCAGTCCCCTACTTGAAAAGCCAATTTCTCATACTTCATTTCAAACACCCAGAAAGTATCTATACCCATTCCCTGTATAAACAAGAAGGGTCTAACCTCCAGAGTAAGATGAAGACTTTCAAACAAAGGTAAGAAGACTCTCCCTCCAGGTAGACATCATAGCTGAGCACAGCTCAGTGACAACCGAGAAGATGAATCGCAGACTTGAAAAATCAGTTAAAAGCCCACAGGATTTCCTATGCAGCCAGGATATGAGGTGCTTGTTAGCCCAACCCGCATTTGCAGTGCCACACTGTAGTCTGCTATGGTGGAACAGGCCTGGGCTTTGGGAGCCAGACAGACTTAGATGTGAGCCCCACCTTTGCCATCACCAGCTGTGTGGCCTCAGATAAGTTACTCAGCATTTCCAAGCTTCAGTTACCGCATGTGTTAAATGAATTAATAACAGTGTCCACTTGACAGAAATTACACAGGGTGCTTTCCACAGCTTACCAGTCGGTGGGATTACCAATTGATCAATCCCAAAGATTGATAAGCTGTGGAAAGCACCATTTATAACTCCTGGGCCATTTCTGGGAGGTGAAGATAAATCATATCATCATTGTTAGGACACAGTGGGAAGAGGAGGCCAAAAAGATGAACGTTAATGAGAAATGGTTACGCAGAATACAGAACAGTCACAGGTGTCTGTCAGGCAACATGGCCAGAGGGTTGACTGGGGCTTTTTCCATGACCCCTCCCCAGCTGCATCAAACTCTACTACAGGGAGACACAAGTGCAGGACCCCAGCTCTCATTCTAATTTTTTTTTCTCTTTTTGAGATGGAGTCTCACTCTGATACCCAGGCTAGAGTGCAGTGGTGCAATTTTGGCTCATGCAAACTCTGCCTCCCGGGTTCAAGCGATTCTTCTGCCTCAGCCTCCCAAGAAGCTGGGACTATAGTCACGTGCTATCATGCTCGGCTAATTTTTCTTTTTGTATTTTTAGCAGAGACACGGTTTTGCCATGTTGGCCAGGCTGGTCTCAAACTCCTGACCTCAGGTGATCCACCCGCCTCAGTATCCCAAAGTGCTGGGATTACAGGTGTGAGCCACCACACTCGGCATCATTCTAATTCTTAATCTACTGCCTGACCCTCATTTTTTGTCAGTTTACTTCTTTCCACTCAGTAACTTCAATTCTTGGTCACAGCACAGAGTAACCAAAACTTTCCCTACCAGAGCACAATCACACCATGTCTGGAGAAAGCCCTGGTATTCCTGAGTTCCCCTTGTGAGGGCTCCAAAGCAGATGCCTCCAGAGATGTCTGATCCACCAGCCTGCTCACCAGCGTGGTGAGTGGAGTAGCAGAGGCCTCTCACCAGGGGTATTCCTGCTTCCTTTCGCCAGTCCTGGCCCCATCACAGGAAAGCCCTCTGCACCTATGACTGGGCCCCTCCAGCTGAGACCTACCAAGTGTAATGCTCCGGTAACTGAGCTGATTTTTAAGGAATAAACTTGCCAGGACATTGGCACCCAGATACATGCTGTCCTCTTTTAAGTGGGATCTATGTGAGGCTGCGCAGAACCAGGGATGTCATCTTGGTATAGATGTCTCCAACTCTGGAATTCTTTGAGCCGTCAACACTCACAGCGTGTCTTCCCTCTACAATACTGATATTGGTGGCAAATCTTCATTTGCTCCAAGTGGATTTGATTTTGAAAATAGCTAAGAGCTATTTAATACCAAGCCTTGAGAAGAAGGGTAATCAAGCAATTGAATAGCAGTTTGGGTAATAAACAAGTGTGACTTGGAGGTTGATTTTTCTGAGCATGGGCCATAAACCGATTCTGAGAGTAATCAGAAATGCAGGTATACAAGTGTTTCCACATGCCCTTTCTTCCCAAGTAAATGAGGTGTAAACTCATGAATGCTGAGGCCTACTGTGCACCAGACACTTTCCATATATAATCTTGTTAGAACCTCTCAAGAATTCTATGATCAAAGTTTGCAAAGAGGAAACAGATCCCCAGAGCAATAACTTTTCAGTCTCACAGAAATAATAACCGGCAGAGGCAGGGTGAGACTTTAAGCTACCTGATTCCCAAATACTCATGTGCTAGGACTTACTCAAAAGGCTTTGCACTCACCCAGAGCTGGGGACTTGATTCCTGTCTTGGCTGCCATCTTTTGGGTTTCATCCTCTCTTGCTGTCTGTTCTCTGAACCTCAGCTTCCCACTTGGCACCCTCCTGCTCTTTAAAACATGAAGTCAGTATAACTTTGCCTAATAAAGTAAACCTTCAAAAAGCTCTGATAAAAATAATATTCACAGTGTTCAACTGGCAAGATACCCCTACTTTTCTCACAAGTCACCCCAAAGCAACAAGGGAACAATAAAAAAAAAAAAAACAAGAAATATGGTCACAAACTCTGTCTTTCATGTAACCAGGAAATATCAGTAACTTAAAGTAACAGTACAGTTGGTTCTTGTTCATAGCAGCTATGGTCTACAAAGTCACTGCAAACGCTGAGTTACCAAATACTGAACCACTGTTAGGGGAGATACAGAGCTGGGCTCCTGCAAACTTCTGGTCACGATATGCTCATCAACCAATCAATACACAACTTTATGTGTAGACTTTATGTAACATATAGTTGGCCCTTCAACAACGTGGGCTTGGACTGCACAGATCTACTTATATGCCTATTTTCTTCCACCTCTGTCCCACTTGAGACAACAAGACTAACCCTTCCTCTTTTCCTCTTTCCCCTCCTCCTTATGATTTTTTTTTTTTTTTTTTTTTTTTTGAGATGGAGTTTCGCTGTTGTTCACTATTGTTGGCGCGATCTCGGCTCACTGCAACCTCTGCCTCCCGGGTTTAAGCAATTCTCCTGCCTCAACCTCCCTAGTAGCTGGGATTACAGGCATGTGCCACCACGCCCAGCTAATTTTGTATTTTTAGTAGAGACGGGGTTTCTCCTGTTAGTCAGGCTGGTCCTGAACTCGTGACCTCAGGTTATCTGCTGCCTTGGCCTCCCAAAGTGCTGGGATTACAGGCATGAGCCACTGCATCCAGCCATGATGTTCTTAATAACATTTTATTTCCTCTAGTTTACTTTATTGTAAGAATACAGTATATAATACCTATAACATATAAAATGTGTGTTAATTGACGGTTTATATTATCACTAAGGCTTCCAGTCAACAGTAGGCTATTAGTAGTTAAGTTTTGGGGAAGTCAAAAAGTATCCATCAATTTTCGACTGCACAAAGGGTGAGTCCCCTTCGTAACCGATTTGTTCAAGGATCGACTGTATATTGTTAATTCATTAACACTGAACTCATGGCCAACAGCATGATACTTCATGCCTGAACAAACGTTATCTAAACACATGTATTTTTTTCTGTAAGGCATATCACAGTCCGGGAGCGGTGGCTCACGCCTGTAATCCCAGCACTTTGGGAGGCCAAAGCGGGTGGATCACGAGGTCAGGAGATCGAGACCATCCTGGCTAACAGGGTGAAACCCCGTCTCTACTAAAAATACAAAAATTAGCCGGGCATAGTGGCGGGCGCCTGTAGTCCCAGCTACTCGGGAGGCTGAGGTAGGAGAATGGCGTGAACCCGGGAGGCGGAGCTTGCAGTGAGCCGAGATCACGCCACTGCACTCCAGCCTGGGCGACATAGCAAGACTCCGTCTCAAAATAAAAAAGAAAAAAAGAAACATTAGACAGTGCTTCAGCACTATGTTTGGTGGCCATTTTAAATGGCAAAATCACCAATTGATATGGTTTGGCTCTGTGTCCCCACCCAAATCTCATCTCAAATTGTAGTCCCCTAATCCTCATGTGTCAAGGAGGGTACCTGGTGGGAGATGATTGGATCATAGGGGCCGTTTCCCACATGCTGCTCTCATCATAGTGAGTTCTCGTGAGATCTGATGTTTTTATAAGTTTCTGACAGTTCCTCCTTCACATTCTCTCTCTCCTGCTGCCTTGTGAAGAAGGTGCCTGCCTCCCCTTCGCCTTCTGCCATGATGGTAAGCTTTCTGAGGCCTCCCCGGCCATGTGGAACTGAGTCAATGAAACCTCTTTTGTTTATAAATTACCCAGTCTGGGGTATTCTTTATAGCAGTGCGAAAATGGACTCATACATCAACCAAAAGCTCAAAAATGTGAAAAATGTGGCATTAAATAAACCACATTGCTTACAGTCTGAAAGCAGAAACAAGAAGGCAAAACGTTGAGATACAAGGGCTCACAGAAGATAAGTGAGCTGATAGAAGGAAATAAAACATAAGTTGGAAGCTTAGGAAAAATAAAAGATAAAAAAATCTTAAAGGTCACATTAGAAGCAGCATATAGAAGGATAAACACTGCTGTGAACATATAAAGAAATATAGAGAACAAAAATGAGGAAAGCAAAGAAAATTAAATGGAATAATCAAAATTTGAACATGGAAAAGACAACAACAGAGAAGAAAGACACGCATGATACAATATATAACATAAAATAATTGATATCTCCAAAAACATGAACTACCAGAGGATACATGTCAACTAACTGGAGATAAATGGGAAAAAAAAATGGCAAAAGGACAATGGAATTGTAGGATAAAAACAAAAGTGGTTAGTGGTTCAGTGTAAAATGAAAATATTAGAACCCCCAAAAATATAGAAATAAATCCCTAACAAAAGTTATGCATCTGTGGGGAGGAAGAAAAAGTTAGCATTTAAATATGATAGATCAAGTAATTGAGCTATAAATGTACTTAACAATTATAAGTTAAACAATAGAAAAAAATAAAGTCAACTAAAATTGAGTGGTAGAAGTTAAGGGCAAAACATAAAGAAGGTGTCATAGGCCAATTTGTTGTTATCTGTAGATATTACAATGTTTACATAGATATGTAAATGTCAAATACAAATACCTAAATGAAATACGCATCTTAATGTTTAAAACAGTAACTCTTAAACTAAAATAAAAATTTTCCAAATTAGTAAAGCAGACACATGCACACACACACACACACAAAACTGCACACACTAAAAGCAGAAAAATTCAACCCAGAAAGGTTAAAATATAGAGAAGGGCAAATAAAATTCAAAGAAGGAACTGCTCATAATCTTAACAGATAAAATTATATTCCAGGCAAAAAGACTTCAGTGAATCAAAGCAGAACCCTTTACAATAATATAGGTTCAATTTACAATGAAGATCTAATAGTTATTGATAATTGTGTACCAAATAATAGCATTATTATTCATACAGGAAATGAACAGGAAATCACTAGATAAGTAGACAGACATCATAATAGAAGACTTTATTTCACCTCTCCAAATCCATAAAAGAGAAACTAAACAAAAAATAAAAATAAAAAAGGATAAAGAAACTCAAGGAACATAATAATATGGACAAAACTGATATATAGTTACCTCTCTACCTTAGAGACAGAGGTAGAGGTATCTTCCTTGTAAGTACTTATGAATCATTGGGAAAAATCTGATCATGAGGTCAGAAAGTAAAACTCAGTAAATTCCCACAAGAGAAAATAGTTTAGAAATCTCTCTGATCACAGTGAAATAAAACTAAAAGGCAATTACAAAACTAGGGGTAAAAAAATACTCAACCATCTGGAAATGTTAAAACATGTTTTTAAATGTTGAGTTAATTACAAAGAACTAGAAAAATAAAGATAAGAAACTACTATATACCAGAACATGCAGGATACAGCTAAAGCAGAACTCAGAGAAACATCTTTAACTATATTAATGAACTAAAAAAAAGAAAAATAAATAAATATTATCAACCTGGCATCTTATAACTCATAAAATAAGCCAAAATCAGCCAACCAGTCAAAAGAATAAGGAAAACAGAAAAATCCCTGCCTCCACTAAAATAAATTTTACATTAATCAAAGATACAAATATTAAAAAGAAATAATTAAAAATTGCTATTTCTGTTTTTTATTTCTATTTTTATTTTTTTGAGATGGAGTCTCGCTCTGTCGTCCAGGCTGGAGTGCAGTGGAGCAATCTCAGCTCACTGCAAGCTCCACCTTCCGGGTTCACGCCATTCTCCTGCCTCAGCCTCCCGAGTAGCTGGGACTACAGGTGCCAAAAATTGCTGTTTTTGATGTAAGAAAGAGCATTCCATAAAAGGAAAAGCCGAAACACCACACCACTGAGAATATATAGTAAAATTTCTACATTAAAAAAAATCCATAAAAACAAAGAAAAGTTAAGAGGAAAAATATGCTTCCTCTGGCAAGAAATAATAATTTATTAATATACAAAAAGCCCCCAAACTCAACAGGAAAAGAAGACAAAGAGCATAAGAGAAAAATGGGCAAAGATTATGAATAGATATTTTAGAAAAGGAGAGACAAATGGCTTTAAAACTTTGAAAAGATGCTCAGCTTTACTCATACTTAGAAAAATCAAAATAAAATTCCAATTTTTTAAACTATTAAATGGTCATAGAGCAAATATTGGATAATCCACTGTCTTGCAAAAACATAGGGAGAAAGGTATTCACATTGCTGAGAGTGAAAACTGTGCTATTGACAGCAAGTGGGCAATAACTCAAAAACCAAAGTACATCTGCCTTTGATTCCAAAATTCTACCTCTAGAAATGTAGCCGTAAAATACACTCAAGCACTTGTTGAAATAACACACACGCAAGTGTTTTAGAGCATTGTTTACAGTAGCAAAAGAATTAAAACAACTTCAATATTTATCAGTAGGATGGGAGCTAAATGTTTTGAGGTAGTGATACAATGGATACAATATGGTTTTGTTAGTTTGTTTGTTTTTGAGACGGAGTCTCACTCTGTGGCCCAGGCTGGAGTGCAGTGACACGATCTCGGTTCACTGCAACCTCTGCCTCCCGGGTTCAAGCCATTCTCCTGCCTCAGCTTCCCGAGTGGTTGGGATTACAGGCACCCACCACCACGCCTGGCTAATTTTTGTATTTTTAGTAGAGACGGGGTTTCACCATGTTGGCCAGGCTGGTCTCGAACTCCTGACCTCAGGTGATCCGCCTGCCTCGGCTTCCCAAAGTGCTGGGATTACAGGCTTGAGCCACCGCGCCCGATCCACAATGTGTTTTTAAAAGGAAACAGCTCTGAATATACTAATAAGGAACCAACTTGACGGTTTACAATTGAAAGTAAAAAGCGAAGTGCAAAAGAAAAAAAAAAATAGGTCTCATATACTACTGTCTATGCCCACCGAAACAATCTATGTTGATACTGATGTACCTCTACACAGATATATTTGTGTAGGAAGGAAACTGATAGCAGTCCGTATCTGGGCAGGGAATAAGGGTGGCCGGCTGACGGGCAGTGAGGAGGAGGAGTGATCTAAGGTTCACCATATGCTATTTTTCAGAGTTTGTATTTTGAATCTGTGAGTGCATTACCTATTTAAAATATGTATTTTAACTTTAAGACAGTATGTACGGGGAGTGGCCGGGAAGCGTGGAGTTTCGTTGGCTTCCCACCAACCATACTGCTCAGCTGGGCGTCTCTGTGTGGAACACAGTGAGAGGTGGGACACAGAGATGACCAGCTGAGCAGTCGAGCTGGTGGGAAGCACAGGAGGACGTGCTAAGAATTGTGAGGCATCCTCCTTGCCTCTCCTTGTGGGTACTTCCCTGGCCTCAGCTCCAGTCTCCTCCCTACACTGCGACCTCTTCTACTGTACATAGCCCAAGTTCGCTGTCCGCTCAGCACCCAACCCACAGTCCTCTGTCGCAGAATTCAACTTCTAGTGGCAAATGGGTTGATTAGTTATAGCCTAGTCTATAAATTGGTTTCCCCTAAATCCAAGCTCCACTCTTTTTCAACGGGTAGCCAGGAGGATGAGATAACACAAATATAAACCCATTCCCTGTAATATCTCCAGCAGGGGCTTTAGTGGGAGGTAACTTACAAACAGGAAGAAATGTGAGGAGGACGGGGCAGTGATAGGCGAGTTTAGTATAAAACTGGTGGGAGAGGGCACACTTTTGAAATCACACATTTGTGTTTACATTCCTGCTCTGCTTCTTATCAACCACGTGACCTTGAGCTAACAACAGCCTCCACCTCTCTTGCATGGTTTTTGTGGGGATTGTTGATGAGATAGTTTAAAATGGCGGGCACATCGTAAGTGTTTGATAAGTGGTAGGTGTTGCTATGAGCAAATTGAAATGCCACAAGATTTCATTTATATGTGGAATATAAAAAAATAGAGAGTAGAATGGTGGTTAGCAGAGGCTGGGGGTCAGGATGGATGGGGTAAGGGGAGATGTAAGTCAAAGCATATGAACTTTCAGTGAGCCAGGAGGACTAAATTCTAGCGATCTATTGCACGACATGGGGACTATAATTAATAATAATGTATTATGTATTTCAAAATTGCTAAAATAATGAATTTTAGATGTTCTCCCCATAAGGAAATGAAAAGAATATATGTGAGGTAACAGATTTGTTAATTTGCCTGATTTAATCATTACACAGTGTATGCCTGTATGAAAACATCATGTTGTACCCCATAAATATATACAATCATTATTTGTTAATTAAAAGAAAAGTACATCTTAAAAAAATTATTTTCTAAGAGTTCAATAAGGCACAGGTAAGCCAAGCTTTTAAAAATCCTTTAAAAAGAGGCTTGGGGCCAGGCGCGGTGGCTCACCCCTGCAATCCTAGCACTTTGGGAGGCCGAGGGGGGCAGATTGCCTGAGCTCAGGAGTTTGAGACCAGCCTGGGCAACACAGTGAAACCCCATCTCTACTAAAATACAAAAGAAATTAGCCAGGTGTGGTAGTGCGCACCTGTAGTCCCAGCTACTTGGGAGGCTGAGGCAGGGGAATTGCTTGAACCCGGGAGGCAGAGGTTGCAGTGAGCCGAGACGGTGCCATTGCACTCCAGCCTGGGCAACAGAGCAAGACTCTGTCTCTACAGAAAAAAAAAAAGGCTTTGAGAAGATGGATTATGCACTGCCTGAGAGTGATAGTTTCTTAGGACACACGACGAAGCCCACACAGGAAAGAAGAGGTGAAGAAGCCAAGACTCCCTGTCATTCTGCATGTATGGGACCCACTCATGTTTCCTTTAGACTTAGTTCTAGAGTCTGGAGAGGCCTGAACAGGAAGGCAGGAAAAGTAACTCTGTCTCTGTGGTCCCTGCCTCCTTCTCAAGTGAATGCTTGCACCACCAGGCTCTTCTGTGCAGGACAGTACTGCTGTCTGCAGCATTCCAAGAGATACGGAAAGACAAGGGGAAAAGAGAGAAGACTTCATTTATGGGAGTTCCTACGTGTGCCTTTTATGTAATCTCTCTTGATACAATACTGGCAGGCAGACTTCAATGTGGCTATTTTATCAATGAGGAAACCAGTGCTTAGCCAGGTAATGACAGGTAATTAGAAAAGTATCCAGACTATACTCTCCCGATCTGGAAATCTAAATTCTCTTCACTATACCATGCCTTGTCTTTCACTTGTACAAGCTCATAGGACACCAATCACAGCAATCTTTTTTTTTTTTTTTTTTTTTTTTTGAGATGGTGTCTTGCTCTGTCGCCCAGGCTGGAGTCCAGTGGCGTGATCTCGGCTCACTGCAAGCTCCGGCTCCCGGGGTTCATGCCATTCTCCTGTCTCAGCCTCCCAAGTAGTTGGGACTACAGGTGTGTGCCACCACACCCGGCTGATTTTTTTGCATTTTTAGTAGAGACGGGGTTTCACCATGTTAGCCAGGATGGTCTTGATCTCTTGACCTCATGATCTGCCCGCCTCAGCCTCCCAAAGTGCTGGGATTACAGGCATGAGCCACCGCGCCCGGCCAGCAATCGTATCTTTGATTCTCTCTTGTGACATTTTATTTTCCTATGATTCACATAATAAGGTTCAACCTACATTTCAGATAACTGAAATCCAAGCATCTAGGAATCTTTGACTTTGAGACTTCCCTTCAGAATGTTAGAGACAGAAACTATCTGTGACATGAACCCAACCAAGTGAGGAAGTCTACAGAGGCTAGAATATAGAAATGGACATGCCAGTGGCAGAAAGAAGTGTGATGGTATGAGTTGATCAGGTAACAGTCCCAAAGAAACCTCTGTGGGGCAGAGGAGTGAGAAGAGGGTTTGCAATGGTTCAAGGTCAGTAATCCAGGTGGTAGAAGAGCACTGGAAGGGAGGCTGAAACCGCAAGGGAAGTACAGGGATAAGTGGATCCCCACTATCGAATCAGATAAGAAAGTGAGTGAATGAGTGCCTTCAAAAATTATGGGTTGGGTGCAGTGGCTCACACCTGTAATCCCAGCACTTTGGGAGGCTGAGGCAGATGGATCACAAGGTCAGGAGTTCGAGACCATCCTGGTCAACATGGTGAAACCCTGTCTCTACTAAAAATACAAAAAATTAGCTGGGCGTGGTGGCGGGCACCTGTAGTCCCAGCTACTCAGGAGGCTGAGGCAGGAGAATGGTGTGAACCCGGGAGGCAGAGCTTGCAGTGAGCCAAGATTGCGCCACTGCACTCCATCCAGCCTGGGTGAGAGAGCAAGACTCCATCTCAAAAAAAAAAAAAAAAAAAAAAAAAATTATGATGTTGTCAAATGCTGAAACAGTGGTTGCCAGAGACAAGGGGCATTGCCCAGGATTCTCCAGGAAAACAAAAAACAAAACAAAACAAAACTCACTGGAGATATCTGTATTTATATCTATACCTAGAGATTTATTGTAAGGAATTGGCTCACATGATTACAGATGCTGACAAATCCTAAGATCTGCAACCAGCAGGCTGGAGACTCAGGAGAGCCAATGGTATAGTTCCAGTCCAAAGGTCTGCAAACTCAGGACCCAGGAAGGGCCAACATGTCTCTGTTCAAAGGCAGTCAGATAAGAGTTATTTCTTATTTGTAGAAGGATCAGACTTTTTGTCCTATTTGGGCCATCAAAGGATCAGATAAGGCCTGCCCATGTTAGGGAAGTTAATCTGCTTTACTCAGTCTACTGATTCAAATATGAATATCATCCAAAACCATCCTTCTGGGCACACCTAGAATAATGTTTGACCCAATATCTGGGCAACCCATGGCCCAGTTAAGTTGACACAAAAAATTAATCATACACAAGGGTATAGGAGTGAATATGAAATGAACTCAGGAAAATAACTAACGAATGTCACTGAGAATCTGGCTTGAGATGATAAGGAATGGCTAGAGGAGAGATTAATGCAGATCTTAACAGTATGAAATGGCAAAGCCACCAAAGGAGAATTTGCTTGGCATCATTGATGGCTGGGGTGAGAGGAGTGTGTAGGTGAATACTGGGACAAACAATATACGGGCCTGTGTAAACTTAGAGTAGCATGACAGGTGCTTCTACAGCCAATTTGGATTTGGAATTAAAGCAAAATTGCTTTCACTCATCTTCTGTCCAAGGAAAATTATACATCATTGTTGAGATAATGGTGTTAGGAGACCAGTGCAATCTGTGCGAAAGTTCCTTAAAAAGAAGTTCTGCTCTTAAATGCAAGTGTGTAATGCACACATTCACAGGATGTCATAGGACGTAGGACCCAGTGTGGTTCTCTTGATATGATGGTGCTTATTACCCACCCCAAGACCAAAGGCAAGGGTAGTGCCATCAAGAGACACTGAGTTTCCTTCAGACCCAGCTGACCTAGGTCATTTAGGGAGTTCCATCCAGAGGCTGAAGATATAAATTCAGTAGTAATTCAGCATAGTGATGATACTATATAAAACTGTGGAACAAATGAGACCACGTAGGGCAGTGGTTCTCATTCCTGAGTGCATGTAAGGATCATCCATGATGATTTCGAAACCAGCCACAGCCAGAGCTCCAGTCCCAGGGACTCTAATTCCCCTTGCCTGGAAATTATCACTGCATTTAGAAACCTTCTGGATGACGCTAATGAGCAGGTAGAGTTGAGAACAGATGATCCAGGGGAGCAAAGAGGAACCTGGACCAACATTGAAGCACTCAACATTAGACATCAGTTTGAGAAGTAGAAGCTAGAAAAGACAAGGAAAGCCAGAGATAAAAGTGATTTGAGAGGAGGCCAGGTTAATGGTATCAAATCCTGCCAAGTGAATCAGATGAGGCCAGAGAAGTGACCTAGGCATTTGGCAGTCTGAAGGTAGTTTGTTACCTTGGCAGTTTCCTTGTGGAGTGGTAGGGACAGAAATCAGCCTAGAGTGAGTTGAGGTGGAAACAGTCATTATAGCAACATTCTTGAGTTTTGTACTGAATTGATGAGTGTAAATGATGCAGCAGCTGCTATAGGATGTGAGAATGGGAGCTTTTTACTGTGCTGATGGGAGTGATCCAATAGAAAAGAGTAATTTTATAACAAATAAGAAAAGTATAATAACCATATCAGTAACGTCCCTGCAAAAGCAAGAGGAGATGGAGTCCAGATAATAAGCAGCATTGGGCCAGGTGCAGTGGCTTATGCCTATAATCCCAGCACTTTGGGAGGCCGAGGCGGGCAGATCATGAGGTCAGGAGTTCAAGACCAGCCTGGCCAACATAGTGAAACACCGTTTCCACTAAAGATACAGAAAATTAGCAGGGCATGGTGGCATGTGCCTGTAATCCCAGCTCCTCGGGAGGCTGAGGCAGGAGAATTGCTTGAACCTGGGAGGCGGAGGTTGCAGTGAGCCGAGATCATGCCATTACACTCCAGCCTGGGCAAAAGGGTGAGACTTCGTCTCAAAAAAAAAAAAAGCAGAAAGAGAATGGGGTCCCCATCTGATGACTTCTACAAACATCTATTTAAGTCAATGGAATTACAAAATAAATATTTTGAAGTCTATTTTGGTCACCCCACTGACTATATCATAGACATATTTTATGTCAGTACATCTATATCTCAATCATTCCTTTAAAATTACCACATAATAGGCCAGGTGTGGTGGCTCACACCTGTAATCCCAGCACTTTGGGAGGCCGAGGTGGGTGGATCACGAGGTCAGGAGTTCAAGATCAGCTTGGCCATGATGGTGAAACCCCATCTCTACTAAAAATACAAAAAATTAGCCGGGCGTGGTGGTGAGTGCCTGTAATCCCAGCTACTCGGGAGGCTGAAGCAGAGAATCGCTTGAACCCGGAAGGCGGAGGTTGTAGTGAGCCGAGATCGCGCCACTGCACTCCAGCCTCGGTGACAGAGCAAAACTCCGTCTCAAAAAAAAAAATTACTACATAGTATTTATTTGTATAGGTTATCATTGGTTTAGTTAATACTGTTGGAATGGGAGCATATAGATTTTTTTCCATCTTTTTTACGATAAATATATTTTACAGATGTTTTTCTTATTTCCATTAAGATAAATTCCTAAGTATGAAATTCCTATAAAAATCATCCTTTATTATATTATTAATGGTTCTTCAGAACCAGTAGGATATATAGACATACACAAGAAGAGATTTGTTGTGGAAACTGGTTTCATGTGATTATGGAAGCCAAAACCTCCCACAATATACTTAACTGTAAGTTGTTGGAGAATCAGCAAAGCCAGCGGTGTCATTCAATCTGAATTCAAAGACCTAATAATAAAGAAGCCAGTCCTGTAACTAAGTCTGAGTCCAAAGTCCTGAAAACCAGGGGGGCTGCTGGTGTAACTCTTAGGCTCTGAAGGCTGGAGAACCAGGAGCTTCAATGTCTGAGGGCAGGAGAAGATAGACATCCCAATTCAAGAAGAGAGAGTGAGTATGCCCTCCCTCAGCATGTTTGTTCTACTTGGGGTCCTCAACAGATTGGATGATGCCTCCCCACATTGGTGAGGGTGGGGCTTCTTTACTCACGCCACTGATTCAAATTCTAATCTCTTCTAGAAACACCTGCACAGATACATCCAGAAATAGTGTTTAACCAGCTATCTGGGCATCCCTTAACCCAGTCAAGTAGACAGATAAAATTAACCATCACTATTATTAATTAGCTTTCCCTTTGCTAGTATTTTTATTACCCCTTTAAGCAACCAGATTCTGCTTATAGAAAGCCACAGATATAATTTCCATTTTCTTTAAACTTCCTATGCTAGGCAAAGAATATATTATTATATATTAGTATACATATTATGATATTACATAACATATAATATATAGCCTCTTTTAATATATTGTGGTCTCACAGATTAGTTGAACTTCATGTGAAATTTTATATTAATTATTTAAAGAGCTGCTTTTCATTTTTCTAACAACCCAACGGTAAGCAAGAAGCTGTTTGGCCAACCTTGAAAAAGCTGCTTCTGGAAGTTGAAAGGAATTGCAGTTTAAATTCACAAGGACGATCTCTCCTCTCCTTCCACACATACCCTCCACACACACATACCTTTTATCTTCCTTCCTCTGCTCATATTTGTTAATCTCATTGGCGAATTTTTAATTCTCAAAAACTGACCCTAAGCCCTCTGAAGATACGATTTGTGCCAAAATTGGTTCAAATGCTCTTGACTTTTCTCCACCCAAAGGCAATTATCAGTTCTTGACATGGCACTGAATCCTTGAATTCTTCCCCGACACTTATTACACTGGAAGCTACTCTGCAGAAGGACACTGGCTGCCACTTCATTTGAATCCTTTGCTTTATCCAGTATAGAATCACAAGGTGACCAACTCTTGGTCTAAAAGACTCAGTAGCCAAGGCCACCACAAGACCCGACACCCAATTCTAATGTCAAAGAAGAGGTATCTTTTAAAAATACAAATATGATTTGATCCTTCATTGCTTAAAGCCCTTTGCTCTTGGAATAAATACAGGCCTCCGTAGCTGGACCCAAAAGAGCCCTCATGCTCTTTGATCACATATTCACCATGCTACCCCTCAGCCTCTGAAATCCATTTGCACTGGTCTTATTTCAGTTTCTTGAGCAAGTCATGTACACTTCTATCCCCGCTTGCAAGGAACTCTTCTAACATCCTTCTTTGCCTCATCCTTCAGATCTTGATATACCTCACCTCTTCAGGGAAGCCTCCTTTACTCCAGATAGGTTGAACACCCCTATTATTTGCCTTCATAGTGCCATGTGATTCTCCATTCTAAGCCCTCCCCTCCATTGAAATTTCATATGTGTTTCTGTGCTTTTTGATTAATATCTATCTCCCTTTCCAGAGTAAAAGTTTCATGAAAACCAGAATGGTACTTGCTTCCCTCATCATTACATACCCATCATCAAACACAGTGTGCAAGAAAATGTTTGTTTTCTTGAGTGGCTGAATGAGAGAATTCAATTGGTTGAATGAGAGAATGAATGAGTGGCTAAAAGTGAAAGTCATGGTCTACAAGAGGTAGAGATGGGTAGCTGACAAATGGACCTCATGGTGGTGGTGTAGGGAAATAGGGGAAGCAGGAAGTTGAAATCACCTAGTCAAACACCACCCCACTCTTGTTTTAGAAATGGGTGTCTCACTCTGTCACCCAGGCTGGAGTGTACTGGCATGATCATAGATCACTGCAGCCTCAAATTACTGGGCTTAAGTGATCCTCCCACCTCAGACTCCTGTGTAGTTGGACCATGGGCATATGGCACGATGCCTGGCTTATTAAAAAAATATATATTGTTATAAGACAGGATCTTGTTTTATTGTGCAGGCTGGTCTTGAACTCCTGGCTTCAAGCAATCCTCCCATCTTGGAGTTCCCAAAGTGCTGGGATGACAGGCATGAACCACTGTGCCCAGCCTCCAAGCCTTCTTAACATGGACGCATACAAAGAGTTCAGAGAATCAATGACTCTACTTTAACTGAATATAACATTTTATGTATACATATACCTTGTGGGAACAAAGTCTACCGAATTCATCACAATTTCAAATAGAAGCTGGGCACTGTGGTGCACACCCGTAGTCCCAGCTACTCAGGAGGCTGAGGCAGGAGAATTTCTTGAGGCCAGAAGTTTGAGACTGCAGTGAGCTCTGATCGCAGCTGTGAATAGCCACTATTACACTCCAGCCTGGGCAACATAGCAAAATCCTGTCTCTTAAAAAAAATTTCAAATGGGTCTTGATCCTCCAAAAGCATGAAAAACCACTAGTCTAATCCAATTTCTGAACAAGAACTAGATACATGGCCAGAGGTGAAATCAGTGCTTTATCCATTGCACTTTCTTTTTTTTTTTTTTTTTTTTTTTTTTTGAGACAACGTCTCGCTCTGTTGCCCAGGCTGGAGTGCAGTGGTGCGATCTCGGCTCACTGCTGCGACCTCTGCCTCCCAGGTTCAAGTGATTCTCCTGCCTCAGCCTCCTGGGTAGTTGGGACTACAGATGCCTACCACCATGCCCAGCTAATTTTTTGTATTTTTAGTAGAGGCAGGGTTTCACCATGTTAGCCAGGATGGTCTCGATCTCCTGACCTTGTAATCTTCCCACCTCAGCCTCCCAAAGTGCTGTGATTACAGGCATGAGCCACCACATCCGGCCATCCATTGCTCTTTCTATCAAATAACAATAATAGTAATAATTCATATCAAAACATCTTTTAGCCAGCTCCTGATTCTTTGAGATTCCATAGGCAAAATTAACTTTTTGATACCCATGCTGGTTAAGCATCCAATAAAGTGAGAGCTGGCTAGCTGTCCCTCGGCATCCAGCCTCATGGCCCCTTCTTGAATCCTCACTAGCAGATAGCTCTGAAGGTGGCGTGCAGCCTGGGGTGTTTCATCTTTCATTTGCCCCTCATTCCTAGCTAATGAAGCTTCATGCCCTTGTCAGGCCTTGTTTCTACAAGGCTGGACACCTTCTTTTAACAGGACGTACTTGAAAAACAAGATATTTCCCTTTGTACTAGAAACAAATGGTGATTAATGTACTTGTTGTAATTAATCTGTGGTGACAGATTAGCGGGGTAGCAGCAGTTCTTTTGCTGCTCTGGGAACCTTCCTTGATAGGACAGCTGGTGAGAGGGGACACCAAATTCAATTTGTTTCTCATTTGCATACATATGACAACCATCTGTGCTAATAGCACTGCAATGTCTCCATTAGGCCCAGAGCTCGTGTGCTGGCTCTCCCTTTCTCCCATTAGGCCTGGGAGAGGGAGAGCTCACAGCACAAATATTTGTAGAGGAAAAAGGGTGGGCTTGATGGAACACAACCAATTATGTCCCCTCCTAGCAAAGGTCAAACATCCAACATGAGCTAAGATCCTTCTCACCCATGGGAGGGTAATCTTCTTTGAAAAACCCCTACTCCTTTCATCAGAAGGTCTCTACCCTCTCCATCTCAAAGACCCAGTCGAATTATTCACAGCCTATTCCCTATGGTCCAGTCACTCAAACCAGCTTCACTTTGGCAGATATCTTTTCTTTTTTTTAAACTGATACCTTCATTCAAAAAATATTCATGGAATATCAGTCCACTGATCATGCCAGTGTACTCCAGCCTGGGTGACAGAGTGAGACCCCCATCTCTAGAAAAAGAGGGGGTGGTGCTTGACTAGGTGATTTCAACCTCCTGCTTCCCCTGTTTCCCTACATCACTACCATGAGGTCCATTCCTCAACTACCCATCTCTACCTCTTTTAGGCTATGACTCTCAGTTTTAGCCACTCATTCATTCTCTCATTCATTCAACAAACATTTTCCTGTACACTGTCTTTGATGATGGACATGTAATGCTGAGGGAAGCAGATCCCATTCTGGTTTTCATGAAACATTTTACTCTGGAAAGTGGGATGGATATTAATCAAAGTAGCACAGTTTCAGTGGAGAGGAGGGCTTATAAGGGAGATCACACGGCACTATTCGTGCAATAAATATTCATGGAATAGTGCCTGAACTTAGGCACTATTCCAGGTGGAGGAGGAACAGCAGTTAACAAGAGAGAGAAGGTTTTTGTTTTATGAAGTTTACATGATAGTGATGCACGCTGATGATAAACAAATAAACAAGAAAAAATTCATGTAGTGTCATGTCCTAAGCAGAGATTCAAAAAACAGGGTTTCAGATGGTGTGAAATAGGTCATATGTGACGCCACATTAGTTTTGATGCTCAGAGATGTCCTTTCTGAAGAGGCGACGTGCAAGCTGCCATCTGAATGGCAAAGAGGATCCAGCCTGTGAACACCAAGGGAACACACATTTTTCCGGAGGGAGAGAACCGCTAAAATAAAGGCCTCTAGAGAAAGTGAGCTTGACGTGTTGAGTAAGAGGAAGATAGACAGCATGTCTGAAGGGAGGTGGGAGTGATACATCTGCGCTAACTTGCTAGGGCAGCTGCAACAAAGAACCACAAACTGGGGGCTTAAAACAACAGAAATGTATTGTCTCAGAGTTCCGGAGCCTAGAAGTCCAAATCAAGGTGTCCACAGGGCCTTGAAAACTACAGAGGAGAATCCTTCCTTGTCTTTTTTAGCTTCTGGTGTTTGTTAGCAATTCTTGATGCTCCCTGTCTTGTTGATGCACCACTCCAATCTTTGCCTCTGTCATCACATGACTGTCTTCTCCCTGTGTGTTTCTATTTTCTTATAA